>NC_000003.12:65767575-66070606 GCF_000001405.40 Homo sapiens
CCCTCAAGAAAGAACTTCCCCTAAATGAAGCTCTGACAATTGTTACATGAAATTTACGTTAGGAGGCCATTGTTATGGACTGATCTCCTGCACTAGGCCCCAACAGAACAGACCAAACCAAAATGGGGTTACTCATGCTAAGGTTCCATTCACCAAAACAAAATGAAAGTGTCTAAGCTTAGGAGAAATGACAAAAAAGATGACAGCCAAATCCTCAGGCAGTTCTAGCTGGCATGAAAGGGAAATCACCTCTGCTTTAACCCTTACAGGAAAAGCAATCTGATGTAGCTTAATGTAAACCAAGCCACTTTTTGTATTATGCAATTTCATTGTTCCTGGCTTAAGCTATCATATAAAAACTGACCATTCTGCATGCCCAATGGAGTGCCTTTTCTAAATCTTTGGATGTCATGCTCTCCAATTCATGAATTGCTACTAAAAGCAAATAAGATCTTTAAACTTAATTTGTTGAAATTTTGTGTTTTAACACAACCAAAATAGGCAAGCATTCTATTCCTACTGGCAACCCTTTACACAAGTTGCTTAAAAAATTACTTAAGCAGGCTGGGTGTGGTGGCTCATGCCTGTAATCCCAGCACTTTGGGAGGCTGAGGCAGGCAGATCACTTGAGGTTAGGAGTTCTAGACCAGCCTGGCCAACTTGACAAAACCTCGTCTCTACTAAAAATACAAAAATTAGCCAGGTATGGTGGTGCCCACCTGTAGTCCCAAATACTCAGGGGGCTGAGGCAGGAGAATTACTTGAACCCGGAAGGCAGAGGTTGCAGTGAGCCAAGATCACGCCACTGGACTCCAACCTACGTGACAGAGCAAGATTCAATCTCAAAAAAAAAAAGAAATTACTTAAGGATACTGGTGCCACCATATTAAATTCAAGAAGTGGTAAAGCAAAGGTTGCTTGTCTCAGTCAAGTTTTTTCTTCATTGTTTGGCTTCACTAAAGTACCAAAAATAAGACTATTGAAATCAAATAGCAGAAAGTTAGAATGCTTTCTAAAAAACTAATCACTCCTGCAAGGCTCACATAATAACAGCCAGCTATGGGTAGAATGACTTTATTCACATCTATTAATAAATGGCAAAGATGAAATGCAGCAGTGGAGGCTCAGATTTTTCCAGTTGTGGTAGAACACACAGGAGTCCCAGTTTGAACCTTCCTACAATTTAATTTTTAATATCTCTGCTTTAGAAAATACTACAGTGGCATTACTTTAAAGAAATCATTATCTTTTAGAAAATGTGAAAAATGTGTTTAAGAAGATAAAAACTGCTCCGTACAGAGAATAATATTTTCCCCTTTAAACTCCAGGGACAAAGCAAATTTTCCAGTGTCATTTTACTGTAGCCCACCAGGATTTTGACAAAGCAAACCTAGTGCTAAGAAACTCCTTGAAACTTGAAACCAGCAAAGAGCCTCTTGGTAACTTAAATAGATGAATTTCAATTTTAAAGCCACTGGGCCTGAAAAAAAAGAAATGCCTTTTTAAAAAAATTGCAAAATTTGAACTCAATATTGGCTTTCTTACTGAAGAAAATAATAGGAAAATATTCTTTAAAAGTTGTCGATCTGTTTTTTTCTGATGACAAAAATAAATAATGAGTAGACAAAACCAAATGATTACTTAGGTATATAATCCTCATATATGCATATAATGGGGTTTTTACTTGGTTTTCTTTTGATCTTTTTATAAAAATGAGCTCACATTGCACATGCACTTTGAACTTCCTACTGAAAGTTCATAAGCGTAGTAGAGCATGATGTTGTGTACCTGTAGTCCCACCTATTCAGGAGGCTGAGGCAGGAAGATCATTTGAGACCAGGAGTTTTAGGCTGCAGTAAGCTATGATCGCACCACTGCACTCCAGTCTGGGCAAGAGAGCAAGACTCTAAGAAAAAAATATAAAATAAATAAAAATAAAGTTCATCAATATCACACAAAGCCTCCTAGAAATAAACAGTCCCAGGCCCCATCCAGGTACAAGCTGCAATTTCACAGCATTTCAAGGTGATGGACATGCAATTGAAAAATGAAGAAGCCATAGCCGGGAAGATACTTTATGGAGCACCATTCCCTATTTGACTTTGATGATAAGATGTAGATGTTGATAACACGTGTCTCTGGACACCAAGGAAGATAAGTGTCTACCTGGGTTTAAAAATGTGCCTACTATCTCTATGTAACAGTGCCTGTTAAAAGCAAAAAAGGTGAGAAGGCATCTTCAAGTTCAGGTTTTCGGATAGAAGGTGGCTGGAAAGAGCTTTCCTTTGTTGCATCACTTCCCCAGTAAAGTAGCTTGAATAACCATCAGTGAGATAGCCTCTCCTGTCAAAACCTCCAACTAAAGTCACAGTATCCAACAGGGCCCTTGGGCAAAGATGTTCACTTTCAAAATTCACCATGAGGAGATTTACGTGCCATCTGGGAGGATTGCTATCTTGGGCCCATGATGCTATTACTGCTCTCATGAACCTTATTACTGAGAGGACAAGAAAGGTGAGAGAGGCAGAAG
The DNA here is from genome assembly GCF_000001405.40 of Homo sapiens. Lineage (NCBI taxonomy): Eukaryota > Metazoa > Chordata > Mammalia > Primates > Hominidae > Homo > Homo sapiens. The sequence continues at coordinate 65,770,106 of NC_000003.12, forward strand.
AAGACACATCACTGGCAAAAACTGCTCTGTCTGCTTACCATGAGTTTATTTTAGACTCCTGCCTGCGGAAATACAACCAGTGTGTCAAGGCCTATGTGGCCATTCAGCATTTCCCAGAGACTCTATGACTTCTCCTAGTTCCAAAGACTGTCTCATAGAAAACTAACATCAGAATTCCCACTTTTTTCATCAAAATTGGTCAAGCACTAATTATTAAAAGTATGAAAAATGCTACCATATGTTCATCTTTTAGTTGCCTTCTAGGTACCGTAGGGCATTGGTGATTTAAGCTCCCATCCATCCTGCCACGTGCAGGAAGAAACTGACACGAGGAAACCCACTGGCCAGCTCTTGTTCTGATAATGTCCAGCAACCCTTAATAGGGGCAAGGTACTCTACATGCCTCAGTTTACTCTTGTGTAAATGATACCTGTGTGCCTCAAGTGTTTCTCAAAGTATGACTCACAAACCATGAGAGCTGAGGGACAGGTATGAAAGATGCTTTTAATAGGTAATGTGAGCATTAGAAAAATATTAGATGTTTGCATATAGGCGTATCCTTTTTTAGTAAATTATTATTCATTTATTTACTTATTTATTTTGAAGTGGAGTCTCGCTCTGTCACCAGGCTGGAGTGCAGTGGCACAATCTCAGCTCACTGCAACCTCTGACTCCCTGGTTCAAGCTATTCTCCTGCCTCAGCCTCCCAAGTAGCTGGGACTACAGGCATGTGCCACAATGCCTAGCTAATTTGTTTTTCTATTTTTAGTAGAGACGGGGTTTTCCCATGTTGGCCAGGATGGTCTTGATCTCCTAACCTCGTGATCCACCCACCTCGGCCTCCCAAAGTGCTGGGATTACAAACGCAAGCCACTACGCCCAGCAAATTATTTTATTTTTAAAGAAGATTACTGGGCAGGGTGTGGTATTACAGATTACACCTGTAATCCCAGCGCTTTGGGAGGCCAAGGCGGGCAGATCACCTGAGGCCAGGAGTTCGAGACCAGCCTGGCCAACATAGCGAAACCCCGTCTCTATTAAAAACACAAAAATTAGCCAGGCATGGTGGCATGCACCTGTAGTCCCAGCTACTCAGGAGGCTAAGGCAGAAGAATCGCTTGAACCCAGGAGGCAGAGGTTGCAGTGAGCCGAGATTGCACCACTGCACTCCAGCCTGGGTGACAGACAGTGAATCTGTCTCAATGTCTCAAAAAAAAAAAAAGAAGACGATTACTCAGCAAATATCAGCTCAGATAGTAGGTGAATATGAGGTGGAAAGTCCTAAAGGTGTTTCTTAATTATTTCAGGTAGTATAGCACCATGGGCAAGTGAGTATCTCTTTACAGAACACAGGGAAACATAGAGATATTTTATTTCATCATAAATAAAGAAAATTTTATAACTGTGTAATATAAAAGCACAACCACAGTTTACATGTCTGCAATTTGTTTAAAACTAGCTATCAAAATAAGGTATAACCAGCCTTCTCCAAATGTGATTAATAGTTATTTGCTATTTAGCTTATAATGTTTTATGTTCTGCTAGCATTAGAAAGCAAATAAGCTAGTCAGCACAAAAAATTTTGAAACCTTTAATAAAAAACAAAATCTAATGGATTTAATTTTATTCAATAAGCCTCATCATTATTTGACTCTCCTTCAGCCTAACCCAGGAATCCCCAGTGCTGTATGGAGCATGCTATGAGAAGCAGGGACTAGTTGGAGTCTGAAGTCCATTCTATGAGGCTAGATCATGTAAGACCTTAATTTATGGTTTGACTATTTTAAAAGAATACTGTGGCATCTTTTATAACCTGGCCAGGCGCGGTGGCTCACGCCTATAATCCCAGCACTTTGGGAGGCCGAGGCGGGTGGATCACAAGGTCAGGAGTTCAAGACAAGCCCGGCCAAGATGGTGAAACCCTGTCTCTACTAAAAATACAAAAATTTGCCAGACTTGGTGGTGGGTGCCTGTAATCCCAGGGAGAGGGTGAGGCAGGAGAATCGTTTGAACCTGGGAGGCGGAGGTTGCAGTGAACTGAGATCATGCCACTGCACTCCAGCTTGAGCGACAGAGCAAGACTCCGTCTCAAGAAAAAGAAAAAGAAAAAAAAGACAACAATATAACCTATTAGGCCCAATCCCTTCCTTGTAGGGGCCAATTTCCTCTTTCCTCATCAAAACAGAGACTTTATGAACCTGTGTCTCCCTGTTAACATTGTCAGACCATAGAGAAAAGCCATTCCTTCTTTGTCTCTTCTGCACTGATTCAGGGGGGACTTGAGTACAGCTGTCCATCATGAGACCCTGGCTTTTTCACCACAGGAGTGGGCATGGGACCTGGGATGGCCAATCACCACCAATGTAGGCAAAAGACCTAACTGAGCCAACTGAGTTCTCTGCAGAGAATGATCATGGTGCTACAAGGGAGGGACACCTCTTTCCCTGGGATCAGCAGCCATAAGAAGGAAGTAGGCCAGGAGCTGCCACATGGAGAACACTTCGTGAGAGTGAAGCAAACACAGAGGAAGCAAACAGGGAGCAGAGAAAAGGAAAACGAGACAGCATAAGGATAAGCTTCATAAATCAGGAAGCTAACAAACTTCAGGCTCACTGAGGGCAGTATTGCAGGTAAATGAGTCTAAGTTTGGGACAAGACATGTTTCCAGGGACCTGGTTTTACGACCCAGTTCCTGATTACTGCACAGGCTGATGAGAATTTCTTGCATTTACAAATGACAGAAAAGATGCACAGAAAGCAATTAACAGCATGTGAATTTAAGGAGGGGAAGCAATGGGAGGAGGCAAGAATTGAAAGACTACCAGATGAAAGTTACCAGGAAGCACAGAGGTCATGAGGTCTGCAGAACTGGGTGAAGATACAGACTCCACCTCACACCAGCGTCCTCTTTGATCTACCACGGACCAGTTTCCTCATCTGGTAAATGGCAAAAAAACTCTACCTGCCTGGCAGGACTGTTGTAAGAAATAAATGAAATCATATATGTAAAGTATTCATAAAAGTACCTGACAGAGTAGAAAAAGAGCTCTCAAGTTCTCACCAACCCTGAATCACTATGATGTAGGAGTAATATATTAAAACAACAGCCAACACCCCCAAAAGATTAACAACCTTAAGAGTAGGGGGTCGGGCACCATGGCTCACACCTGTAATCCAAGCACTTTGGAAAGCTGAGGCAGGAAGATCACTTGAGCCCAGGAGTTCAAGACTGGTCTAGTCAACACAGTGAAACCTCATCTCCATAAAAAATTAAAAAATTAGTCAGGCATGGCAGTGCATGCCTGTAGTCCCAGCTACTCAGGTGGCTGAGGCAGGAAGATCACTTGAGCCTGGGAGGTGGAGTTTGCAGTGAGCTATGATGGGGCCACTGCACTCCAGCCTATGCAACAGAGCAAGACACTGTCTCAAAAAAAAGACAAAAAAGAGTGGGGGTGGGATCACTGGTAGGTAAACTCAGAATACACTAGCATAAGGTCTATCCATATCACTCGGATTGTCTGGCTGTGATGCTAATGTATATGCCTTGGAATTCTAAGTTACAGTCTCCTTGTTTATCATCTGGAAGTTCACAAGCCTACCTTCTGGAGAACATGGTGAATTCAGAAGGAAAATGTAACTGTACTCTAATTTGCTTTCTTTGTGTCTCAGACTGCCTTGATTCGAGTGTTTATGCCTTAATCATACTTGAGTCTTTCATTTTAATGACTTTTTTAATTCGATATAAAGATTAAAATTTTTATATCTCATTGTGTTTTCCTTTTAATACAAGTTACTTGTGGTTGCTGAACAAGGTACAAATTAGAACAATTTCTTCCCGGGAACGATATGAAGGAAACTTCACAGGAAGAGAAAAAAATTCCAAAGGATAAACAGGTTTATTACAGAAATTACACACTACAGATTCCCATAATGCTAACCATCCCAGTAACTAAGTGGCACATGGGCATCTGTTTCCATAGCCCCAGATCCACTGGCTAGTTAAAAAAAAAAAAAAATTAATTGCTAACAATAAGGTTTTGTTCTAACATTGGGTGAAACTTTTCCTGGTTATGAGTTTCTATAACTGACATATAATTCCGGCTAAACCAAAATTCTGTTTTACACAAGCAAAGAAGTCCTGAGCAGGGTGAAATGGTAGTTATCATCTTTGATGTTACTGTCAAAGGCGTGGAAGATACTTATCTTAATACCACTGTTGTCTCCACCATCTTCCTGTGATGTTTTTCACCCATGAATTTATTGAAAATGTATTTGAAATGAGCAAAAATTGTGTCCTGTATCCCTCTTGGATAATTAGTTTCTGAAGTCCATGTTTGTTATATATTCAAAATCTTCCTGGGGCAAAATTCTCCTTATTTTGAATGTCCAGGTTTTGGTGGAAAAGAATTCATAATAAGTGCTTTCATACTTTCCTTATAATCCTGTTGGCTTGTGTCCCCTAAAAACTCAGAGTCTACCAAGCTTTTGTTCACATAGTTTATGGATATACTGTGCACCCATTCTTAACCCTGACATTTCACATCTGCTTGCCTAAGAGAAATGGCATACACAAAATGTTTTCCTATTTGGTGATGAACAAGTACATGGAACATATAGATCACAAGTGATTTTTAAGTAAGAGGAAAACAAGAAATTCAACCAAAGAGCCAACTAGTACTGGGCCTATGTTCTGTGCCTAACAAGGGGTTCTAAGATACACTAACTCGCCTTAGGCAATAGGGAGAAGATTTTGATTTCTGTCTTCACTATTGATAGCTACATGAGTCAATTACTTAGCCTTTCTAAGCTTCAGTTATAAAGTTAGGATAAAAATGTTGTCAACATCATGGGATAGTAGTGAAACAAGACAATGTATATGAATTTCATAGTACCCAGCATACAATAAGAGCTCAATAAATATTGGCTATTTTTATTATCATCATCATTCTTATCAACCCAAAGAGCCACATGAATGTAACCTACAGACTGATTGATCTCAAATGCATTTTTTTAATTCTAAAATTTCTGAAATCCTATGAATATAACAAAGTATTTTCAGGCTGGGCGTGGTGACTCCCACCTGTAATCCCAGCACTTTCTGAGGCCAAGACAGATAGATTCCTTGAGTCCAGGAGTTTCAGACCAGCCTGGGCAACATGGCAAAACCCCATCTCAACAAAAAAATACAAAAAAATTTGCCAGGCATTGTCATACATGCCTGTAGTATCAGCTACTTGGGAGACTGAGGCAGGAGTATCATTTGAGCCTAGGACTTGGAGGTTCCAGTAAGCCTAGATTGTGCCATTGCACTCCAGCCTGGGCAACAGAGTGAGACCTTCTCTGGAAAAAAAAAAAAAATTTTTTTAAGTGTTTTTTTCTCTTCTCACCCACTCTGCCAAAAAAAAAAAAAAAAAAAAAAAAAAGCATCTTAAAGAAAACATAGTCCATTATGTGAATGGATATGCAGACAAAAAATGTGCAGTTACATACACCAAAGTATTAACTATGATTATGAAAGGTGATACTATATAGTTCTTTTTAACAGTGGTTTCTGGTCAAACACAGTAGCCCACACCTGTAATCCCAGCATTTTCAGAGGCGGAGGTGGGCGGGTTGCTTGAGCCCCAGGAGTTCAAGACCAGCCTGGGAAACATGGCAAAACCATGTCTCTACCAAAAATATAAAAAATTAGCTGGACATGGTGGCACATGCCTGTAGTCCCAGCTATGCAATGGCTGAAGTGGGAGGATCACCTGAACCTGGGAAGCTGAGGCTGCACTGAGCCATGATCACATCACTGCACTTCAGCCTCAGTCACAGAGTGAGACCCTGTCTTTAAAAAAAAAAAAAAAAGTTTCTAATTATTCTTTGATGAATTTAAATTATTTGCAAAACAAAAACATTAAACAAACATTTTTGCCATAAATCCCGTACTTACTTAGTGTGCCCCAAATCTAGTCAAATAAATTACTATAAGAATTTTTTGTTGTCCTTCCTACTTAGTTTGCAATTTTTGCCACTCCTTTTGAAATAGCTCATCCTCCTGTCTTCTACATAGGTGGTGCAGAAAGTATTTTAAAAATCAATGTAGCATTCTTTACTACTTGCTATATGAAACACTACTGGCATATAGTTGGGTTTCTTTTTTTTTTTTTTTATGGCTTCTGAATGTTTTACATTCCATTAATTAAATCCTACTCTCAATTGTTTTTTTAAAAAGGCCACACAAATATTAATGTCAAAAAAAAGTGATTAGGTAAGAGAATGGAAGATATATTTCCAAAAATTTTTCAAAGCCTCTGAGTCCCAGGAAACACAATTTTTAAAAATGGTAACCCTTATTTAAACACATAATAAAAAGAGATCTTGTCAAATATATTAAATTATAAATTGGACATCAGTTTTGTACAGGCTGATTTCTAAACTGTAATAGAACACATCTGGGGTGATTTTCTGGCTCTCCTCGAATATCTGGTTTTCCAGGCAGCTGCAGGAAATCTCTGGGTAGACATACCACTACAATAATTAATGCCAGCTTTCAGGCATCCCAATGAAAAAGAATTCATGACAGCAACAGAAAACGGTACTCCCCCCGCAACACACACACAGAATAACCACGAATTTAATGTAAAACATGAATCCACAGGCCTCCAGCCTGGAGCAGCTGAAAGACATTTGTGTGATTTGTGTGATTCATGAACAAAGAGTCATTCGATCTCTTCCATCAGACTTTTCTGCATCTCAGCCACTTTTGTTTCTATCCATCGCTGGCTGCTTCATTCATACCCTGGTTATGTCTGCACTGAACAGGGCTCCCTATTTCTATTATACTACAGGTTCCAACAAGGAACCTTCTTCTACCCTCTCCTTGCTTTCATCTTTCATCTCCCTGAAGGGCACTGGGGCCTAGCACAGCACCTGGAACATAGCAGATGCCCAACCAAGGCTGTGGGTAGATGGACTGTAGGGTAAGTGAGCATGTGCAAGGATAAAGAATGTATGAACAAAACGCAAACAGTGAAAACTCAAAGACTTTCTGGATTCTAAAATTATATTTATTAAGGGAAATATTCGACTTTTGAGAAGCAAACATACAGATAATGTGCTCACTAGCTGTGTGACCTCAGAGAAGTTCCTTAGCCTCTCTGGGCTTCAGTTTTCTCATCTATAAAATTGAGACCCTAACAGTGCCTAATCAAGTGGTTGCTGTGAGGGTTAAATTAGTCACCATTTGTGATGTACTTAGACGAATGACTGGAAAATACTATGTGTCAAGAAAAAAAGTAAGTACTGACAAATAAATATCAGGTTCATTATCACCATTTTACTAAAATAAAGGGACTATATTTGGCATAAATACCAAATGGACTTGAAAACCGTGCTCATGGCAAAGTGCGGTTGCTTACACCTGTAATTCCAGCACTTTGGGAGGCCAAGGTGGGAGGATCACTTGAGCCTGGGAGGTTGAGGCTGCAGTGAGCCATGATTGTTGTGCCACTGCACTCCAGCCTGGGCAACAGAGTGAGACTCTTATCACAAAAAAAAAAAAAAAAGAAAGAAAGAAAGAAAAAGAAAAGGGAAAAGAAAAATATGTTCGGTCTCCTAAAAGATAGAAAACAAATGTATATAGCTGGTTTCAAATCCCACCTATTTGACTGCAGTGCTGTGTAATTTCTGGACCTCCGTGTGAACAATTTGTAAATGGAATTATCATAGTTCCCATTGCATACGTTTTCTGTGAAAGATTAAATTAAATTATATAAAAAATTTAGCAAGAAAACTGGCATGCAGTAAACAATCAATAATCCTAACTAACACTACTATAGTTCTATTAGAGAGTGTGGTAAATCATGATTAAATAGGTATGCATAATAATTCATATGGTGGGCATCATTTATTCAGACATCAAATACTTAATGAGTACATACATCATATTAGGCCATTTTAGATACTGTATTCTTTAAAGCCCCACAACAGCCATGTGATACACAGTTTACAGCACTAACTTAATGAAGAAAATATTAATTTAAAAAGAAAAGTTCGGCCAGGTGCAGTGACTCACGCCTGTAATCCCAGCACTTTGGGGGGCCAAGGCTGGCGGATCACCTGAGGTAAGGAGTTCAAGATCAGGCTGGCCAACATGGTGAAACTTTGTCTCTACTGAAAATACAAAAATTAGCTGGGCATGGTGGCGGGTGCCTGTAATCCCAGCTTCTTGGGAGGCTGAGGCAGGAGAATCGCTTGAACCCAGGAGGCAGAGGTTGCAGTGGGCCAAGATAGTGCCATTGCATTCCAGCCTGGGCAACAAGAGTGAAACTCTGTCTCAAAAAAAAAAAAAATAAATAAATAAGTCTTTTGAGAAATGCAGGAAGGGTTCAAAGGGAAGATAACATTTGTTGAATATCCAGCACATTCCAAGCCCCATATAGTGCCCTTTACATATGCAATCTGTGTCCTCACTCCACACCCAGAAGATGGGGACCATGACTTCAATTGCACAGGTGAGGAAACAGCAGTTAAGCAACTTGCCAGGACCACTCAGGTCAAAGAGCCACAGTTCAAACTTAGACCTACCTGGCTTTTGACTCTAGATTTCTGCCCAACTTCTTAATATTTGCCAAACAGAAAAATACTAAGATGACTGAAGCCAGTCAAAATGTGTCTTCACTTTTAATGACTTTTAAAAAGACAACTCGCATCTTGGATCAAGTTCCTATTAATAATTTTCCAAAGATTCCAATATACTCCAGAGGTCCTCAACCAGGGACAGTTATACCCCCCAGGGGACATTTGGGGATGTCCAGAGACATTAATGGTTATCACAATTAGGAAGGTGCTAGTGTCATCTAGGGGTCGAGACCAGGGATACTGCTAAATAACTTGCAACACACAGAACAGCTGCCTGCTCCCAAACCCCAGACAATGAATTATCCAGTCCAAAATGTCACCAGTGCATAGGAAAAGAAACCCTGTAGCAACCCACAAAATGAAAATTTTTTGACTTTCCAAAAGTTGTACTTTGCTTAGTCATGCTCTAGAATTCCACAGGAATAACCACTTAGCCTCACTCATTTTTTTTCTTCACTATTAAGTTTACGCTTCAGTACACATTACTGCCAGTATGACCTCTTCCATCACACCCAGGGCTCTGGCAGCGTTAATGTGAGTGGCCCTCTTCTCCATGTAAATGTGCACAAATAGAATATTCTGGTCTCAAGAGAACACAAGCAAGTCCCAAATTTGCTTCTGGAAGGGCTCAGCCCAAGGTAAGAAGGGCCGGGAGGGGACTATATCAGATGCCATACACTAAAGCACTCAACTTTTTTCCAAAAATAATTCATCTTCAACCCAGCAATGCAGTTTTCTTTGCCTGTGTGTTCTTGCATAAGGAACTGTGAGATGATTTAAAAAGCAAACTTTAGAAAGGTAAAGTTGAATCTCAGAACTTTCTAAGACCAAGAATTGCACAATCGCTTGACAGATTTATCCCCTAATTTGATAGCCTCTGCCCCTTCCCAGAAAAACTCAACTAAAGATTTATAAGTCTACTTAGATGAAAAGTTCTCCTGTGGCAACACAAGGCTTCTTTTAAAGTAACAGTCTAATAGTCTAATGAATTTTATTCGCACCATGGAGAGAAAGATCTTGATTCCTTAAGGTCTCCAAAAAAGATCTATCTTTGGAAAGTGACGAGTATGCTGTTAAGCAAAAGCAGTAGCAAGTAACTCTAACCTTTTTCTTACCAGCTAGTTCCTGTTATCGATTACATGTGATGGGAACATTTACTATCATGAAAATAACAGCACTAACAAAGAAAAAAAAATGACACTTGTAACACAGTCCTTAGTTTCCTAACACATTTGACAAACTTGAAAAGGGGGTGGTCCTGAGATCTGAGAACATGCTATCAATTTTTTGGGGGGGGAAGGGCAGGGGGGACATCATCTCACTCTGTGGCCCAGGCTGGAGTGGACTGGTGCAATTACGGCTCACTGCAGCCTGGACATTGTGGGCTCAGGTGATCCTCCCACCTCAGCCTTCTAAGTAGCTGTGGACTACAAGTATGCACCACCAGCCCTGGCTAATTTTTGTACTTTTTGTAGTGACTGTGTTTTGCCATGTTGCCCAGGCTGGTCTCAAACTCCCAGGCTCAAGTGATCCCCCCGCTTCAATCTCCCAAAGTGCTGGGATTACAGGAGTGACACATCACGCCCAGCCTATGCTGTCATCTTAAGATATACTGATTAATTTCAGTCAATGCTTAATTCTGAAATTACCAACTTGGCCTAAATACTTGCAAAAGCACTGAAGAAGATTTAAAGCAAAAGTTCTATAACCACAGTACTAAGGAGATTCAAACGACTAACAATGAGGTCCAAAACTATTGAGAGAAGAGCCCTGGAGAGCTAACTTGCATATGTATTCACAGAAAGTCTCAATACTCAAACTCAATATTACACAGGGTCAGAAATGGTTAACAGCTGACTTAAAGTTTCCTCTTTGAGTGAAGAATCCATTTTTGAAAAAAAATTTTAACATTAAAAATAAATCATTACTTTGATCCAACAGATGAATAAGCCCCCTATACAGTTTATGCTCATTTGCAGACTTGATTATAAAAAACGTAGGAAAATTAAGGAAGGATGGCCACCACATTATCAACCATGGGTTACAGAAGGGGGTTGATGAGAAGGAAAAGAATCTAGCCCACATGGGGCAGAAGAAGGGATTTGCACTGCTTATGGTATACTATGTAAGGGCCATGACTACGGGTGATTTTTCTGTTTTATGTTTCACTACTTTGCATATTGTATTTTTTAAAAGTTTGGATGGGCTGGGCATGGTGGCTCACGCCTATAATCCTAGCACATTGGGAGGCCAAGGCAGGCAGACCAGTCTGGCCAACATAGTGAAACCCCATCTCTACTAAAAATATAAAACTTAGCCAGGCGTTGTGGCTCATGCCTGTAATTCCAACTACCCAGGAGGCTGAGGCAGGAGAATTGCTGGAATCTGGGAGGCGGAGGCTGCAGAGAGCCAAGATCATGCCACTGCACTCCAGCCTGAGTGACAGATCAAGATTCTGTCTCAAAAAAAAAAAGAACAAAATTTAAAAGTTAAAAGTTCGGATGGAAAACAGAATAGTACCTGCACACAGAGCCTTCCCAAACAGATACTGACACAATACAAGATATCTGACAGCATTCATTGAGTATACTTACATGTGCTAGGCAGTAGTTGCTAATGGCTCCATTTGATCATCTGAACATTTGATTGTTTCATCTTCGCAAATGCCTATCTACCTTGATCAGGAAATGGATAGATTTTTTTTTAAGTTCCGGAGTACATGTGCAGGATGTACAGGTTTGTTATATATAAACACGTACGTGGTGGTTTGCTGCATGGAATAGGTTTTTTAAAACTAAATACAGTAGTGGTTTGTTTCACAGAAATAGATTCATTTAAAAAATTATTATACAAATTATATAGCAACTGCCGCTTTTCAAAGACCAAAGATATAATGAAATTGACTTGACATTAAACTCGTATTATAGATAATTCAGTTTTCATCTCATGGCTGAGAGGCCATTACAAGATCCTAAATAGCTTCTGGCCAATAATGGCAACATCTATAATAATAACAGCTACCACGGAAGAGATTTGCTAAAGGTTTCTACTGATTCTCTCATTAATCTCCATCACCCTGACTCTGCAACTACGCAAACACAGAGAGTACAGGCAGCTTTCCTGAAGTCAGTCAGTGGAAGTCTGAACCATCTGACTGGGGAACCCCCCCTCACTATAAACCTAAGATTGTTCTGTAAAAACAGACTCGCTGGTAAACAGAGGGGTCTCCTGAGCAGATTGGTAGATTTCACTTTCCCATATATTCTGGGGGATGGCATGCATTTCATGTCCATTTATCACATGTCCCAAGTCTAGAGACCCTAACTATCAAAGGGAAACACTTGTCAATCACAGATTGTAGAAATTATCATTAGTAAGCATAATAGGCAGAATAATCACCCCAAAGATATCCCCATCCTGCTTCCCAGAACCTGTGACTATGTTACATGACAAAGGGGAATTAAGGTCACTAATTATGGTGACCTTTAAATAGGATTATCTGGGTGGGCCCAATATAATCATAAGCATCTGTAAAAGATAAGACTGTAGATGAATGGCACAGAAGGATACAACGTTGCTAGCAGGCTTTGAAGATGGAGGAAAGGAATGTCCTTAGGTTGGAAAAGTCAAGGAAACAGATTCTCCCATAAAGCCTTAGGAAGGGAACACAGCCCTGTGACAACTTGGTTTTAGCCCAGCATCACCAGTCAGAACTGTAAGATAATAAGTACATGTGTGTTAAGGCACTCACTTTGTGAAAAAGTGTTACAGCAGCAAATAAGAAACTAATACAGGAAGTAACTACTGAGTTATTGTTCCTAACCCTTCTGGACCAAAGGAGAATAAAAACTATTTTTTAAAGTATATGGATTTCTTAAGCAAAAAAAAAAAAAAAAAAAAAAAAAAAGTTAGATGAAAGGTTCATTTTTCAACACTGTAGCTTAGGTATAAACATAATATACTGAAGGACTCTGTTTAGTCAAGTTGATTTGTTTTCAGGTGTAATACCTACAACAGTTAACATCTACTGAGCTTTTAATATGTTTGCAATATAAGTGTTATCTTATTAAGTCCTCACAACCTTTGAGCCAGACACTATTAGTACTGGGCCATCTGTGAAAAGTCATTTCACAGATCAGAAGCCTAAATGTAAGAGCTAAATTATTAAACTCTTAAAAAAAAAAAAAGAGAAAAATCAATTTCATGACCTTGAGTTAAGCAATGGTTTCTTAGATATAATCCCAAAGCACCTTTAAAAACAAAACAACAACAACAAAAAAAAGAAGAAAAAAGAGAAGTTGGATGACATCAAAATGAAAAACTTTGGTGTTGCAAACAACACCATCAAGAAAGTGAAAAGGCAACCTACTGGGGGAAATATTTACAAATCACATATCTAATAAGTGTCCAGTGTGCAGAATGTATTAAAAAAAAACAACTCTTACAATTCAACAACAAAAAGAAAGAATAGGACAAATATTTTAACAGATATTTCTTTAAAGAAGGCATACAAGGGACCAATAAGCTCAGAAGCACATGCTCAGCATCATTACACAATAGTGAAATGTAAATCAAAACCACAAGACACCGCTTCACACCCACTAGGATGGCTACAATCAAAAAGGCAAAATAAGGCAAGGCACAGGGGCTCACGCCTGTAATCCGAACACTTTGAGAGGGCAGGTGGGAGGATTGTTTGAGGCCAGGAGATCAAGACAAGCCTGGACAACATAATGAGACTCTGTCTCCAGAAAGAAAAAAAAAAAATTTGTCTTGAGACAGGGTCTCACTCTGTCACCACCCAGGCTGGAGTGCAGTGGCACGATCAGAGCTCACTGCAGCCTCAATCTCCTTGGCTCAAGCAATCCTCCCACCTCAGCCTCCCCGAGTGGCTGGGACTTCAGGCGTGCATCACCATGCCCAGCTAATTTTTTTTGTATTTTCAGTAGTGATGGGGTTTTGCCACGTTGCCCAGGCTGGCCTCAAACTCCACGGCTCAAGCAATCTGCCCACCTCAGCCTCTCAAAGTGCTGAGATTACAGGTGTGAGCCACCACACCCAGCCTGTACCAAAAAAAAAAAAAAAAATTAATTTTAAAAAAAGTGCAGGCCAGGTGTGGTGGCCCTTGCCTGTAATCCCAGCACTTTGGGAGGCCGAGGCAGATGGACCACCTGAGGTCAGGAGTTCGAGACCAGCCTGACCAACACAGTGAAACCCCATCTCTACTAAAAATACAAAAATTAGCTGAGCATCGTGGCAGGCACCTGTAATCCCAGCTACTCAGGAGGCTGAGGCAGGAGAATCCCTTGAACCTGGGAGGTGGAGGTTGCAGTGACCTGAGATTGTGCCATTGCACTCCAGCCTGGGCAACAGAGTGAGACTCCATCTCAAAAAAAAAAGGTGCAATAACAAGGAGTAATGAGCACACAGAGAAATTGGAACCCTCATCATTGCTGGTAGGAATGCAAAATAGTACAGCCACTTTGGAAAACAGTCTGGGAGTTCTTCAAAAAGCTAAACATGGAGTTACCACATTCCTAGGAGCAATCCCACTCTAGGTATGCATACAAGAGAAATGAAAACATATGTCCACACAGAAACTAGTACGTGGATATTCATAGCAGTATTACTCATAAGAGGTCAAAAAGTGGAAACAACCCAGATGCCTATCAACTGATGACTGGATAAAAAACATGTGGTAGGGCCAGGAGCGTTGGCTCACGCCTGTAATCCCAGCACTTTGGGAGGCCGAGGCAGGCGAATCACGAGGTCAGGAGATGAAGATCACGGTGAAACCCTGTCTCTACTAAAAATACAAAAAATTAGCTGGGCGCGGTGACGGGCGCCTGTAGTCCCAGCTACTCGGGAGGCTGAGGCAGGAGAATGGCGTGAACCAAGAAGGCGGAGCTTGCAGTGAGCCGAGATCGCGCCACTGCACTCCAGCCTGGGCGACAGAGCGAGACTCCGTCTCAACAACAACAACAACAACAACAAAAAGAAAAGAAAAAAAAAAATGTGGTATAGTCAAACCACGGAATAATATTTGGGAAGAAGAAATGAAGCACTGATGCATGCTACAACATGGATGAATCCTGAAACAAGATAAGGTGGAGTAGCACATCACAAAAGACCACATACTTTACAATGCCCTTTAGATGAAATGTCCAGAATAGGCAAATCTGTAAGAGATTTGTGGCTACCTAGGGCTTGAGAGGGTGGCGGTGGAGGGCAGAGAAGGAAATGACTACTAATGGATATAGGATTCCTTTTGGAGAGGGCAGAAATGTTCTAAAATTAGATTATACTGATAGTCGCACACGCTGTGTATCTATTAAAAATACTAAATTGTACATGTTACATGAATAAATTGTATGACATATTAGTTATATCTCAATACCGCTATTTAAAATGTGATTTAACTTCTGTATCCCATATGTATTCATGAGTTACTTACTAAGTAATTTTTATTTAAGGAAGTAGGTGTTTTAAGAAGTATTTGTAGGAGAAGCATATATAACCACAAGAGGGCGCTTTCCTCACAGCTACAGAAAACCGAGTGTCTAACATACAGGGGTCCTATTTACCAATTTGATTTCATTCTTCCCCCTTTTCTTGGACGGAATGAGGTATTAGTATGTTTCATACAACACATTAAAGACAATAGTGTCACCAAGGTTGGTGACAGGTTGAAAAATCATGACTTATACACAGATAAAAAGTAAATGTTTAAAATTAAACTTCAGTAACAGAAACTACGGATAATGTTGCACTGCATTCATTTCCTTCACTTCTTGTCATACAAGAGGTTATACAAACTTATTTGTTTAGGATAAAATTCAGTGAGATAATATAAATCATCACAGGAAATGAAACATGTTATAAATACGTGGTCTCTGGTTCTCTGTTCTATCTCTAGCACCTGGAACCATGTCTAGCATAATTGGCACTCCATAAATATTTATTAAATGAATGAGATAAATGAATGAATGAGTGAAATCAACATTTCTTAAATTTCAGAAAAAATTTCACCTACCTTGGAGACTACATCAAAATATTTCTTTTCACCCATACCAAACATCACAATCATTTCACTGAATAACTATCTCTGAAACAAGTTCACAGAGACATTGTGTGAAATCAAGTGTAATTTTTTAGGCCATGAATCCTTCCCGACCTCCCCCTTATTCCTGCTGTCATCTTAACTTTTTTTTTTTTTTTCTTGAAACGGAGTCTCGCTCTGTCACTCAGGCTGGAGTGCAGTGGTGCAATCAGGGCTCACTGCAACCTCTGCTCACTGCTGCAACCTCTGCCTCCTGGATTCAAGTGATTCTCCTGCCTCAGCCTCCCGAGTAGCTGGGATTATAGACGCCTACCATCACACCCGGCTAATTTTTATATTTTTAGTAGAGATGGGATTTCGCCTTGTTGGCCAGGCTGGTCTCGAACTTCTAACCTCAGGTGATCTGGCCACCTTTTCCTCCCAAAGTGCTGGGATTACCACGCCCAGCCAATCATAACTTTTTTTTTTTTTTTTTTTGCCTTGAAATCAACAACTCTGAATTACTTCCAGTTTGCATTCTGTGTATTGAGACCCACACCAAACTGAAGTGTCACCCAGGCTGGCATGCAATGACATGATCACAGCTCACTGCAGCCTCAACCTCCTAGTCTCAAGTGATCCTCCCACCTCGGCTTCCCAAGCAGCTGGGTCTACAGGCATGCGCCACCACACCCAGCTAACTTACTGTATTTTTTGTAGAGACAGGGTTTCCCCATGTTGCCTGGTCTTGAACTCCTGGGCTTAAGCAATCCTACCACCTCAGCCTCCAAGAGTGCTGGGATTACTAGCATGAGACACCACGCCTGGCCCAAGAATTTTTTTTTTTTTTTTTTTCTTAAACAGAGTCTTGCTTTGTCACCCAGGCTGGAGTGCAGTGGCACGATCTCCGCTCACTGCAAGCTCTGCCTCCCGGGTTCACGCCATTCTCCTGCCTCAGCCTCCCTAGTAGCTGGGACTACAGGCGCCCGCCACCACGCCTGGCTAATTTTGTTTTTGTATTTTTAGTAGAGACGGGATTTCACCGTGTTAGCCAGGATGTTCTCGATTTCCTGACCTCGTGATCCGCCCGCCTCGGCCTCCCAAAGTACTGGGATTACAGGTGTGAGCCACCGCGCAAGACCCCAAGAATCTTTTAATGCTGACCAACACATCTCTCTCATTGTGTTACCTTTTGTATTCCTACTTAATGTTTTTCCATCAATGCACCTCTTACTAAGCCACAAGCACACAACATTTCATTAGAGGAAACCAGATTCTTCTCCTATCTCATGTTTCAAGGGGTCTGACATCAGACTAATTTATGGAACAACAATAAAACTGCCCCTATTTCCTCCCCAGAAGCCACATTCAGTTACAAAAACTTTTACTCTAAGCTCAGTCACAACAAAAGTTAGGCATGGAAAGGCAATCTCTGAAAGGTTTTTCATTTGGGATGTGATGAATGGGTGAAGGATGAGCTTTTACAGACACAGGGCCCGGTCATCTTTAAGACACCTCGAGTTTATAAGCCACTGGAGCATTTTCATAGCAACATAGTATAAAAGAAACCGGATCACCAAATGATAAACTCAACTTGAAAAGTCTTCCTCTGCCGTTTTTTTAGTGAACAGTCTACTGTCAAAACAAAGATGTTATGTTTAGTCGGTTCTAGGCAGCCCAGAAACTTTAAATAGAATGCCAAAACACATTGTGTTTGAGTGACAAGGGAACTAACTCTCACACATCATTCACTCATATTCCTCAAAATTACTCCGTGTAACTGAGGGCTATACTAGATGCTGGAAATATAACAGCAAGCAGGGCACATTCCCTGCCCTCTGGGACTGCACCGCCTGGTAGGCCAGATGGACAAATAAATGAGCAATAATAAAACAGAGTAGACTGTCAGGGACAAGTTCATGGTGTTATGGGAACACAGGGGTTGAACATCTAATTAGCCTTGGGTGGTTAAAAATAACTATAAATGGATATGATAACACCGCTGAATGTTAGGAGCCGTTAAAATATGGGGAGAAAGGCATATTTCTCAGAAAATAATAGCCTGTGCCAAGGACTGAAGACATGATAGCTCAGCAAGTTCAAGAAGTAAGAGAGAGCTCAGGATGGTTGAAACCAAGCATGGAAAGTGACGGGGTTAAGAAAGTAAGCATGAGCCAATCAAGAAAAAAGTTTATTTAGTCTTGATCCTTAGGGAGTCATCCCTGCAATGGCCTGCAAAGTTACAGGTTGCATTTTTCCTCTTCCCCCACTTTTACTAGACCTTTCTAGGTTTCCTTGAGGTCAAACCAGAAGTCTCAGAAGTAATTAACATAAATTGAAACTCAACTGTGCCCAAGTAAACTCACATAAAACAATGATGAAAAAATCTCCAAAAGCCCATGAGGGCAGGACTAGCAAGTCACACATATGTTACAAGTGCTTGAAGGTTTTTCGAATGTTTTTCAAATGCAGTTTGTCCTGGGAATCACACAATGATCCCACACGCTTTCTCATCCCAATCTTACAAATAATAATTTTTATTTAAAGGAGAATGGACTAGCCAAGGTCTTGAACTCAGGAACAGAACTCTGGTCTAATTCCAAACATCATTTACTTGCCACCATAACAGCTGCTTCCTTCTGGAAGCCAGTGGCTAGTATGTACCTACATTATGACCACTTTCCCCTATGCATTTTAGATTATTCATTTCAAGCTATTCTAGGGAACTGCTCTTGCAGTTCTATGCCCAAGTTCAATCCTAACACACCCCATCACCAGCTGCGTTGCAGAGGTCTGCTCACAGTTCAAAGTTTGGCTTGCACTCAAGACCCTCTGTGGCAATAAAATCATCTCTACGGTAGCTCACTCTAAATTACTTCCAGTTTGCATTCTGTTTATTGTGACCCACACCAAACTGAAGTGTCTCAGAAAGCATTAAATAAATCAGTGTTCAGAGAAATGAGGCAGCCTCAAAGGAAAATAATATTAGCTCAATACTAGCCATAAATCAACCATTATGTGTGGGAGTTGCTCAGTGAAAACACAAGGAAAATTTAGAGAAGTTTATTTATTCCCAAAGCCCCAAGCTCACACAACAAACAAAAAATTAAAAATAAATAATGAGGCCAGGTATGGTGACTTTTGCCTATAATCCCAGTGTTTTGGGAGGCCAATCCAGGAGAATCCGTTGCGGCCAGGAGTTCAAGACCAGCCTGAGCAACATAGTGAGACCCCATCTCTACAAAAAAAATGTAAAACATTAGCCAGGCTTGGCGACACCCACCCGTAGTCCCAGTTACTGAGGAGGCTAAGGCGGGAGGATTGCTGGGGCCTAGGAGGTGGAGGCTATAGTGAGCTATGATCGCACCACTGCACTCCAGCCTGGGTGGGAGTAAAACTCTATCTCTAAAAAAATAACAAACAAATGATAATAAATAAATAATGACCAAAATGTCCAGTCAGTGGGGAAGAAAGGAAAGCAAGTACATAAAGTAGTAAGATAGTGCCACCAGTCCTGTGGTATTCTTCCCACCCCCACCACTCCCAAAGGATGCTTAACGTTCCCCAGTCAAGAGCTCCTCTAGGCTGTAATAAAAGCCCTTGAAAATCATACCGGGGTGGCCAAGAGAATGGCATAGACCCTGAAATCTCCCCACTACATTCTACAGTTCCAGGACAAGGAACATTTTGCTTGGCTATAAGGCCCCTCAGTTCCAAACATTACTGAGTATCATTTAATCCTTTAGCCAATTCCCATTTTACACTTGAGGCAGATGATCACCAGAGAAGTTAGGTAAGTTAAAGTTAATTGGCCAGTCTAAGGAAAATTCAGAAATAAAATCCAAGTCTCTGAGCCCAAACTTACTGAGCCACTTTAAGTATTAAAGGACAGAACCGAAGCACGTAAAGTGGCTGATTTAGCCGGGATCTCCCTCGCCCACGGCCCTATGGCTGCAATTAGGGACCTAAAACTGATGAGCACTAGGTGGGGTTTATGGAGGACTCCCTAGAAAAAAACAAAACAAAAACAGAAACAAAAAAAGTTTCCTTTTCAAAAGTCCTTGAGCAATATGCAATCTCAATAATTTGGACAAATTTTCCTGTCTTTGTTCTGTTTTCCACAAAAAGGAAGCATTCTGCACACAAACAAAAATCTCATAGTCCATGAGATAAAGCTCTTGCCCAGAGTGCTCAGGATCAGAAACATTATAAGCAGAATCAGTAATGATTATTAACGTATTAAATGTATTGCATGTCTTTTACTTCAAAACTTACAGACCTAACTAAAGATGTCTAACAGAAAGATTTTCTTTTTAAAAAGCCAACAACTACTTGGGAAGAAAACTAGTTGTATATGTGCTTAACAGGCTAGGCAAGTTTACGCTTACCCCGATTTCACGAAATAAACCCAACGTTTAAAAGCCAAGATGCAATACTTAAAATTAAAAAGAACTATAAGACCACTGGCCCATAGTGAGAAAAAAGGAAAATAAAAGATAAAACGATTTGTTTGACCTTCTGATCCTATTGCCTTCTTAATTACAACAGTTCACATAATTGGGAAGGAAAGAACAAAAAAGACATGGAAGTCCACTGAGGCCTCCTTGCAAAATAGTTGTCCAGCAAAGCTCTGCCTAAATAAATCTTTTATTAACCTAGACTCCACAAGTTTTTAATCCAACCCCTTTGAAGTCCAGTAATGGTCCTTCTCCTTTTACTAAAAGCCAAATTAGATGGCCATTTTAAGGGTTAATGCTCTTGAATGGTTAGGCAGAAGACAAAAAGACGGCCTATTTTTCCTACAACACAGAGTTAGATCTTGATAAGGTAGCATTTTATAAGTCCTCTGGAGTCAGCTGTAGAGGAAAAAAGTGTCAAGCTCAAGCTAATAAAGTGGGAAAGGGGTAGCCCAGACCCAAAGCATCATGACATTTCAGCTAACAACCTCAGCCTCGCGGGGGAACATGCTTGTGCTTTTCGGTTCTATAGTTGTACAAGGCTGGTACAACGAAGATTGTGCAGGCTGGCACGGTGACTCATGCCTGTAATCCCAGCACTTTGGGAGGCCAAGGCAGGCAGATCACTTGAGGTCAGGAGTTCAAGACCAGCCTGGCCAACATGGTAAAATCCCATTTCTACTAAAAATACAAAAATTACCTGGGTGTGGTGGCATGCGCCTGTAATCCCAGCTACTGGAGAGGTTGAGACAGGAGAATCACTTGAGCCCAGGAAGCGGAGGTTGCAGTAAGCCAAGGTCGCATCACTGCACTCCAGCCTGGGCAACAAAGCAAGACTCCTCAAAAAAAAACCTTAAAATAAAAATAAAGAATGTGCAAATCAACATGCTTTATACGTGCAATTCTTTTAAAACAGACACCCCACACAGCGCGTGCTGTCCATGCCTCCATTACTGCCAACCTCTCTTCGCTCCAAGCCAATGACTGGTGCAGACCCAGCCTGCGTGGGAAGAACACACACTCTCCTCCTTCGAAGCTGAAAAACCCAAGAGGGGCGCATCAGACAATGAAGACACAAATTCTAGGTACAGTCAGCCCTTCGTATCCATGAGTTCCACATCTATGAATTCAATCAACCTTGGTTAAGAATATTCTTAAGCCTACAGCCTGCTGATACCACGATAGACATTCAAAAGCACACTGCTGAAAAAATACTAATATTAGAAAATATTTAAGGGACATTACATGGAAGAAGGCTACAAA
The DNA here is from genome assembly GCF_000001405.40 of Homo sapiens. Classification (NCBI taxonomy): domain Eukaryota; kingdom Metazoa; phylum Chordata; class Mammalia; order Primates; family Hominidae; genus Homo; species Homo sapiens. The sequence continues at coordinate 65,791,493 of NC_000003.12, forward strand.
TGAGAATATTTATTATACTGGAGGGTATACAGTTACATATTTTAAACACAGAAAAGAGAAAGGGAGGGAGGAGACAAAGAAAATGAATAAAAGAATGGGAGAGAAGGCAGGAAGAGGTGGAGGATGGTCACAGAAATGAAATCAATACCATATGCTATCCTCCATCCCAAATTAAATTAATGAGGAGGTAAACGTTCTTATTGGTAGCTTATGGGTAGTGTTTACTCTGTTTTGTGTGTGTGTGTGTTTTTCCATTTGCCAAATTTTCTACGTTGAATATATATTACTTCCATAGCAGAAAAACATTCAAATATATAGATAAATGTTCTGGGTGTTTCTTTAAGGCTTTTTCAAAAGGACAGTCTGAGCTGGGACCACAGGCAATGCAATTGCCTTCAGGTGCCTTTTCAAAACACAGATCTTAGCCCCATCCAAATCCTTTTACACTAGTTCTCCCTTATCTGCCCAGAAAACATTCCAAGAACCCCAGTGAATGCCTGAAACCATGAATAATACCCAAGTCTACGTATTTTTTTTCTATACATACATACATACATACTTCTGATAAAAAAATCAATTTATAAATTAGGCACAACAAGAGATTAATAACAATAGCTAATCATAATATAGCTATTAATAAAATAGCTATTAATAGAAAACTAATAAAATAGCCATTAATAATTAATAGCAAGCCAGAAGCAGTGGCTCATGCCTATCATCCCAGCACTTTGGGAAGCTGAGGCGAGAGGATCATTTGAGGTCAGGAGTTCAAAACCAGCCTGGCCAACATGGTGAAACCCCGTCTCTACTAAAAATACAAAAATTAGCCGGGTGTGGTGGTACACACCTGTAATCCCAGCTACTCGGGAGGCTGAGGCAGGAGAATTGCTTGAACCAAGGAGGAGGAGGTTGCAGTGAGCGAAGATCATGCACTCCACCCTGGGTGACAGAGTAAGACTCTCTCAAACGATGATAATAATAGTAGTTACTAATAACTATTTTAAACTAATACAGTTTTTTATTAAAACTAATAGAATAGCTAATAATATATTGTTATAGCTAGCTATATAGCTAGCTATAACAATATAATAAAAGTAAAATAAGGATTCCTTGAACATAAGCACTAGGATACTGTCCCACCTGATCTGATCAGCTACTAAGTGGCTAACAGGGAAGTGGCGTATACAGCATGGGTCCGATGGACAATGGGAGGATTCACGTTCCAGGGAGAATCTAGTAAAATGACTCAAGGTTCATTACACTACTCAGAACCACATGCAGTTTAAAACTTATGAATTGTTTATTTCTGAAAATTTCCATTGGATATTTTCAGACCACAGTTGACCGTGTATAACTGACACCACGGAAAGCAAAACCATGGATTGGCGCGGGGGAGGGCAGGCGCTACTATAAATCACAACCTCCAAGGTAAGAGCCTGGTTTTTGCATTTTAAGTCTCTCTCAGGGAGTCTCATGCACACCAAAGTAGGAGAAATAGGGCATTTGAGTTTGGAAAACTGGTTACTCATAAGGCTGAATTCTGACCCTAGAGATAAGTCTCATCCACCAGCTAAGTTGAATGTATTTCTTTTATTGCTAAGAAACTTTTTGAGAACTGTCTCTGAAGAAGTCATGCTTGGGAAGACAGGGATGTTGGAAGGCACAAGGAATCAAGGTGGAAATTGCTGGCAGGGCTTCATCACATTATCAGGTGTGCACCATGCTGGCGCTCTCAGGGCTTAGCCAGTTTAGCCAGGATAGATGGAATACAGAATGAATCTATCTGTGACAACTTTTCATAAGATTATTCAGGCCCTGGCAAAAGATCTACATGTTGGTCAACTGTAAACAATGATAGCTAGTGAGATGAACTCTCATTCACAGAGTCTGGGGCAATTAAACCAATTACTTTCCACTGTGAATCCCAGGATCTCAGAAATGCCAAAGGAGAACAGGAACTTAGAAATTATCCAAACCCTTACCTTTTACTGAGAAGAAAAGCAATATAACTGAGGCATGGAGCTGGGAGCTTTAATCTTCAAAGTATTTATAAGCAGTTGAGAGATACTCTGGATAAATTAAAGAATTAGAATAACCATTGAGCTCACTTCAAGGGTTGAGCCTAAGAATCTGAGTTGAGATACTGATGAAAGCAGCTGCGAAAATGCCTGCAACTGCTGGCCTGGGTGGAGCAGCTGCAGGTCTGCATCTGTCTGGGAGGACTGCATTTCCAGGACAGTCTGTCCACTAGTCTCTCCTTTCAGTTTACCTTCTCCCAACTCTGAAGGAGAATCCAGTTAAGGAATAGATCAAGAAAATATATTGCACAGCTATATCTCTGCACCAACATCATATAGACAAAAACAACTCAATTTTCTGCTATTTGATGCTGGTTCTTTGTAGATACAGATGCTGCGTAAAGTTTCTGTTGTCTAAGAAGTTATACAACATTCTCAATTGATGACTAACCACTGTAAACCTGCTGTCTTTATGTCAAACCCACTGCCTTCCTTTTTCCTCGGAGCAAGACAGCCACCATATCTGTGATTTATTGCGCTACCACAATACAGAACACGACTCGACCTGGACCACACCCTAAGGCTAGAAGACAGCAGTAACACTAAAAGGATGAGACGCAAGCCATTGCCAGAAGATCTGGAATGGCCATTTTCCTTCTCGTAAAAGGAAAAACTCAAAAATTGGACCTAATCAAAACTAAAACTTGTGCTCTGTGGAAAGAGGCTAAAAATACAAGCCACAGGCAGGGAGGAAACATTTGCAAGCCACAGACTCAACAAAAGACTGAGACCTAGAATACATAAGGAACTCTCAAAACTCAACAGCACCTTTTCCTCAGTTGCTGCTAAGGCATTTGGTCCTTCTGAGGAAGCTCAGGACCTGTTGGGGTATGGCCTTCTCTTTATCCAGTGACTAAGACTGCGCCCAGCAGCCACTTCCCCAGCCCCCACCCATAACGCAGCCTCAATCTCTGAGCTCACCTGCATCCACTCATTCTGCAGGACAGTGAGGTGATAGTCACAGAATGAAAATCAAAACCCTCATTAAAGCAGCTGGTGTCAATGGTGAACCTTTCTGGCCTAGCCAATGTCAGCCTCAGGAGCCCCCTCTGCTGTGTAGAGCCTAGGGGACCTGCCTCACAACCAGCGATGCCCCAGCAGGAGACCCTATCCCTCCACCCTGCTGTCCTCACTCAGAAAAAAAGAGGGGGCAAAGAAAAGAGAATCTGAGGAGCCCCACGATGACATGGGCCTTGGTCTTTTTGACTAAATCTTTTATGTAATATGTTCAATAAAAAGCTGAACAAAACACAACAAAACAAACCCTCATCAGGAAAAAAAAAAAAAAAACCCACAAACTATCCGGGTATAAGATGGGCAAAATATATAAACAGACATTTCACCACAAAGGATATACAGACAGCAAATAAGCACATGAAAAGATGTGTGCAACATCACTATCCAACGACGCAAATGACTAATGCTAATGAGATACCACCACGTACCTATCAAAACAGGTAAAATCAAAAACAGTGACGACAGCAAACACTAGTGAGGTCACGGAAAACAGTTTGACACTTTCTTATAAAACTAAACAGGTGACTATCATGTGACCAGCAATTGCTCTCTTGTGCTTTTAAATGAGAAAAGGACATTTATGTTCAAACACACAAAAACATTTGCATATTTCATACACTATGAACATGTGCATATGAAATACACAAATGTTCATAGCAACTTTATCAGTAATAGCCAAAACTACCATCAACACAGATCTTCTTCAATAGCTGAGTGGCTAAAAAAAAAGTATGGCTCATCCATACCATGTAACACTACTCAGCAATTTTTAAAAATGAACTGCTGATACACACAGTAACCTGGATGACGCCCTCAGGTGGCTACGCTGCATGAAAACCATAATCCTGGGCTACATACTGTGTCATTCCATTTGTATAACATTCTTGAAATGATAAAATTGTAGAGATGGGGAACATATTAGTGACTGAGAGGGGTTTTGTAAAATATTACCATTGGAAGAAATTATGCAAAGGATACACTGGATGGCCCTGTAGTATTTCTTACAACTACTTGTAAATCTCCAATTATCTCAGAATAAGAAGTTTAACTTAAAATGAAGCCTGCTCTATTTCGGTCTCCAAAGAAACAGAACCATAAGATGATAAGATACACACACACACACACACACACACACACACGGAGAGAGAGAGAGAGATAGAGATTTAAGAAATTGGTCAGGCCGAGGGGTGTGATGGCTCATGTCTGTAATCCCAGCACTTTGGGAAGCCTAGGCAGGTGGATCACCTGAGGTCAGGAGTTCAAGACCAGGCTGGCCAAAATGGTGAAACCCCGTCTCTACTAAAAACACAAAAATTAGTCAGGTGTGGTAGTGCACACCTGTAATCCCAGCTACTTAGGAGGCTGAGGCGCAAGAATTGCTTGACCACAGGAGGCGGAAGGTGCAGTGAGCAGAGATCGTGCCACTGCACTCCAGCCTGGGTGACAGACTGAGACTCTGTCTCAAAAAAAAAAAAAAAAAAAAGAAAAGAAAAGAAAAGAAATTGGCTTCACAGGACTGCGGAGGATGGCGAGTCCAAAATTGCAGAGCTGGCACAGGCCGGGGTCCCAGGGAAGAACTGATGCAAAGACACTCTCCAGGCAGAATTCCTTCTTCCTCCCAGGAGCTCTATTTTCTTTGTCTTTTAAGGCTATTTTCTTTTAAGTCTATTTTCTTTTAAGGCTTTCAACTGATTTGATTGATGAGGCCAATCCCCATTGGAAAGGGTAATCTGCTTTGCTCTGAATCTATTAATACCAATGTAAACGTTATTCTTATCTAAAGAATACCTTCCCAGCGACATCCAGACTGGTGTTTCACCAAATACCTGGGTACCGTGGCCTAGCCAAGTACAAACAAAATTAACCATTACAGCTGCTGTTTCATCTCTTTTCTGCTGGGCTTTTGGTCACTAAGCAGAAAATATGAGGGGAAACGGACACACTGGCTCCCACAGCGGTTGGTCTCTGACATCAGCTATATCTATGTGGGGCAAGTTAGCTATTAATAAGTTTTGCCATGAAATAAAATTAAAAGTATTTATATTCATTTACTTTAAATCTTTTTAAATGCCTAAACCTTCTGAATAATAATATGCTATTCCTAATGCTCTAACCAAGGGGTCGGCATATTTCAACTATAATAAGGTGCCGATAGTAAATACTGTTGGCATTGCAGACCATATGCTCTCTACCCTAACCTCTCAATTCTGTTGCTGTCATGGGAAAGCGGCCTTGTACTATACATGACAAATGGGAATGGCTGTGACCACTAAACTTTATTTACAGAAACAGGCTGTGGGTCAGATTTGGCCTCAGGGCCATAGTTTGAGGATGCCTCCTCTGTTACCAACAAAATTTCAGGTACTTTTCATTCTTTCTCTCATCTTCCAAGGGTGTGATCTTGGATTGAAACTAATCATCTGTATTTTTTTTTTCCAACAGCATTTACTTTTCATCCAGAAAACCTTAGCTATGCCGCATGAGTTCTGATTATCTATTAAACATGAAGCTCAAGTGGTTATTTGCTAGTCACTTTTAAGTGTTTGGAAAAAAATATTAAAGTCCTCAGTCTCTGAGATACAAGGCAAGTCCAATTAGTGCAGACAATGTAAGCCATTATCCAGCTGCAATGGTCTCTTACATTTTCAAAAGAAAGAGTGGAGGCAGGTAAACACTAGCCCAGTAAACATTAAGGATGCATCTAAGGAAGCTTTAATAGGGGCAGGATACCTGTAAAGAGTCTATGACTCACTACATTATTCTAGAATAGATTTTTAATTACTCTGATCTATGTATGGCAACTGCTGCTTCTGATTAAATAGATTTAAAATGAGAAGAAAGAAAACAGAAACCGGCCAGGCACACTGGCTCATACTTGTAATCCCAGTACTTTGAGCAGTCGAGCCATGCAGACGGCTTGAGCCCCAGAGTTCGAGACCAGCCTGGGCAACATGGCAAAACCCCATCTCTACAAGAAAATTAGCCTGGTGTGGTGGCAAAGGCCTGTAATCCCAGCTACCTGGGAGACTGAGGTCAGGTGATCACCTGAGCCTTGGAGTTCGAAGCTGCAGTAGGCCATGATCACACCACTGCACTCCAGCTTGAGCAACACAGTGAGACCCAGTCTCAAAAAAAAGAAAACAGAAATCTAGTTTCTATAAATACTAATATTTTAACCAATATTAATATTTAAGAACTTTGAAGAATCCAGAGCACGGACAGGAAAAATAACACAGATTTCTAGTGGAGATTATTCAATGTATGTTGGGAAGTTTTGTCATCTAAGGATACACTCAAATCTAAGCGTAACCTTGGATTGGACTGTGCTGTACTGTTTATGGGCATTACAGCTATGGAGCAACAGCCCTTGAAAGGAATATAGTTTGTCTCATTTCTAAAATGCATCTTCAATTCTTCACCTTAAAAACATAGCCTTGGCCTGGTGCAGTGGCTCACACCTGTCATCCCAGCACTTTGGGAGGCCAAGGCAGGCAGATCACGAGGTCAAGAGATGGAGACCATCCTGGCCAACATGGTGAAACCCTGTCTCTACTAAAAATACAAAAATTAGCTGGGCATGGTGGGGTGTGCCTGTAATCCCAGCTACTTGGGAGGCTTAGAAAAGAGAATCACTTGAACCCGGGAGACGGAGCTTGCCGTGAGCCGAGATCACACCACTGCACTCCAGCCTGGGCAACAAAGCGAGACTCCATCTCAAAACAAACAAACAAACAAACAAACAAACAAACACAGCCTCAGAAGCACTGAAAATGACAACCCCTCGCCCATTCCATGCCTTTCTTCCTCCCGGGAAACATAAGTCATCAGGACCCATGGAGCAGACATCATTCTGAAAGGCACATCAAAGACACTCTGAAGTTCCAAAGGAAGCCGCCAACTGTAGGCCTCGGGCCAAGATAGGTGTAGGGGTGCTGCCCTTTACCATGGCTCTTGCCTCTTTACCATGGCTTAGGAAGGATGCTCTGGGTTTCCTTAAACTTCGCAGATTCATGCTGATTGCAGTCAAAATAAATATTCCCAGGAGCTTTGTGAACTGAAATTTCCTTTCATGAAAAGAATTTCTAGAAATACTACAGCTACAGTAGTCCCCCCATTATCCACGGCTTCGCTTTCTGCAGTTTCAGTTACCTACGGTCAACCACAGTCCAAAAATATTAAATGAAAAATTTCAGAAATAAACAATTCATAAGTTTTAAATCATGCACCGTCCTGAGTGATGTGATGAAATCTCTCACCATTCCACTGTGTCCAGCTCAAAGGGGAACCGGCCTTTAGGACAGCATTTCTACCCCGTATACCCTCACCACCCATTAATCACATATCGGCCACCTCAGTGAGCAGGTCGACTGTCAAAGTATCACAGTGCTTGTGTTCAAGAAACCTTTATTTTACCTAATGATGACCCGAGAGTGCAAGACTAGTGAGGCTAGCAAGTCAAACAGCCAAAAGGGAAGCTGTAATGTGCTTCTGTTAGTGAAAAAGGTGAAAATTCTCGATTTAATAAGCAAAGAAAAAAATCATATGCTGAGGTTGCTGAGCTCTATAGTATTCTATCTGTGAAACTGTAATGAAGGAAAAAGAAATTCGTGCTACTTTTCTGTTGCACTTCAAACTACAAAAGTTATGGCCACAGTGCATTACAAGTACTTAGTTCAAAAGGAAAGAAAAATGTTTGGGTGGAAGACATCAACAGAAATGGGTTCCAACTGACTGAAACATGTGGCACCAGGAAGCACCGAGCCTATACAAAGACTTCAGCAAGGGATCCCCTAAAATGAGTGACACTAAGTTATTTGTTGCAAGTAGCGAATGGTTGTGCAGATTCAAGATAAGCTTGTACCGAAAAATACAAAAATTACTGGAGAGTCTCTATCTGCTGATGAAGAAGCAGCTGTCACATTTCCAGCAGAGTTGAAGAAGCTGTTGATCTCATTACTGTGCCTAGTTTATAAATTAAATTTTATCATACATATGTATGTATGGGGAAGAGCAAAGTATACTATAGAATTTGGTACTATTCCATGGTTTGAGGCATCCACTGGGGGTCTTGGAAGATATCTCCTGCAGATAAAGGAGGACTACACATAATAAAAGAGCAGCTGACATGTCAGTTAATTGTAGTTTTAAATGAATATGCAAACAAAACTCATATTTATGTGTTTTTTAAAAAATATTTATTTGGGCTGATGTTTCCACAACTTTTGAAAACTCTGTAGTGTATTGCACATTTTCCCCTCACATTAATAATTGTACCCAACGCTTTACATTTAAATATTCTTCAGCTGAGAAGATGTCTGGAAGTTGAAAAAAATAGATAAAACAAGCAAGCATATTATTTAAACACAAATAATGTACCATTTTAAAATAAGTTAATACTACGTTTCCCAATTATTCAGACTTCCTGAAGGTTCCGACTGCCTAATTCCAAGTCTACCACTTACTTTGCTGAATGGCGTTGGGCATGTTACTTTCCTCCCAAGTTTCAGTTTCCTCATCCATAAATGGAGAGCCTAATAATACCTGCTCCATATGGGGTTCTAGTGGCGAACAGGTGACTTAACACATGTAAAGCATTCAGAATAATGCCTGGCACGTGGCAAGCCTTTAGTAAGTGCTAATCCTGATCATCAGCTTCTTTTTCTTCTTCATCATTAATTTGTGGTTCTTACATTTAAAGGTGTCAGGGTAGTTCAATGTAGGAGCAAGCAAAGTTTTAGGGGTGGCATGTTAAATATTAAATATAATCAATCCTTCCCTCCCCTTGGAGTATTTTCTATACACTGAAGAGTATCTTTTAGTAATTGTGAATTTCTTTTTTATCCCCACAAAGAGTTAGAGGGAAACCTTAGCAAAACCAGACATTGTGTATCAGTGAGTCCAATTGTCCAGTCTCATAGTCTTTATAACCCAGCAAACAGGCCCAGTGAACAGGTGCTTGGAAGGGCAGAACATGGACTGCTTCAAACAATCAGAAATGCATCCAATAAGATATGAACTCCCACCATGGGAAATACGTTTTTTAATTAGATTAAAAAAAAAACTGATGTAAGAAATTGGCAAAATTGTTGCTTCTGAAAAGGAGTGATAGCAAAAACTAAAACTAAAAATAAAATAAAATTTTTAAATATGTATCCATTCCTATGGTTTCCAAGTATTTTGATGTTAGCTTCTACCAGGACTGCCTGATATTTTTCTCATATATTTTCTTCCTTTATCTTAGAGTGAATCTATTTGTCACACAGTTTATTGTTCCTGTTAGGTTGGTGCAAAATTAATTGTGGTTTTCGCCATTAAAAGTAATAGTAAAAACCGCAGTCACTTCTGCACCAATGTAATATTTCCCCTGGGATAAAACAGAGTTGGATGAATCAGGTGCTCACAGGCAAATCTCCCTGGAAGTTCCTACTTAGTTCTTCTCCTCTGTCACTTTATATTTATTTGCAAATTGTCAAGCACCATTGGTTTATATTTGAGACACTTATGAAAATGAGAGATAAAGAATAATTTCAGGTAAAACTCTTCTTGGGCAACACAGATCTAATGTTTCCAATGAAATAATCACTTCCTGAAATGGAAAAATAAAATAGGAAGTCAAGAAAAAATACAGATTTCAAGAACAGCATGGGTTTAGCTTCAAGTTAAACAGAAACACTGATGCAGACAATACCAATCATTTGAGTCTTTTGAGATCTAATACAGAGCATCCAAAGGAAAGGTCTGATGAGGGAAAGAAAATCCAAAGCTTTGAAATGGTCAAAGTAGCTAGGTCTTGAAGTCAGATGCAAAGTTATAACATTCTAGAAAAATGTCCGGTCGCTTAAGTCTTAGATTCCATCAAAGTGATGACCAAATTTAGAGATGAATAACCGTACTTGGATCACTTAGCAGAAACAGCATTATAGGCCAACTTGGCTGGAAAAAAGCTCTCCATTATCAAGATCTGAGGAAGACCTCTGCAAATCCAGGTCTCCATCTCCCTGACAGCCTCCTTCACTTTCTAACAGCTCCTCGACCAATCACTTCTCCTACATTCTAACCCAATGGCTCTCAACTCTTTAAAAAATGCAGATAGGTTTTAAAGTTTAGTGGAACCTAACATGACAGTAATTATATTTTAAATATCTGTTGGGTAAGAAAATGCATAGAAACAAAAACTTTTCAATTCACTATAAGATTTTCTACTTTATTAACCCCTAAAGCAGGGGTCCCCAAACCCCGGGCCACAGACTGCTACCAGTCCATGGCCTGCTAGGAACCCAGCCACACAGCAGGATGGGGGCAGTAAACTAGCATTACCTCCTGAGCTGGGCCTCCTGTGATATCAGCAGAGGCATTCAATTCCCAGAGGACCATGAAACCTATTTTGAACTGCACATGTTGGGGATCTAGGTTGGACACTCCTTATTAGAATCTAACTAATGCTTGATGGTCTGAGGTGGAACAGTTTCATCCTGAAACCATGCTCCCTGCCCCACTCAACCTCCTGGAAAATTTGACTTCCATGAAACCGGTCCCTGGTGCCAAAAAGGTTGGGGACCACTGCCCTAAAACATCTTCATTCAGTTAAAATTTTTCTGAGAGCCTACTATGTGCAACGCATTATTCTTAGCATTTGAGGTACAATTCTGCCCTTAAAATTCTCCTCCTTCCCTCCCTCCTTTCCATATCCTATCAGAAAAGGTCTGAACAAAATGGTTATTCTGATAGGAGAATTCTAAATTCTATTTGATGGGAGGGATGGGGGAGACAAGGAAGATGGAGGCAACTCTCCATTCCTCCTTGGGGTTGTAATTTTTCACCATGTGAACGCATTCATGAGTTACTCGTGTAATTAAAAATAAAAGATGGTAAACAGAGCATCTGTGTAAGAAATGTCTAGAAAAATAAAAAGTCCTTTAGAATTACTTCAAGGCCCTCTAAAAATGTGCCCAAATCCACATTGCACCCTGGGGTTCAGAAAGCAGTGGCTCTTGCAAATTGTTCATATCAATTCAGTTCAATTATCTGGTAGCAACACTCAGGCAAGTACCATCTTTCTTTTGTTCATTCCTGTAACATCTATCAAGTACACAATACCTGGCATAAAACAAACACTGAATTAGGTAAATATTAAATGGCTGACTGAATGGATGACTGAAGAATGCCTAGTTTCCTGCCTCAAGTACCGAATGCCTAACCATTTTCCTTCCATGGTGACTTCAACACACTCTCCAAAACTCCACTCAAAAGATCATCTCATCTGTGTGTGTGTGTGTGTGTGTGTGTGTGTGTGTGTGTGTGTGTCTTTTGTTGGCATCTAACTCATCTATGGTGAAAAACACAAATTTCATCTCTATAACCTCAACATTTTCTACTGATAAAGACATCCATGTAACCAACATGCAGATGAAGAGAGAGAGAGGACATTACCAGTACTCCCACCACACTGCTTCAATATGGCCTTATTTTAATAACATCCTTGCCCATTTTTTTGTTTCTTTGTTTTCTGCTACTTGCAAAATCAAAGTATTTCACTTTGAATAAGATAACAGCTAAATGAGCTGATTTTTTTTAACTAGAGTTAGCAAACATCTCTAATCCAGTAAAGTGATGTCAATTAAAAATAGTATTAGGAATCCTGCGATATTATAACAGCAGGTGACAATTTAACACTGTTTGGACTAAAATATTGTAGGTGAAATTTACTGTAATAGAGATTGTACATATGAAAAAATATCAAAGGTTTCTAATTTTAATACATTTTCCCTCAATGCTCAATGCTTAAATAATTTTCCTTTACATGCTTACTGACTATAAATAAAAGATAGACTTAAAATTTCCTAAAAGGAAATTTTAGATGTGATATTACATGACCTCTCTACATTCTCATCTTTAAATTATTCCCTGTGAAATCTTGTTCAATCCATCATTTGAGCATGTCAGCAGGAAAAATAATTTCTTTTTTGTTTTAATTTTAGGTTCAGGGGTACATATGCAGGTTTGTTATATAGGTAAACTCGTGTCATGGGAGTTTGTTGAACAGATTATTTCATCACTCAGGTACTAAGCCTAGTATCCAACAGCTATTTTTCCAGATTCTCTCTCTCCTGTCACCCTCTACCTTCCAGTAGGCCCCAGTGTCTGTTGTTCCCCTCTCTGTGTCCACGTGTTCTCATCATTTAGCTCCCACTTACAAGTGAGAACATGCAGTATTGGTGCTGGAGGCCATTATGCTTAGCAAACTCATACAAGAAGAGAAAACCAAGTACTGAAAAATAATTTCTTAAATGAATTTTGCATATGACAAAAGATCTCACACCTCCTCTAACTCAGAAACAATAACACGAGTGCTTCAACAAAAATTGTAACCAAGATTCAGGAAGACTCCTTAAACCTTTAAGACAATCATGATAGATTAACAAGAACCTAGCACAAACTGAGGCATCCCTAAATTCCACTCTGCATCTTTCCAAGAGAAAACTCTAAGAACATTCAAGTCCCCTTTATAACACTGAAGAAATTCGAAAAACAAACATTCATCTTACTGATGTAGAAGAACAGAAAAGCATCACACTATTAGCTCCTCCAATGGCCTGGCAGAGACCCTGCGTGGCACAAGCCACAAATAAGAACATTCTAAAGAATTAACCATTTTGCAAAACAGAACATTTCTCAGATGGCTTAGTAAAAAAAAAAAAAAACACACACAGTGACATCAGAACATTAAGAGAGGGGAGAGATTTTCAGATAACATCACTGACTGGTATAAGCAATGTATTTATATCAATAAATTGATATAAATTTATTGGTATAAACTGATATATATAAATATTGATATGAATTGATATAAATTACATTGATATTTATATCAATATGTTATACTGATATAAATTATATTGATATTATATTAATACATGTTATATACTGATATAAATTGATATTTACGTTATTAAATCAAGTTTAGCCTAAAGCTGCCTCTTTACATATTTTAAATTTGGTCTAAAGGTTTTTCTGTACACATCATGAACTATAGCAAGTGGCAATGTAAACGGACCGTAGCCTACACTTGTGCCAATCACCAAGTTTTTCCCAATCAAATGTACCCAACTGTACAGTAATCAAAACGGCATGGCACTGGTACCAAAACAGGCACAAAGACCAATGGAACAGAATAGAGATCTCAGAAATAAGGCCACACATCTACAACCATCTGATCTTTGACAAACCGGACAAAAACAATCAATGGAGAATGGATTCCCTATTTAATAAATGGTGCTGGTAGAACTGGCTAGCCATATGCAGAAAATTGAAACTGGAACCCTTCCTTACACCTTATACAAAAATTAACTCAAGATGGATTCAAGACTTAAATGTAAAACCCAAAACTATAAAAACCCTAGAAGAAAATCTAGGCAATATGATTCAGGATATAGGCATGGGAAAAGATTTCATGACAAAAACATCAAAAACAATTGTGAACAAAACCAAAAATTGACAAATGGGACCTAACTAAACTAAAGAGTTAATGTACAACAAAAGAAACTATCATCAGAGCAAACAGACAACCTGTGGAATGGGAGAAAATTTTTGAAATCTATCTATCTGACAAAGGTCTAATATCCAGAATCTATAAGGAACTTAAACAAATTTACAAGAAAAAACAAACAACCCCATTAAAAAGTGGGCAAAAGACAAGAACAGACACTTCTCAAAAGAAGTCATTTATGCAGCCAACAAACGTATGAAAAAAAGCTCAACATCACTGATCATTAGAGAAATGCAAATCAAAACCACAATGAAATACCATCTTATGCCAGTCAGAATGGCAATTATTAAAAAGTCAAGAAACAAGAGACGCTGGCGAGGCTGTGGAGAAACAGGAATGCTTTTACAGTGTTGGTGGGAACACAAATTAGTTCAACCATTGTGGAAGACAGTGTGGCGATTCCTCAAGGATCTAGAACCAGAAATACCATTTGACCCGGCAATCCCATTACTGGGTATATACCCAGAGGAATATAAATCATTCTATTACAAAGGTACATGCACGTGTATGTTCACTGAAGCACATTCACAATAGCAAAGACATGGAATCAACCTAAATGCCCATCAGCAATAGGCTGGATAAAGAAAATGTGGCACATATACACCGTGGAATACTATGCAGCCATAAAAAGGAACAAGATCATGTCCTTTGGAGGGACATAGATGGAGCTGGAAGCCATCATCCTCAGCAAAGTAACACAGGAACAGAAAACTAAACACCGCATGTTCTCACTCATAATTGGGAGCTGAACAATGAGAACACATGGACACAGGGAGGGGAATAACACACACTGGGGCCTGTCAGGTGGGGGACAGGGGAAAGGAGAGCATCAGGATAAATAGCTAATAGATGCAGGGCTTAATACCTATGTGATAGGTTCATAAGTGCAGCAAACCACCATAGCAAATGTTTACCTAGGTAACAAATCTGCACATCCTACACATGTATCCTGGAACTTAAAATAAAATATAAAGAAATTTTTTAAAAATTAAAAATTTTTTTCAAAAATATAGCTGGCCAGGCACGGTGGCTCATGCCTGTAATCCCAGCACTTTGGGAGGCTGAGGCAGGTGGATCACAAGGTCGGGAGATCAAGACCATCCTGGCCAACATGATGAAACCCCATCTCTACCAAAAATACAAAAATTAGCCGGGCATGGTAGTGTGCGCCTGTGGTCCCAGCTACTCGGGAGGCTGAGGCAAGAGAATCCTTTGAACATGGGAGGCAGAGGTTGCAGTGAGCTGAGATCATGCCACTTCACTCCAGACTGGCAACAGAGGGAAACTCCATTTCAAAAAAAAAAAATGTAGCCAACTGTTTGAACTGTGTTTTAATAGGGCAAACGCCGAGCTGTAACCAATTCAACTGTTACTGTACCTCACTTCCGTTTTCTGTACGTCACTTTCCATTTTTTGCCCGTAAGTCTCCCACCACATAACTGCGTTGGAATCTCGGAAACTTCTCTGGCTCAGATGGCTGTCCAGTTCCCCAATCATTCATTGCTCAGTTAAACTCCTTTAAATTTAATTCTGCTGGAGTTTTTATCAATATCAATTTACTGATACAAATGAATTGTGCACACCAATCAGTGATGTCATCTGAAAATTAGTTTATATCAAACTGATCTAAATATACCATGCCTGGACCCTGTCCACTAGATGCCAGTAGCACACCCCATAGTTTGTGACTATAAAAACTGTTCCAGACATTCCAAATGTCCCCCTTGAAGAGGGGAGGGAGGAGACAGTGCAATAACCATCCATCATTTGAGAACTACTGATTTATACTGATGACATAGTTGATGATGATAACGATGGAAACATCATCATAGCAATAAAATAATAAAAACAATTTCCTCCTATTCAGTACTCTACTCAGATGCTATGCCAAGTACTTTATATACACTTTCTTCTGTAAGACCACCCTATGAGACAGGTATTCTAATTTTCCACATTTTATAGTAAAGAAACTGAGGCTCAGGAAAGTTAAATGCCCTATTTAAGGTCACACAGTAAGATGCTGTCCTAATCTGTTCCTGTTGCTATAACAGAACGCCTTAGACTGGGTAATTTGTAAATAACAGAAATTCACTTCTCCCAGTTCTGGAGGCTGGGAAGATCAAGATCAACATTCCAGCAGATGTGGTGTCTGGCAAGGACTTCATCTCTGCTTTCAAAACAGAGCTTTCTTACTGTACATTGACATATAGGAAGGACAAAAAGGGACCGGCTTTCTCTTCAACCTCTGTTTATAAGGACACTAATTCCACTCATGAGAGCTCCACCCTCGTGACTTAATCACAGCCTAAAGGCCACACCTCTTAACACTATCACATTGGCAATTAAGTTTCAACACGATTCCGGGGCAGGAGAGGGACACTTTCACACCATAGCAGAGGGTGACCAGGGGTTCGCAAACAAGCCTAACTTACAAGTTCATAATTTTAACTAACATGCTATATATTGCCATCTCCACCACACAGAGAATTATGAGAGTGCTCTGGGAACCCAGCAACCGGCTATTCCAAACAGAAGTAAATGGAGAACACAGTACCCAAAAGATACAACAGATAATGTCTGGTAGTGAGTGAAGTAGGCCGCCACCAGACTGCAAATGCTCATCTTCCCTATTAATAACATGTGCTTTAAACACAACGTGATAATCCTCAGAGCAACCTCTCAAGATAGATACCAGTATCTCCATGTTACGGATGAGAAAACTGAGTACAGAGCGATTGAGTAAATTATCCAAGATCACAGGGCTGTTTTTTCTGATGGAGCCAAGATTTAAAATGAGACCCAGCCAGGTGTGGTGGCTCACGCCTGTAATCCAGCACTTTGAGAGGCTAAGTTCGGCGGATCACTTGAGGTCAGGACTTTTTTTTTTTTTTGGCTCTTGTTGCCCAGGCTGGAGTGATCTTGGCTCACTGCAACCTCTGCCTCCCAGATTCAAGCAATTCTCCAGCCTCCGCCTCCCGAGTAGCTGGGATTACAGGCATTCGCCACCACGCCCAGCTAATTTTGTATTTTTAGTAGAGACACGGTTTCTCCTTGTTGGTCAGGCTGGTCTCAAACTCCCAACCTCAGGTGATCCACCCGCCTTGGCCTCCCAAATTGCTGGGATTACAGGCATGAGACATGGCGCCCAGCTGAGGTCAGGACTTCTTGACCACCCTTGTCAACATGGTGAAACCCTGTCTCTATTAAAAAATACAAAAAGGCAGGCATGGTGGCACACTCCTGTAATCCCAGCTACTCAGGAGGCTGAGGCAGGAGAATAGCTTGAAGCTGGGAGGCAGAGGTTACAGTCACCCAAATCGTGCCACTGCAATCCAGCCTGGATGACAGAGCAAGACTCTGTCTCAAAAAAACAAATAAATAAAATAAAAGTAAATAAATAAAATGAAACTGGTCTGACTGCTGAGCCTCATTTACTTCCAGCACAATGATTTTATGGGTCAAGGGACAATATTAATGTAAGCAGCCAGCACGCTCTCAGCAGGAACTGACACAAGTTACATACCCGTGGGACCCACTGCATGATGAGACCTTCACGACACCAACAGAACTCCAACATCATTCTCCACCCACCTCACAAATTGGGGACCATTCTGCTCTTCCGTCACTCAAGAGGACTTGCACCGCACACAGGACCTACATGGGTCTCAGCTTTTTATATCTCATTTTAAGTAAAAGCAGATTTTTTTAAAGTGCATTCTCCTCTTACAAGAACATTAATTAACTTCTCAGCTAAAACTCTGCTGGGAAATGTGAGGTACAGCAATGATGTGTCTCCATGGGTAATCTAAAAGGGAAAGGAAATAAGGGGAGATTTACGCTGGGAAAATGAGAGTAATACTCAGAGTGTGAATAATCTAAAGTACAGACATTTAATCTGAGAGAAATATTTGGATATTGGGAATTCCAAAGGAGAACTCAGCCAATGATTATGGTCCACAGGGCCCATGGGTAGGTTATTAAGAAATGCATTTACACTGAAATACTATGCTACACACAGACAGCAGAGCAGCGTAAAAAGGTTTCACACAGCATTCCCAGCACAGACAGTGACGATGTGCTCTAATAACTGGGATAACTGCCCACGGTGGGACCCTAAACTTGTTTCCGGACACTTCAGCAGGTCAAGTGTAGAAGAAAAATTTAAGACCACTAGGACATGGTAACAGTTGTCACCATTTCCAAGGGGAAGCTGAAAAAGAAGGTGAGAAAACTTTATGTAAAACTTTATCAAGATGACAGAAATTCAGTTCTCCAACGTCATCCATTTCAAGTTCCTATAGAAATAATACTGCTTACCCAAGTCAGAGGACTGGAGCCAAGAAAGGTGACAGAGAAGAGAAATGAATGGGGTGGGAAAGAACAATTTAAATTACAGGTCTTCCAGAAATACCTTCTACCCAGTCCCACCATCCTGCAGAAATCCTGAACAATCAAAAAACTTTCAGCTGTGATGGAAAACTCAACTCAAACTAAAGATGGGACGCTCTCATTTACTGGCCTAGTGACATGGCCAGCCCTGGAGCCCTGAGGCCAGGGAGAAGGTCAGTTGCCCAGATAAAAAGTGGCGCCCAGTTACCAAAGGAAGGGAAATGGATATTATGCAGGCAAAACAGATACACTGGACATTCCATTCCGTTTTGTCTTGCACAGAAATTAATGACTCCTGTCCAGTTCCTCTTTCTACAGGAGCTCACAATCTGTCTTCAAAATTCACCTAGGCTCCTTTCCTCTCTAGTGCCCTGCTATACACCCCCATTCTGAATTCCCCACCCCAACTCTTCTCCCACTGCTGCTCCTACACACACAACCTCACATATATCCTCTCTCTCTCTCTCTCCCTCTCTCTCACACACACACACAGACACACACTTCTCTATCATTTTCTTTTATTTCAGGACTTATTTACCAAAGTATCATGGTTTCAAGTATGACAGAACTATGAGCCAGTACATGAATTTATCCATCAAAAAGTGCTATCAAAATCTTTACCTATAATTTCACATATTAGGTAAAGCCATTTTAACTCAAAGAAATGCATGCTAATGGTGGAATTTTAGATACTTTGGCACATTGGGCAAGCCCAAGAGGACCCTTCTCCCAAAGACATTCAATTCATGCCACAGAGAGAGGCTGCCTATGAAGTCTAACTAGCAGAAGGCCTCTCTCTTTTATCCAGTCTCTATCCCATACACCCAAACGGCTCATGAATGTGGCAGTAATGCCTCTACCCAGAAAAGTAATTCAGTACTTCCAAAAGGTTATTTTAAGACAGACTGTTAAATGAAACATGAGTAATTCCATTACAGTGTTGATTAGGAACACAAGTCAGAAACTGCTCCAGACAAGAAACTCGTAACCACAACAACAAATGGAAAACGAACTCCAGCGTGGCTCCCTGGAGAGAATCGAATGAACTGATGGGTGTTTTCCTTCTCTTATTTCCAAGGATCTAATAAAGGTTTCATCTCTGTCAGGAATGGTGGGAGTCTATCGCCGGGGAAGATGATGGCAGCTCTCCCTTGGAGCTCTTGCATTTCTGCAATCAGCCAGCGAGGGAAAGCCCGCACTCCACAAAATGCAAGGAGTAGAATCCCTCCCCAGGTCTACTGACTTTCAACTCCAGCAACCTATTTAGGTCCCTTCATGGTGCACACACACCTCGTAATTGACTTTGTTTTGTTATTTGTGGACACATTTAGCTCTTTCCTCTTTCTCTTCCATGAGATTACATATTTCAGGAGGGCTCCAGGCAGTACCTTCATTACCTTGCAAGTACATGGCATATAGTAGGTACTTAATACATGTTTGTTGGGATAATTAATCTGCTGATTTCTAAACAAAAGATTGATAAACAATTGAATGAATGGTCACACATGGACAAACGAAAGCACACTTGCCTTCTCAATCAAGTATTGAATGTTAGGTTCTGAAAACTAACTATAGAAAATACAGTATCAAAGTATGTATACAGAAAAGCCAAAAACTGCCACACAGCCTTCATTATTTTCCTACAGGCAACTTCATAGGATAATCCTTGCATCTTGGCTCTTCAACATTTGAAGAGCACCTATTGTGATAGCAACGTCTTATCACCCAGCCTCTACTGACATGAACAAACAATGAAAGACTATATTCACTGACATTCCCCGGTAAGAGGCTAGGAGACTAGTGTCTAAATGTTGGGTTGCTTTTTTTCTTATTCCATTAGACATTTTTAGATTCTCAGCCAAGCCCAGAAGCCAACCCTCTTCTTGGGAAGCTTCCTGCCAGATCTCCATGGGGAGCCCCCAGGCAGCCATATTTGGACTGGGAATCCAACCTCCACTCATCGACCAAGAGCAGTCACCTGACTCATGCTTGGCAAAGCAGAGTCTCTTTCTAAGGAAATGTGGAGCTATGACTGAGAGCCAGCTAGTCAGTCTCTGTGGGTTCCTGAAACTGCAGAACGAGCTAAGGGTTATTCATGTTTTCTTTCACATGAAAGCTGGGCTGCAGAGAAAGAGATAATGTAGCAAAAATAAATAAATAAATACACAAACAAAAAAAAAAACAAGAAAAGCAGAGCCAAGACAGAGAGGTAAACTGATAAACTTTCAGGTCCATTCCTAAGTACCAGTCCATTCTTGCCCAAGTGGCATGAGCTAACCCTGTAGCTTTATTATAAAGAATCCCCCCTTGTTCTTTTACTTAAGCTAGTCATTACCAGCTAGTTGATTATAAATAACATGTATAATCTAATTTCCTGAGAATTTTTAAATCTTTTGTATGTTTACGTGTGTGTGTGTGTGTGTGTGTGTGTGTGTGTGAGAGAGAGAGCGTGCACTCGCAGCTATAAACACAAAACTATTTCTTTTTGCGCAAACTCCCACAAAAACTCGGCGGGAGAGGAGGTAATCTCATGATCTCTGCATTAAGCCAGCCTGAAATTGATCTGTGTCTCTCCGTAACTCAAAGCCAAGCTATTTAAATAGCTCTCAGGAAATGCTTTTTC
This sequence comes from Homo sapiens, assembly GCF_000001405.40. NCBI lineage: Eukaryota > Metazoa > Chordata > Mammalia > Primates > Hominidae > Homo > Homo sapiens. The sequence continues at coordinate 65,812,146 of NC_000003.12, forward strand.
CCAGACACCAGACACATAATAAATACTTTTTTTAAGTGTAGGAAGAAAAGAATAATATACCACCAACCTGACTAATCTTATCACATTCCTGACTCAGTACAGATGCAACATAAAGGCTGGCACAAAGCGGGTATTCTAAAAATGTTAATTGTTGCTGTTATTGTTATTATTTACCTGTTCCTGGCCCAGTGCTCCCCAGCAGGGCTAGCATGATGGGGGCACACACTGCTGTGACCCTAAATACATTACGGTTGAAAAAATTACAGGATTTTATAATTTTATAAAATCTCTCTCTCTCTTTCTCTCTCTCTCTCTCTCTCTCTCACACACACACACACACACACACTTCTCTATCATTTTCTTTTATTTCAGGACTTATTTATCCAAGTATCTTATGGTTTCAAGTTTGGCAGAACTACAAGCCAGTACTGAGCAAGGACCGAATAAAATTATAGGATCATTATAAGAGTTAGCAATGATACATTCTATGTTCCAAAGAAATGCTAGACCACATTAAATCAATGATATAAACTGACTGGTTAAAGTTAGTTTACTTTTTTTTTTTTTTTTTTTTTTTTTTTTGAGACAGAGTTTTGCTCTTGTTGCCCAGGCTGGAGTGCAATGGTGCAATCTCAGCTCACCGCAACCTCCGCCTCCTGGGTTGAAGCGATTCTCCTGCCTCAGCCTCCAAGTAGCTGGGACTACAGGCATGCACCACCACACCCAGCTAATTTTTGTATTTTTTAGCAGAGATGGGGTTTCTCCATGTTGGTGAGGCTGGTCTCAAACTCCTGACCTCAGGTGATCCGACCGCCTCAGCCTCGCAAAGTGCTGGAATTACAGGCTTGAGCCACCGCGCCCAGCCTAGTTCACATTTTCTAAAAGAAAAAAAAAAAAGTCAATTTCTTTTTTATTAAAGAGAAGCAACATAAAAATACACAGTCACAACAGCATTCAAGGAAACGAAACCATCTTCATTCTTCTGAAAGAATCCAAAAGGAGTGAGAGGTGAACATGGCATTTGCACATATACCTGAACTGACTTCCAAGCTATCCTCTTTGTCTCACCAAGCGCCACACCCCCATTTCTCCCAGCTTGTTCATGAATCTAGCATGGATTGGGTGAGGCCTGTAACAACTGAGGCTCCTTTTATTGTTCACTCCTCAACTGGCTGCTCCAGGAAATCCTACAGCATGGCAAAACCATCCTTAAGCAAAAGCTAATGGAAGGCAATTTGGGGGAAAAGGAAGAAAACAAGGAAATAGGAAGGAGATGCGAATTATGAAAAAAAATGACCATTAAGAAACAAATCAAATGGACAAAATGAGCTTCTATTTAGGGCCTATGAAATTAGCAACTACTCAGAAAAAATATATACTACATAGTAATGGTGGGGATATAGAAAAAGAGCAGTCTCAGAGTTGACTATGGGTAAGTAACTTGTTTCAACCTTTCTGGGAGGAATTTTAGCAATGCACATCTCTTTAACATATGTATCATCTTTGACCCAGCCATTCCACTTCTAGAAATTTATCCTACAGAAATAATGAGAAATACGCAGAATGCTTAGGGTACACAGATGTTTAGAACAATTAAAGTCATAAAATGGTATTTATAATAGGGAGATAATGGTGCCAATCTAAATGTTCCATATTAATGGAGTGGTTCCCTGAAATATAACACACATAATTAAGTCCAGGGTTCTTCAAACTTTATTCTGAAAAGCTCAATGAGTCTCTCGGACATATCTAAAGGTACCTTGCAGGAGTAATGAATGAATCCCAATAGACAGGTCTTGCTCCCATTCATCCCAGACTTAGCCATCCTCATAAAATTATGGGTACGGAAATGATGCTACTGCTTAAGCAGCAAACACAAAATGGTTAGATGCTAAGGACTATTATGCAGCCATTATAAATCATGTTACATAAAAATATACACAAACTAAAAAGAACAAGTGGCACCCCAGTATCTAGTAAGCTTCAGAGGAGATCGGGTCTTTAGTAGCTGCTAAAGATATAGATTACTCTGCCAGACACAGGGTGTCTCATCACTAATAAACTCCTAATAGTGGGTATCCTTCTTTCATATTCATCTACATAAAACAGTCATGATAAAATTCATTCTCTAAGGTGGTAGTAAAAATTAGTTGAGATGATGCATGTAATGGTGTTTACCTCAATGACTGGTACACAATACTCCATCATAGAAGTTCTTTTAATGTATATCAATCTAAGGCTTAGAATTTCACATTTACCAGTATTTATTCCTCACCTCTCATTCACACAGCATTTGAAATCATCATCAGCTCAGACCTCCTGACTTTCATGGAAGGCATCCATGAAATCAAGTCTTTTAAAAAGTCAAAAATGATTTCTTTCGCCCAGAGGATTCCAGTCTTTGAACTACATAATTTGGATTTTTTGTTCTGTTTTGTTTTGTTTTTCAGCTAAGAAAGCAAGCACTTCATTTCTTAAGCAACCGCACCTCAGCACTAACAACCCCAGCAGACTATCTTTCCCTCAAAATCACAGGACTGCTCATAGAATGCTCAGAGCATCACAGAATCTTACAGAACTCTTTTATAAAGAAAAATATGGCTGTCATCTTTTTATGTCTCTAAGAAATGACAATAATTCAGATTTCAATTCTATAGTGATTTGATTTGATCATTTTAAAACAAAGACATAAAATGGTTCATTTATATAACCAGTTGCTAAGAGTGTTGGCATTTTAATAGGCAGCTTATGAAAACATACTTTTTGAAAGAAAATACTAATATCTACAGAGAGGAAAAGGATGAATGAAGCTCATAAAATTTAACTGCATTTTAGTTTTGATTTGGGAAAGCTGCAAGATCATCCACTTGGGAAACACAGCAGCTGTATTTCTAAGTCCTGCCTCGTACAGTTCCCCACCAGTTGCTGCCATGAGAGCCCCTTCTCTAGAGGGAGGCGGCAGCATTCGTATCTGCTCTCTCCCTGCAACCTGTGCTGCTGAGCTAGTGGAAATCTCAATGATTCAAGGGACTGAATAGAAGTTCCTTTCGTCAAAAAGTCTGACAATTCTGGGGCCCATGATCTGGGAATGAAATATCTGTCCTAATCCAGCCTGGGGCCAACACACGGTTGTTGATTGCTTTAAAGAACGAAGCACTACCAGCCTTAGCTGTTTCTCAAGAGAAAACACCTGCTAAGGGCATTTTCATTCATTCCAACTGAGCAGTTTCAAGGATCTAACCAAGAAAGCAGAGCAAGCAACTTCTGGTAGATAAGAGCAGACTCTATAGATGCCTTCCTACGCCAAAATACCTACCCCTCCCCCAGCTCACTTGAAAGGAGTGCCTAAATTCCCACCTTAATTCGTCATTGGATATATTAAAGAAAATATTTAAAAGTTCCCTAACAGGCAGAGCAAAATCCATGAAGTCAAATCATATAGTATTATCTTAGCAAGAATGTTATTTTAAAATAGCATATTCTATACTATTAAACATGTAATATTTTAAAATATATTTTATTACTTGTCATATACATTTGAAATATTAAAATTATATCATAAAATATATTTTTATTAAGGGCTTATGTGCCAGAGACTGTCACCAGTGATTCATATACCTTATCTTAATTAATCCTCACTTGTTTCAAGGCAGGTACCAGTGTCCACATTTTACACATGAAGTAACAAAAGCCTGGACTGGCTAAATAACTAACCAAAAGCTACTCAGCTAGTAAGAGGCAGAACTGACTCCCCAACGCAGAGATCTAACATACTCCACTGCCTCTCTCTAAGCAGAATTCAAAGGAGGACAAAGGAAAAGAAAGGTACTAAGTTCAGGAGACACTGATTTGTATATTAAAAAATAAAGTATTATTGTCTACAATGGTAGTTGTGAAAGTTGGCAGCTGATTGGAATCACTGAGGGCATTTTTTCAAATAGTGGTGCCTGGGTCCGAGCCCCCTCCCCCTCCCAATTCTGATTCTAATTGGCATTTTCAAACACTCCCCAGGTGATTTTAATGTAGAGTCATGGTTGGAAATCACCATCTAGAAGGATTTGGAGTAGAACTTAAACGTTCATAGAGGACGCTTAGTGAACAAACAAGGTTTTAGAAATCTCTAGAACAGGACTATCCAAAAAAAAAACACTTTCAGTGATGAAAAATTTCCATAATCTGCACTGTCCAATGTGGTCGCCAATGGCAACAATGGCTACTGTGACTAAGGAGATGAATTTTACATTTCATTTCATTTCAATGAATTTATATTTAAATAGCCACATGGGGTAGTGGGAACTGTACTGGACAGCACAGCTGCAGAGATCTGTCAATGTGCCTCTGCTTTATTGATGAAATGTGTCAACTGAGATGTTGACCGTAAACAAAGTGGCAAGTACATGAGCTCCTACTGTCCATATCAATTATTTGACATGACCGATTGTCCAAAATGGAGCTTTGTTAACAAGTCAGATGCTCTGAGTAGCTAACAGGGGAAAAAAAAAAAAAAAGATCAATGCCATGGAAAATATGTCAAATATATTTAGCTAAATACTCTTTAAGGACATAATTCTTCAGGTCAGTGTTAATTTGCTCCCTATAATGCAAGAACCAGTTGCTAGCCATGGCCAGTATAAATGCCAATATCATCACCGTAATGCAGAGGAAAGAAGAGAATTTAGGGATGTAAAATGTTTTGTCAACAACTTCTGCTGTTACTGTGGGTCAAAAGAATCTCTTCTTTCATCTTCATATCTTTGGCACCTACTCCAGTACTTCAAATATCTATTCAACGGACTAAAAAATAATTTAATGATAGCGGAATAATGGAGCATTTATGCATTATCTTGCATATTGTAGTCAATCATACATGCAGAATAAAAGGGTTTGGACATAAATTGCAATTCATAAAAATTACCAATATGTCTCACTTTTATTTCAATAAAAATTTGTTTCCTACTTAGGTGCATAACATGCCTGTGTACCGAGCTATTATACATTCCTTAATTTGAACTACATGACTACATATGTCAATGGACTAATTCTGAAGATGTGCATATTCCCCAAAATTTTGATATAGAACTATATGCTTTTTTAAAGGTCTCAGATTATTTGAATTTTGTATATCAGATGTTCACATATATTATATCTGAACTTAATTTAATTTAGAAATGCTCTGCAGTAAATTATACTTAGCTAATTGTACGTATAAATCCCTCCATAGTTAAAAATAATTTTATTATATTCTGAATGGAGCTTGCAAAAAAGAAGACATCATTTATGGCTCTACATTTGCCTTTATACGCAGTAATACTAAAACCCAGGCATGGTACCAATCTACATGAAAACAAGAGCTTAGCTTCAAAAATTAAACTGCCTGGAGAGGAAAAGCTAAAAACATACTGATATACTTCTTGGTCCAATAATATACTCGCATTTCCTCCCATTTTTCCAAGATGAAGCCAGGTTAACAACTGAGTAGTGTTAGAAAAGAAAGAGGGAGAGTGATTAATGACACTGAAAATGTGTAAAATGTGCTCAATTCATCAGTTGCTTTGAGGACACAACTCTTTTGGACCATTCCTATTCTGCTCTATGTCATCAAAGTAACAACTACTGCTGTGGCCTCAGTAAACACCACTTTTATCACAGTAACAAAAAAGGAGGCTTTGCCTGTGTTTTTAAGCTAATGACATTGCAAATGTAATAGAACAAGACACAATGGTCTAATAAAAAAGAAAAGCTAATCGTAAAAGAAATTTGGACTACGATAATGGCTTAAAACAGTCAATTCCAAAGCAAGAGACCATGGTAACTAATTGTTCCATTCTAGTTACACAGGGAAAGCCAAAAGACATAATGCATTAACTGCAGTTAGAAAACAACTAAGTAAAATTATGAGTGTGTGTGTGTGTGTGTGTGTGTGTCTCTCTCTTTGACTTTCCTTTGTTAAAGAGAATTATTTTTAAATCTGCAGTCCTTAAAACACATACACACACAATATTCTATGTTACTCAAACACTGTCCCAGTCCAGAAAACACTGATTAATTAGTCCTCCATGAGTTATCACATACATTTTTCTACCAAGCATTCACTGTGCTATTTTGGTTAGTTTCTATGTCTGTCTCAATTTAATTCAACAAATACTTACTGAGGCTCCATTTGCCAAGCACCATACCAGGTGCTGGAGACCTGATAATAAACATGGTAAGTTTCCTGGTCTGATGGAACAGCATCTAGATTTACAGCTGAATAAAGGGCTGAGTGTTAAAGAGAGTAAGCACAGCGTGCAGTCAGAACAAATAGGGGGGTCCAACCCAGACGTGGGAGAAAGGAAAGACTTCCCAGAAGATGCAGCCCAAACAGTGAATCCACGTTAGCCACAGAAGATGCAGAGGGGCAGAGGGTAAGGAGTTGAGAGCACTGCTGGCCCAAGAAATGCCTTGTACAACAGCGCAGCAATGGACAAAACACTGCATGAAGGAGGAACCCAACGTTTAATAACTCAAGGGGAAGGCAGGGAGTTCAAGATGAGGCCAGAGAATAAGCAGGAAGTAGTCACTGAAGAACTCATACATCTTACTGAGGAGTTTCAACTTTTATTCTGAGAGCACGAGGGCACCAGATTTGAGTTTTATAGGACAATTGTTACAGCAGCCTTGCACAGAGAAGACTGGAGCGTGCAGGAAGCCAGAATGCAGAAGACTCCTAGAACACTAGCTCCCAGAAAGTAGTTTATCACGGCTCAACAAAAGATCAATAACGTTGATTGAATTCCATTCATACTAGAAAACATATCTATTTAACTGTACCCTCAGAAAAATTTATAATTCTATCATGCTTTATTAACAAGGCATATGGTCCAGGAACAGTGGCTCATGCTTTGTAATCCCAACACTTTGGGAGGCTGAGGAGGGCGGATTACAAGGTCAGGAGTTCGAGACCAGCTTGGCCTACATGGTGAAACCCCATCTCTATTAAAAATACAAAATTAGCGGGGTGTGTTGGAGCATGCCTATAATCCCAGCTACTCAGGAGGCTGAAGCAGGAGAATCACTTGAACCTGGGAGGCGGAGGTTGCGGTGAGCCAAGATCGTGCCACTGCACAGCCTGGGCAAAAAGAGTGAATGAAATTCCATCTCAAAAAACAAACAAACAAACAACAACAACAAAATAAACAAGGCATATGATCTCCCAGCAACAGAATATGCGATTTTAACTGTTTTATCATTGCTTAATTCACTTGACCTAAATTTTATGCACTGTACCCCTTCCCTCCACCCTCACATTGGTCATCCTAGTGACCAATGTATACAAGTGAATAACAGCAGGACAGTTAGGGCTAGAGAGATCTTCCTTCAAACCAAGTTAACTCATTTATTTACAAAGTTGATTACATCAACTTAAATGCTGAAATCCACCCCAGCATTAAGGCAAAAAAAAGTAAGGTTGAGGCTGGGCACAGTTGCTCACACCTGTACTCCCAGCACTTTGGGAGGCCAAGGCGGGTGGATCATGAGGTCAAGAGATCGAGACCATCCTGACCAACATAGTGAAACCTAGTCTTTACTAAAAATACAAAAATTAGCTGGGCGTGGTGGTGCATGTCTGTAGTCCCAGCTGCTCAGGAGGCTGAGGCAGGAGAATCGCTTGAACCCAGGAGGCAGAGGTTGTAGTGAGCCGAGATCACACCACTGCACTCCAGCCTAGCCACAGAGCAAGACTCCATCTCAAAAAAAAAAAAAAAAAAAAAAGGAAGGTTGAGGAATAAAGGCTGCTTAGGTCAACAGAAACTATCAATTCAGAAATTGCTAAGCAGAATTATGTATCTTTATATTAAGCAAATATACTGCACTGGCATGTGTATATAACTCAAGAATCATCCCACTGGACAACTGGGATGTTGTCCCAGCATTTTATTAATCAGTTGATTGACCTTTGAACAGACTTACTAGAATACCTGACAATCAGCAACCAAACAGAAACAAATCTTTACTTCCACACAAGCAAGGTTTCAAAGTGAGAAAAAAAAACTGCCACACTTGTAGGCAGTGTTATTTACTGTGGCAATTTTTTTCAGCCTTTCAGCTTGCACTGCATAGAATTTACCATTATCAGGGAGATCCTCAGAGAGGAGACCCTGGTGCTTTTCTGCTACAGTTTTAGAAGCTTGTTCATTCATTATCCTCTGAGATTTATCCAGGATTTCTTGCTGTTTACAGCCTATCTGTGGTGATCACATCTCATCTCCAGTCACATGGGCAGTGTGATCCTCCATGTCAAGGGGCTGATGGATACAAGGGGTAGTTATGGCATAGGGATCTCTTTTAAGTCGAGGAGTACTGCGTCCACCCTACTTTAGAAACATACACATTAGGCGTCCTTAATCTTTCGGGGTCATGAGCCTATGGTGTCACAACTCCCTAGAATCACAAAATATTGAAAGCAATTTCTTAAGTCTATTCATGCACCCCTCAATGTAGGTGGATTACCTAGGATTCTTCAGGTCACAAGAAAAAGGAAATCTAAATCAAACTAACTCAAGTTCCCTAACCCCCAGGACTCTGTTGTCTTAAGTAAATAATGTGCTTCAGGCACATTTTGAGTAGTCTGCATCATCAAGGCTCTCTTCACTTGGGGCTTTATTTTTAGGAACCCTGTGTTAGTACCATAGCAACTAACTGTTCCAGGTCAATATCATCCCAGATTCAAGGCCACAGGAAAGAAGGTGGTACCCTTCTCCTGACACACCAACAAAACTCACAGTAATAATTCTAATTTTTCTGACTGGGTCACATGCTTGTCCCTGAATCAATCACTGTAGGCAAAACGATGTTATTCTCTATTTGCCCAATCTTGGGCCACATGCTGACCCCAGGAGCCGGGGGTCAAATCTGCAAAGGAAAGGGTGGTGGTAGTTAAAGTAAATCTAGGAGGCTCTTGGGGGAAGACAGGTGCATGGGTGCTAGTTACAAACTCCCAATCTACAGACTGAATTTAAGTAGACTAAACCTTTGCATTGGAATCTTAGTATCACAGGATTGTAGAACTCAAGGAAACAAAGTGATCTTAACCAGCAACTCTCAAAGTATGAACCTGGGGTCCTGGAGGTCCTGAGACCTTCTCTGGACTCCCCAAGATTGAATCATTCCCCTGCCCTGTTTCAGGCCCCGAGGTCTGCCAGAGTTTGGTCATAGCATATATGTTTATGTGACTGGTATCCTCCCCATGACTACAAGCTCCATATAATTAACGTCCACGTCTGCCATGTCTGCTGCATGCCTGGCATGCTTCCTGGAAGTCAACAGTGTCTCCTGGATGAGAAACTGAATACATTAAAATACAGCCATAACACCTGGATATTTCCTTGGATCTTTATCTGCAAATGCTTTCTTACCAAGTGAACCACTAAAGACTTTGTCAATCCAATCTTCTCAGAGGTCTAAGATGTTACAAAAGTAAAGACATTGGATTCTTACCCACCAGCATGGCTCTAGCAGCTATTATGACAAAGCACAGAAATCACTCCGAACCTACAGCCAATGTCAAACCAAAAGAAGCAACATCATCATCACAATACAGTCATCAATTTACCTGGGCAAAGGGGATGCTTGGTTCCCCTAGGACTTCACATATTCAGATGTGGGCAAAATTTAAGACAAGCAGCTAAGATACCAGAGGGCAGAGAGTGAGATGTCAGTGATGATAAGGCAACTCAAACCCTAACAAGGCATGATGGCTTAGACACACTAATAAACCCTGAGACAAATATGATTTTTCAGAAGTTCTTTTCCACATTTCAAGATGACCATTTCAACCTGACCAGATCACTCCTTTTATTCATTCATACAAAGATGGAAAGCATCAAGTGCCTATAACACCTACCAACCTAAAGGAAATACAAAGAGCAGAGGAACATGTAAACTAACACCACAGGGATGGGATCAGGTAATCCACACTATGGGAAACTACAGGGCAAACAACCCAGTTTCTTCAAATATAAATTCCAGGAAGAAAGAGAGATGAGGAAGGTCAGGAAGGAGGGGAGAAATGAAAAAGGAATTTAATAGATAAAAAGAAACATAAAAGACCAATTGTATTAGACTGTATATTCAGTTTTGTATATTGCTATAAAGAAATACCTAAATCCAAGGCAGGCAGATGACTTGAGGTCAGAAGTTTGAGACCAGCCTGGCCAACATGGTGCAACCCCGTCTCTACTAAAAATACAAAAATTAGCCGAGTGCGGTGGTGCATGCCTGTAATCCCAGCTACTCCGGAGGCTGAGCCAGAAAAATCACTTGAACCCAGGAGGCGGAGGTCGCAGTGAGTTGAGATGGCACCACTGCACTCCAGCCTGGGCAACAGAGCGAGACTCTGTCTCAAAAAAGTAAAAAATAAATAATAAATAAATAAAAAGAAATACCTGAGGCTGGGTAATTTATAAAGAAAAGGCGTTTAACTGGCTCACAGTTCCACAGGGTGTACAGGAAGCATGATGCTGGCATCTGCTGGGCTTCTGGGGAGGCCTCAGGAAGTTTACAATCATGGTAGAAGGTGAAGGGAGAGCAGGTACATCTTACAATGGCAGGAGTATGAGGAAGATAGAGTGTGAGGGTAGAGGTGATACTCACTTTTAAACAATCAGAGCTTGCGAGAACTCACTATTGAGAGGACAGGACCTAGTGGGATGGTGCTGAACCATTTGTGAACCATTGCTGAACCTGCATGATCCAATCACTCCCACAAGGCCCAAACTCCAACACTGGGGATTACAATTTGACATGAGATTTGGTGGGGACACAGATCCAAACCATATCACCAACCAAATACAATGTGTGCACCTCACTTAGATCCTTATTCAAACAAAGAGAAAAAATATTTTGCAACATTTGGCAATTAGTAATTTGAATACTGGATATTTGACAACTAAGGTATTACAGCTAAATTTTTTAACTTTAACTGTTTTAATCACATATATTTAAAATACCCCTCTTAGATGTAAATATTGAAATATATATCATATAAAGTGATTTGACATCTAAAAATTATTTCATAATAAAATAGGAAGGATGAAGCTAGTGGGCCTGGACAGAATTAAGCAGAGTTTGCAAAAGTGGATGACGGTACAATGGGGTGTCTTATGTTATTCTGTCTACTCTTTCTATGGTCCATTATATTTTCTAGAGGAAAAGGAAAAAAACTTCCTCAAAAGCAGGGATGTTAGCTATCTTGTTCTGTTCTATTTCCAGTGCCCAGCACAGTTCCTAATACATAGTAGGAGCTCAATAAATATTTGTTAAATGAAAGAGAGAACATTTCTTATTCATTCCACTAGTCCAAGGCTCATGGGAGCAATGTGGTATGCCATATAAAGCTATATAAAGCCTTCCACAGCCTGCTTCTCCTGACACACACATTGCATACACTGTTGTCAACAACCTATCTTTATTCTCTTTCTCACTGTCATTACTGTTACACCTCCAGGTGGCTTCTCCTGCAGTACTGACAGCTTTTATACCTAATCTCTATTTTTATGAGAAGGCAATAAAACTGAGAAAAATCCTACCCAAAGCAATCTACTTTTAAAAAATAAAAAATATTTATTGAGCCTGTACAATGTGCCAGAGCTGACCTATAAGCACTGAGGATGCTTCGTATAAGCACTGAGGATGCTTCGTGAACCTTCCATTTTTAACGATGGACACACACCTCCTTCCCCAGTTTCACCATATGAGAGGTCATAGTGCACACTGGACTCCAGAATTTAAGAAACTGGGTATGAATCTTGGTTCTGCCACTTACCAGATGGTAGGACATTGGGTGAATTATTTAAACTGTGCCTCTGTGTCCTCACTGATAAAATGAAGAATCTTTTAAAATCTATTTCCTAGAGTTCCTACCACAATGCCAAGTACAAAACAATCAATCAGGTTACTGATTATTTTTACCACACAATTTTTTTCCTTAGGAAAATTTTAAGAATTGTTTTCATTAAAAAAGGAATAAAAGTTATTTTGCCACGTCACCCATGCCTAGCCTACGTCCCTGTGAATTTGGAACTTGACATAATTTCAGGAATCCCTGCTCTGCCTTTTCCCTAAGCCCATGTGGGATCTTGGAGGACGGATGTAAATAATGGCCAGAGCTGCAGATGTGCAAATAGTAGGGCTTGCTTTCACATCACATCTGGCCTGCTTTCCAATTCCTAGGTGGCCAAGAGTGATTCACAAGTCCAAAGCAACATGTCTTCAATGAACATATACCATTACATGAGTGGGAGAAAAACGAGGGGCCCAGCAGGTATAGAGGCCCCAGGTGAATTCCCAAACTACAGCTGTTAGAAAACATGTGAACGGTGCTGGAGACCTTAAGAAAGCTGCATATACAAGCCAACTAAGTTGTAGAAAGAATTTGTGTGTCTTTATCTTCAAAAATAAATCTGTCCTCTGCTATCAGCTGACCCAATCTCTTTCCAACATTAATGAATTCATGAATTGAACAAAGAGACACAGTAGCCCTCCATTCCCTCCTTAAGTTGTCTGCCTAAATACCTTCTACATCTAATGCAGCATTCAGAGCTTGGGGGTTTTACCCAGAAAGGCCATGTTACTACAAGTCATGGCTATTTTCTTGCCTACCAATAATTTAACCTCTTAGTAAGTTATAAGAAATATCTCTTTACTGAAAAATGTCATATTTTTTTCTGTCTTAACCTCTTTTGCTACCAGACACCAAAGCATCTGTGGGAATATTTTAAAATGTTGTAAGAGTACATGGATACTAAATACTTCAAAATTATTCCCTGAAAGAAGCATGTCTGTACTCCCTGCCCCCAATGAGCAAACACACACACAAATGGCTTACGGTAAAACACCCATAAAGTAAAGAAGAGGGAAGAGTAACTTATCTTCAAAAGCGCAGACACAGAAAATGTATGAAGCGCTCTTAGAAAGCATATTGGTCTGAGATGTTTTAAAAGTTTATCTTTGAAAATCTAAGCCTGAGGTTACTTTTGGGAAAACTAATTTAAGCATGAAAAGAAGAGAGCTTATAGCTTATCAATTAAACATTTTGGCCCATGGCACATTCTTTTTTTCCACTAACAGGCAGGGACTCTTCTCATCTTTAGAATCTATCTCCCATTTGAACAATACTTCTTTTAAAGAACTATCCTTAAAATCAATTATTTAAATACTTTAACCTAAGCAGTGGTTGTGCTGAAGCTGGCTTGTATTGGCTCACAAAAGTAGCACTTCTCCCCAACTTCGCATTCAGTGACTTCATATTGGTAGTCTGAAATCAACCATGGTGGATACATTGACACCATGGAAATCGGCAAGTGCTATAAATCAGAGCTCTTTCTTCCCTAGAGAGTCAGTAGTTAAATACTTCCTAGCTACTAGTGAGGCTAAAATGCCCATCAAAAGGGAAATGTTAAATAAATTATGGCACAGTTATGCAATGGACTTCTAAAACACCTAAAAGGTAACATAAAACTATATATTCATCAATGAGGAAAGGTGTCAACAGTATTTTTAAGTTAAAAATATAGATAATTTTCAGCCAGGCGCAGTGGCTCATGCCTGTAATCCCAGCACTTTGGGAGGCCAAGGCAGGCAGATCACGACGTCAAGAATTCGGGACCAGCCTGGCCAGTATGGTGAAACCCCGTCTCCACTAAAAATATAAAAATTAGCCAGGCGTGGTGGTGCATGCCTGTAGTCCCAGCTACTCGGGAGGCTGAGGCAGGAGAATTGCTTGAACCCGGGAGGCAGAGGTTGCAGTGAGCCAAGATCGTGCCACGCACTCCAGCCTGGGCGACAGAGCAAGATTCTGACTCAAAAAATAATAATAATAAAATTTTTGAATTTTATATATATATATGCATATGTATTTTATAGGTATACCACTTTAGTAGTTGTATATATGTGTAGATGTGTATGTGCACATATATACATGCATGGTATACACATATACATGCATGGAAAAAAATACACCAAATGGTAAAAACACATTATCAATGACTGGAAGGATTATGACTGAATTCTGTTTGCTTAATTTTACTTTTCTGAATTTTGCAAAGTTTTTAGAATGAACAGCTATTATTTCATAACAGGTAGGAGATCATACTAAAACTTAAATAAAAAGAAATCAATATTATTATACTGGCATAAGCATATGCATTTCAATGCCAGTATTATGAGCTACTTATATTTGGGATAAGAAGTAGAAGGGAATATTATTTTTAAACATGTGTTGAAAGAGACTGGATATCAGCATTCTGTGCAAATTCTTACCTGTTACTTGTGCCTAAATGAGCTTTCATCTGCCTCTGGGCTAATTAAGTATGGCTACTCAGTCTGATGAAACTTTGAAAACAAAACATATACAATTGAGAAGAATATTTTTCTTACTGACCTTAGTTATTATTACATATGCTGGCCTTCATCATTCAACAATTGGTACATTTTGTGCCCAACTCACAAGACCAGACCAGCCTGACATTTATCAGCATGGATTTTAAAAAATTGTCTCTAATTACATTAAGGGCACTGTATTGAGACATCAACGCTTTTGCAATTAGGATATGCTAACCATCTCAGATCCTCCATAAACCCTTTGTAGTGGGTTTTAAAGATGGAAAACACGACTAACTTTAGATTTCAAATAGTTCTCTTTCTAACAATTTTTAAACACATTATCAATAACATTACTGAGAGGAATAAGGAAGCCTTTAAAAATAAATAAAAGGAAATTCATCCATTCTAATAGCACTGCTCTCAGCAATGTTCTTCAGTTTCTCCTCATATTACCTGACCTGCTCTAATATGAATTTGTGCCACCATCCCCCGGTCTGCTGCTCCAACAATGTTTCCTTATTTCTCAAAGAAGTTCAGCATCAACCTTGGGGTTCACTTTCTATAATCCAAAGTAATCACCTGATTAAAGGTTTTTAAAGTAAGGATTTGCTTTATCCAGTCCCAAGGAACCAGGGGCTGGTTATAAATCTAAACTTTCACAACTATCTGGGTAGCTCTCCTTTTTTTTCTTTCCTATATTCTGTGCTTCTCCCTGATACAGGAACAAAACAGCAACATTCATGACCAAGAGCCTAAGAGACTTTCAGAATGTCGAAAGTTGATGCCAAATTGGGAAGTAAGACAGTAAGTGGGGAAGACGTAGGAGACAAAAACAACTACTTCCATTTATTAATCACTTTACACTATGCTAGGCACAGCACAAAGAATATTACAAAAAAAAACATTTTAAAGTCTCTTTATGTTCATAAACCTCTTCAAGAGGCAATATTATCACTTGGAACTTAGCAAAATGACATAATGCCAAAGTCACACACAGCTAGTTAACAACACAGCCAAACTGCTCTTGCTCCGAAGCCCACTGCCTTAAGCTCTATACTCTGCTCCCTCCACGCAGTCCAGGGTCTAAACTTTGAAACGCCTTGGACCTAGGATGGCTGAATCAAAAGGGTCAAACACAGATGGGTCAGACGCACCCTTACTTCAAGGTCTACTCAACTACATTCTCCTACAATAAAGTCCCAAGCTACAAACTTTTGGCATGGAAGAAGCTGCATAATGTTATTGTGATAATTATTACAGAGAGGGATATTTTTTCTCTTGTCTCTTGTCAGTACTCAGAAGTATATTTATATTCACATTTATATAACATTTAAGTTATTTTCCCATTATATTATTCTAATTGCCTGCAGCAAAAAATTTTTTAATGTTATATGTAAAATTAATAGCATCTTTATGTCTATCATGAAAACAGTCAGGCTGAAATCCATCCAAAAAGATTCCCTGAACATTTCCTTCCAGATGAACCAGGAACCACTCACTCACTCACACAAAATACATGTTCAACTAGAGTTGATTTTATAAGATATTAATTAACATAGCTTCATTCTGCAGTGACAAGAGCCCATCTGCTTTCTTGGCATTGGAGAAGTGATGGACTTCAAATCAGCTTAAGGGAGGCTTGAGTCTGGAATGATTTCCATCTGCAACTAGTTCTTATCTAGTTCTACTTTTCACTGTTAACTCAGCATATCTCATCAGACTTCTTCAACTGGCCAGAGGAGGACCATCAGGTTCTGTCCAAACCTGGTGAACATCAAGCACCAACATCACAGGCTAACTGTGGAGCTGAACTTTTATAGGAGGAAGGAGAAGGTCTATCCCACAATAAGATTTCTCACCCCCCAAACTCAAACACTTTTTTATGGCTAAATCCAGTCTCTGCACTGTTGTAGTTCTCCAGGGTAGTATATCTCACATCTATGTATTCTTTAAACAGCCCCTTTTTTCAGTTAGCAGTAAGATGGGAGACTGAAAGAAAAGGAATGAGCCCTATTGATGTCACTAAGTGGTTAATGATAATGCTGTACTTTCCAAACCCCAAGGGCAGAAATCTAAGCAAATTAACACAGTTTCAAGTTTTAAAGTCAAGTAACAGGCTGAATAATGGCCCCCTAATGATGTCCACGTTCTCATCTGCACAACTGCAAATGTGTTACCTTACATTACAAAAGGATTTTGCAATTTATGATAAAGGGTATGGACCTTGAGATACGGGGATTACTCTGGATTACCTAGTCGGGCGGATCTAATCACATGAGTTATTAAAAACTGAGAACTTTTCCTGTTCTATCAGAGAGATGGGACAGAAAGAGAAAAGATTCCAAAAGGAAAAGGAGCTCAACCCTGCTGTGGCTGGCTCTAAAAGCAGAGGCAGAGGGCCATGAGTCATGGAATGTGGGTGGCCGCTAGAGGCTGGGAATGGCCCTCCGCTGACAGCCAGCAAGAAAAAGGGGATCTTGGTACCACAACCACAATGAGCTGATTTTGCCAACAACCCAAAAAACCAAGGAAAACGATCTTTACCCCAGAACTTTTAAAAAGGAACACAGCCCTTTCAACACCTTGATTTTAGCCCAGTGACATCCACGTCAGCCTTCTGACCTTCACAAATATAAAATAATAAATTGTGTTGTTTTAGCCATTCTGTTTGTGGTAATTCACTATAGCAGCAACAGAAAATTAATATATAGGCTCAGGCAAAATGAAGAGCATTTCTGAACACCTTCTTAGCCTCTTGGTCTTTAAAATCAAAAGGAACCAACTGCATAGTGCTATGGTCTGAATGTCAGTGTCCTCCCAAAATTCCTATGTTGGAACCTAATACCCAGTGTGATAGTATCAAGAAGTGGGGCCTCTGGGAAGAGATGAGGTCATCAGGGCTCCGCTCTCACGAATATGATTAGTGCTCTTCTAAAGAGGCTCAAGGTTGCTTTCTTCTACCCCTTCTGGCATGTCAGGAAGGCACAATCTATGACGAAGAAGACCTCCCCAGACATCATATCTGCTGGTGCCTTGATCTTGGACTTCCCAGCTCCCAGAAGTGTGAGCAATAAATTTCTCATGCTTGTAAATTACCCAGTCTAAGGTATTTTGTTATAGCAGCCCTAATACACTAAGACACATGGTATATTGCTTACAAATGTTTTTTAATAAGCATGAGAGTTGTACAAAACCCCATTTGCAACATCTGCAATGCCAAAGACAGCTGTAGGTGTTGGGGAAAGTCTCTGAGCCATTACTCTCAAAGATATTAAATCATTCCAGACTATTCTGAAAGCCAAAGATAATTAAGCTTGATCAGGAATCTCAAGTTTTTTTCCAGTGTAATATGTTTGTATAATGGCAAAACTATGGCATGGATCCCTACATAAACAGTTGTGCTTTCAGTAGGTGTTGACTGACTCTCCCTCCAATTCTACTTTGGATTCAGCAATGCTTACAAATAAACTGTTTTATTAGTCACAACGGTATCTACATACACGTGAAAAATGACATTCCAGACACACGTGAGATCATTATTTATGCAGATGAAGCCTGGTACACATACAGAGGCAAAGATCTTTCTGAGTTCTGACCACCAGCACTGCCCAGATCTTTAATATGAAAGCCAGTGTCGTGGATTGAAAACTACCATTAAGGTCTTGGCACATACTGTGTCAGAGGAAACATCTGTTTGAGGCATCGCAGTTGTTCTAATTTCCACCTTAAGGATAAGTCTGATTTTGGAATCAAATCTTCCTGAGGCTTTTTGTGTAATGCTAAAACCACACCTGGGGAAAATCTTATAAAAGGAGAGAGAGAAAAAAAAAAACACAGAGAGAGAGAAAGAAAACATATAAAGTTCACTTCCAAATAAAGACATGGGGTAGCTATAGCTGGCATAATTTAGTTTATCACCAACCAACCAATGATTGGTTCAACCACGGCTCCAGTAACAGCTCTCATGCAAAACACAAAATATGTTTAAATCAATGCTAAGTTAATGGGCTGCCACAACACAACTTCTCTCAGTGGACACTATTTCACACCAGATTTCCATAGCCAGATTCTGTATCAGACTCCTTATCAATAGAGGTGCCTTAAACAAGACTGACTTATATTTGCTAACAATTTTCCATTGATTTATGATTCACAGTATTATATTATGCAATCTGTTAGACAGATTTTAATAATCAGATGTGTCCAAGTGATGAAACATGGGACTGCTTGCCCAAACTTTACCAAGGTTGTAATACCCTCCATGTTTTCAGTAAGGTAAATATAAAGAAACAATGGGACCTCCATTGTTTACCAGGAGTCCCACTTGTGACATCTGCTAATACAAATGAAAAGATTTATAGTATTAAACTGAAGCAAACAAGCATGCAAAACTATGGAGAGGGTGACATTGGGTGGTTTTAGAAAGGTTACACAGTATCTTTAAAATGTAAACTCATTTAGACTCTGCCAGTAATCAGCTATATGTACTTTTAGCAATTGGACCTCTCTGAGCTCCAATTGCTAAATGATATTCCCCTTTATTTGTGAAATGAGGAGACTGGTCTGCATTTGATTCTGCATTCTAAATTCATGAATGCTAAGTGAATTGGCAGTGTCCCTAACAATGACCTTTTTGTCCTGTTCCTCACTTCTAACTTCAAGCTAGAAACCAGCACATTACTCTGCAACTTGCCACTGACTTAATGGACAACTTCAAGCAAGTGTCACTTCCCCAACAAGCTTCAGTTTCTCCTTCGCTAAGAGCCTCCTCCGCTAATTCTGAGGAAGATGAACAGGGCCACCTGGCAAAAATTTTTTACAGAATACAAGTAGCGTTACCTGGATGTTTTGCATCAAAAACTAAAACAAGTACAGGCTGAAACCCAAAGCTAGTGAGTTCAAATTCCTCCATGCTTTTAAGGATGGAGCATGTGAAGAGCAGAAGTATAGAGATAAAGCATCTTATTGTATAACCACATACACGGTTGAACTTAACCACTCTTCCAAAGTACACAAAACAGCACACTTAATCCATAAAGGAGATTTGAAGACTGGCCTCTAACTCTTGAAAGTTGGCATGCTACCACTATAAAAATGCCGTTTTTGAACTAAAAAGCAAAGACCTAAATGACTCCTGGTCTTACGATTCAGGCAGGAAACTCATGAGGCCAAAACAAAAAAATTCCACATAGATTTTTGCAAATATTTAAAAAGCACCTACTGGAGAGAATTTACTTGTGTGAATGGAAGTTTTAGATAAAATGCCTCTCTGAAATACATTTGCTTTAAAGAGAAAATAAAAGGTGGCAGTCTTTACTACAGATTTGAAATTTAAAAAGGCAAATCTGAAATGTGTCACCACATATGTGGGCCACAAGGTTACAGCTTGCCAAAGTTGCAATTCACATACTTTACCCATTCCTGGACTTACTGAATGTTGAGTAATAATTGTGGGGGCCTTGCCTTTCATATTGCGCCAATAATCTCGAGAGACCTTACATTACCATTTATCAGGAGGTCTTTAACGTTTTGCTGTCATCATTCAAGAGTGCCTTTTGGTCTCTGATGTTTCCAACCAGCCCTCTTTTTCAGAGCACCTTTCTCTTGACTGCCCAAAGATTAATGTTTAATTGCAGCTGGAAAGGCAACAACTGCACAGCCATCAGCATAAATCACAGTGCAGATCCACTAGGCACCACATTTAACTGGCAGAAATGATGTCTCCCAATCAGTGCCTGCAAATGCAGCTGGTTCTGTGCAGTCTTTGTGCCTTATAATTTGGTTAAGCCCTTTACAAATGATGCCAAGGGAGGGGCTAAGAGAGATTCTTCAAAACAATAAAGACTTCCAGTGTGGTTTTAGCACATGTAATGAAACTGAACACACTGAAAAGAAAACTCCTAGGGATGGAGAATCACAAAAGAATAAAAGGCTTACAGCAATTCCTCATAACCAAACTGCTAGCATGTCTCTGAATACGACATGGTCTTCCATGCCTATCTGCTTGGCAAGTAACTTCTGTTCATTCATCTTTCAAGACTCCTGGATGAAGCTAGATGCTCCCTTCTCTGTGCCACAAAAGCACTCAGCCCAAAGCTTCTCTTCCAACAATTACCATGTGTTTTGGAGCCATTCATTTTTCTGACCATCTCTCTCAGAAGACTTGAGCCTCTTATTTCTATACCTCCACATCCTAGGGCAGCTCCAGGCATACAAGAGATATTTAATGTTTACTGAAATGACTACCCATCAGGCAAAGCATCTGCCTTCAATCTAACCATCATGGTCTCTATCCACTTTGATGAAAATAGCAAACCATTATGGATACTATTTTGTTTTCAAGTCTGGTTATTATTACTCAATGTGGGGGAGCTTGAATCCTACTCACTGCTTTCACCCAGTATATGACTGTATCAAGGAAGCAGATTAAATATGCATTCTTACTACATTTCACTAAAATTCTCACAAGAATTCTACAATGGTGCAATTATATTCCCATTTGTATGGATGAAGTGAATGAATGGAGCTTGGGAAGGTAAATAAATGACTTTTCCAACATCTCCAAACAGGTCAATCAGTAATAGTGGGCTAGGACTGGAATGGAGGTCTACTGAACTTTTTTTTTTTGGGAGACAGAATCTCACTCTGTCACCCAGGCTGGAGTGCACTGATGTGATCTTGGGGTCACTGCAACCTCCGTCTCCCGGCTTCAAGAGATTCTCCTACCTAAACCTCCCGAGTAGCTGGGATCACAGGCGTGCACCACTACGCTCAGCTAATTTTTGTAGTTTTAGTAGAGAGGGGGTTTCACCATATTGGCCAGGCTGGTTTCAAACTCCTGACCTCAAGTGATCCGCCCGCCTCAGCCTCCCAAAGTGCTGGGATTACAGGTTTGAGCCACCACGCCTGGCCTAGGTCTACTGAACTTCTAACACCCATACAATACAATCTCTCCGGCTTCCCCAGTAGCATCAGAGACCAACAGCATAGTTACAACTCCAATTCAAAACAGAAAGACTGAAGATGAACTTTCACTGAATGTGCAAGTATATGTTCAAATATCTATTTACTAGTGTAATCATCGACGACTTACCTATTTGTAAGTCTTTACTATGTCATATAAAATAGAGAATATTCATTTTTAAATTCCAGGCTTTATGAGATTTTTGTTGTGTTATTACAACCAACTTGAAGCAAGTGCCAGCTTTTTTCCACAAGTTAGGTGGCAGGCTTCAGCATGCTTTTGAGCATATTCAACCTACTACAATCTGAGCTCCCAGAAAAGTTTCCTTAATTGAGTAAACAATTACATGAAGCCAAAAGTTGGCTGAAGAGAGAGGGGCTAGATCTCTTAGTTTCATTTGCATGCAGGAAAAAGTTTATGAACTTTCACAAGCTCCCCAGTGGCTTTCTGTAGCAGTGAAAATATCTTTAGATTACTAGTACACATGACTAGCTATGTAACAGAAATCTACAGTCCATTTGCAAATTCTTACTCAGCACCTACTTCCCTAGACACTGGGGATCCTGTGGTGAACACAACACATGTAATTCCCACTTTTCTGCAGCTGAAATTCTTATGCCTAACACCAGCTGATAGATAAACAACAAAGGTAACTTCAGATAATAAGTGCTAAGAAGAAAATAACAGGACGGTATGAAAGTAAGAGGAGGTAGGAACATGAAGATATTAGCTAAAGGAGGTTCTGTAAAGGCTACTTTAGATTGGGTAATTACAGAAGTTTCTGAAATGGCATTGAATTTAAAGCTCAGAATGAATCATCCAGGAGAAAAATCTGAGGGAAGAGCATTCCACACAGAAACCTCAAACAGTGTGAATGAGCTTAACATGTTCAGGAAATAGCTCAGGAAGTCCAAGTAGCTGGAGCTATCTTTCTCTTATTGATTTCTACTTTGATTCCACTATGGTTGGAGAATATACTCTGTATGATTTCAGTTCTTAAATTTCATGCTTTGTGTTACTGCTCACGATATGGTTTTTCTTGGTATACGATCTGTAGGTGCTTGAAAATAATATCTATTCTACTTTTGTTGGGTGGAAGGTCTATAAATGCCAATTAGATTCAGTTAGCTGATGGTGTTGAGTTCTTCCACATTTTTGCTGATTTTTCTCTCTAGTTGTTCTATCAATTATTGAGAGAGGGGTTTTGATGTCTACAACTATAATTGTGGATGTATCTATTTCTTCTTTCATCTCTAGCAGTTTTTGCTTCACATATTTTGCAGGTCTTTTGTTTGTTGCATAGGCATTTAGAATTGCTATGTCGACATGGTGGAATGACCCTTTTATTTATCATTATAAAATGTCCCTCTCTGTCTCTGGTAATTTTACTTGCTATGAAGTCTACTTTATCTGACATTAATACAGCCATTACTGCTTTCTTTTGATTGGTGTTTGCATTACACACCTTTTTCCATCCTTTTACTTTGAACCTGCCTATATTGTTTCATTTGAAGTGAGTTTCTTGAAGACAGCATATAGCTGGGTCATGTTTTAGTCCACGCTGCCAATCTCTTGTCTTTCGACTGATGTTCTTAGAGCATTTGCTTTTAATAAAATTGTTAATGTGTTAGGTCTTAAGGTTTTTATTCTATTTTTTGTTTTCTGTTTCTTCTCTGTTTCTCTTTTCTCCAATTTACTTTTTCTACGTTGTTCTGGGTTGCCTAAACTTTTTTAAAAGCTCTATTTTGGTTTTTCTACAATATTTTTAAGTGCCCCTCTGGTATAATATTTATTTTACTGTCAGGGACTAAGTACTATGTAACTACCTTATTCACATCAAGGAAACAAGAAACTACAGTTATATGATAAGGACGTTAAAAAATTCATTATTTCAGACTTGTCTGGCAGGAAGAGAAAATAGTGTTAAAGGGGCCACTTAATAGCAATGACAAATGTACCAGCAAGTTAACTTGTATCAAGCAAGTAGAGAAAATATTCACTTTCAACCCAAAGCCAATGAATTTCCTAATCCCATGCATTTGCATTTCCTGAGTTTCTGATTCTTGCCACTTTAACAAATAGAACTCATGAGTATGATAAAGGCCATTCGTGATAAGCCAGTGTTTGAAAACAGATGACTATATACAAGAAATCAACGACTCTGTCTGGTGTATTTACTTTCATTGCCAGATAATATTTGCACTAATATTATATTTTTGTAGTGAAAAACAAGAAATCTAAACTATTTAAATGTAAATGAGAACATTCTTATTTTACACTATTTACAGACCATTATTTGGCAGATTTAAGAATTTATATTTACAATTTTAGCACCCTCTGCACCATATATAGACTCTCCCGCCCTGTGCTTGAAACCAGAATGCAGCCCTTCTGTTCAATCGCCCTGTTTCTCCCTTGCAGATTACATTAAGCACCTTGTTTATTCCTGTTTTAATTATAAAAATTGGTATGGTAGATAAGAGATGAGAGCAGAACTGAAGTCCACATCACTGCAGGCAAGCAAGCTGGGGGTTACCTGCTCAACTGAGGACCCAATGTCAAGGCACAAGTTTGGTGGCTTGTGGCATCTCATCCACATTTCCCAAGGGGCACACTGCTGTGCTGTCATCTACCAACCAGACATTGCATTGAGCAGGTTGTCAGACCAAAGATGGAAGGGAGGTACAACCATTCCCAAGTAAGGGGTAAAAGGTACAGTGCATAACATTACAAAGCCAAAGAAAAAATGATGTCATCATTGCAAAATGTGAATAATTTGCTCCATGAACACATGCAAGATCTGAGTCAGAAGAATAAACCACTCTACTCAGTGATATGTTGGATGGTAACAAAGAAATAAATCTAACTCTGCAGGCACAGTATAATGTTCATTCACCTTTCTGGTTTCTTAAAGAATCTCTAAAGTATAAAATGGCTGAGGACTAGTGGCTTAGTGATAAGGATCGTGAATAAAGGACAAAAATAAGGAAGCACAGGACAAAGACAGGACCAGATAGGTATGACGAGACCAATAGGAAAGATGATGGTTGTCTAAAGAAAGGGAAAGAGGCCGGGCGCGGTGGCTCACGCCTGTAATCTCAGCACTTTGGGAGGCTGAGGCGGGTGGATCACGAGGTCAGGAGTTCAAGACCAGCCTGGCCAGGATGGTGAAACCCCATCTCTACTAAAACTACAAAAATTAGCTGGGCGTGGTGGTGGGCGCCTATAATCCCAGCTACTCGGGTGGCTGAGGCAGAGAACTGCTTGAACCCAGGAGGCGGAGGTTGCAGCCTGGGCGACAGAGCAAGACTCCATCAGAGAAAAAGAGAAAGAGAGAGAGAGACAGAGAGAAAGAGAAAGAGAGAAAGAGCGAGCTGTGCTTTTTGTGGAGCCATCACTTTTGTAAATATCTGGTGCCAAAAACACCACACCTGCAATCATCTGCCCTGGCTCACTGTCTTTGAAACTGTTAAATTGTAATATAAATGGGAGGTGTTATAATAACAAGAATAATGCCACCATCTTACATACCTGTGACCTTTCCTCACAGATAGGTCCTAAATGTGACACCTTTTGGAAGAGGTTCCTAAGAAGTAACTACTGACACCATCAAGACAGAAAAAATGAAGGTTTTCTTCAATGCAAAAAAAATAAAAAAATAAAAAACACAGAACTTGCTTCTCCACGAAGTATTATGGTACCTCAGCTCCAAGAAGACACAGGTAAAATATGGGAATCACCTCCTGCTAGAAATAATTCCAGGCAAAAAGGCAGATGTGTGCCTGCCTGGCGCTGCCCACCTCCATCAGGGCTGTCATTTCTACAGCAGCTGTCTGAACAACCCCACAGATGAGTATCAACTTCAGCTGCCACACCTGCTGACGGAAGATAAAGCACAATATGAAAATAGGGATGGTTGATGCCACGACCTCCCAGAGATAGGAGAGTTCCTGGAATTCTTCCAGCAACATTCTCCACTGCCCACACACCTGGAAAGTCAGATGACCATTATATCTGTCCAGCTCACACAAGGGAACCATAACCAGTAGATGCCTTCGTCCTCTGCTTCTATAAAATATGCCACGACCCCACCCAGCTGCTTACCCAACCATGGGGGCCAACGTCCTGATGCTTGGTAACAGTGAGCATCTTCTCTAAGGTATAAACACTAAATACGAATGCAAAGCGCGAAGTAACTCAAATTTGCCATTTTCTTTCTTTACATTTTTCTTTTTAAAATCACAGGAGTGGTTTCAGTCAGCATTTAAATCTATGTTGGTCTGTTTTGCTCATCTCTGGTGTCCTGTTTGATATTTTTAGCTAGTTCCTAAAAGGCACAACCTCAAATTTCACACTTCCTTATTCGTCTTTAAAGGTCTAATACAGGGTTTCTCAAACTCAGTTTGACCAACCCATGAAGGTCTTATTTTTAAACTTTTTATTTTGAAAAGATTTTAGGTTTACAGAAAGTGGTAAAGATGGAACAGAGAAGTTGTGCATACCCTTCACCCAGATTCCCCCATAGGTTCCATCTTACATAACCGTAGTACAACTTCAAAGCCGGAAAACTGGCATTGCAATATTTGTGTATGAGTTCTATGTTATTTTATCACATAAAGGTTTGTGTAACCACCACCCCAATCAAGATACACAACTGGCTGGGCACAGTATTTTACTAAAAATACAAAAAAATTAGCTGGGTGTGGTGGCGCACGCCTGCCATCCCAACTACTAGGAAGGCTGAGGCAGGAGAATCACTTGCACCAAGGAGATGGAGGTTGCAGTGAGCCGAGATCCCGCCACTGCAGTCCAGCCTGGGTGACAGAGTGAGACTCAAAACAAAACAAAACAAAACAAAAACAAAAAAGATACACAAATATTTCATCACCACAAACATCTCCCTTGTGCTACTCCTTTAGTGCATACACACCTCTCCACAACATGCCTGGCAATATTATGTTTTCATCTCTATAATTTGATCATTTCAAGAATATTACATAAATAGAATCATACAATATATGACCTTTAGAGATTGTTTTTTCGTCACTCAGCATAATGCCTTTGAGATCCATCCAAGTTATTGTGTATATCAATAGTTTGTTCCTCTTTATTGTTGAACAGTATTCCATGGCATGGATGTACCACAGTTTGCTTCACCATTCAGCTGTTGTAGCACACTTTAGTTGTTGAACATTATAAACAAAGCTGCTATGGACAATCATGTACAGGTTTTTGTGTGGACATAAGTTTCCATTTCTCTAGGGTGAATGCCTAGGAATATGACTGGGGTCCTGTTGTAAATGTATATTTAATTAATTAAGAAATGGACATATCATTTTCCAGTGTGTTTGTACCATTTTACATTCCCACCAACAATGTATGAGAGACTCAGCTTCTCTGCATCCTCACCAGGATTTGGTGTTGCCACTATCTTTTATTTCAGCTGTTCTCTGTGTAGTAATAACACATCATGGTCTTAATTTGCATTTCCCTAATGGTTAGTAATGTTGAACATCTTTTTAAGTGCTTACTTGCCATCTGTGTTGTCTTTTGCCCATTTTATAATTGAATTGCTTGGTTTTTAATGTTCAGTTCTGAGACATCTTTATAAATTCTAGATGAGTCCTTTATTAAGTCATGCACTGCATAACATTTCAGTCAACAACAGACCACATATACAATGGTGGTCCCATAAAATTACAATGGAGCTGAAAAATTCCTATTGCCTAGTGATACTGTAGCCATCATAAGATTCTAGCTATTCATGTGTTTGTGGTGATACTGATGTAAAAAAAACCTACTGTGCTGCCAGACATAGAAAAGTACAGCACACACAATTATGTACAGTGCATACCTGATAATTACGATAAATGTTACAGTTAATGTATTTATTATATTATACTTTATATCATTATTTTATAATGTATTCCTTCGACTTTTTTTTTTAATTGACTGTAAAACAGCCTCAAGCAGGTCCTTCAGGAAGCATTCCAGAAGAGGACATTGTTACAGGAAATGACCGCTCCATGAGTGACAAAGGCGCAAACACATTCAATGGAGGAAGGACAGTCTTCAACAAATAGTGGCAAAATAAGCTGAGCCTAAGCTCATCTTTAAATAAAAATTAACTCAAAATGGATCAGAGATGTAAATGTAAAATATAAACTATAAAACTGTTTAGCTAAAACACAGGAGAATACTTTCAGGACATAGGGCGTGGAGAAGAATTCTTAGACACGACATTGAAAGCATGATCCATAAAAGGAAAAGACTGACAAACTGGACTTTATCAAAATTCAAGACTTTTGCTACACAGAAGACCTGTGAAGATGAAAAAATAAGTTATGAACTGAGAGACATTACTTGCAAAACAAATATAGTCATGTTGTAAAGCATCTTTACGACGTTGAGTCTTCAATATATGCAATGAGGTATCTCTCCATTCATTTAGGTCTCATTTATTGTCTTTAATTAGCACTTTATAGTTGTCACCATACTAAATCTGGTATATATTTTGTTAGAGTTATACCTAAGTATACCTTTTTGTGGAATTGTAAGTGGTATACATTTTAAACTCAGTATCCATGTGGTCATTGCCAGTATATAGAAATAGCATTGATTTTTGTAAGCTTATCTTGTATCCTGTGACCTTGCTGAACTCCTTTATTAGTTCTAAGATTTTTTTTTTTTTTGGTAGATTTCTTAGGCTTTTCTCTGTAGACAAAGATATCACCTGCAAAGATGTAGTTTATTTCTTCATCTCCAGAGTATGTTTTTTATTTCCTTGTCTTGCCTTACTACCCTAGCTAGAAATTCCAGTACTATATTGAATAGCAGTGGAGAAAACGGACATCTATGCTTTGTTCACTGCCTTAGGCAGAAGGCATTCGGTCTTGCACCATTAAGTACAATGATAGCTCCAGGTTTTATGTAGATACTCCATATTGAGTTTAAAGAAGTTTCCTTCTATTCATACTTTCCTGAGAGATTTTATCATGGATAGGCATTACATTTTATCAAATAATTTTTCTGCATCAATTGATATAATCATGTGATTTTTCTTTCTTAGCCTGTCAATAAGGTGAATTACCTTGATTGATTTCTAAATACTGAACCAGCTTTATATCCCTACAATACACCCTTCTTGGTCATGTTGTAGTAGAATTCTTTCAAATAGTGCTGGCTTTGATTTGGTAAGATACTGTTAAGGATTTTGGTGTGGGTGGGGGGTGGCCTAGATTCATGAGGGATATTGTTCTGTAGCTGTTTGTTTTGTTTTTGTTTTTAGTATTATCTTGGTCTAGTTTTGATATCGGGATAAAACTAGCTTCATAAAGTGAGTTAGAATTATTTCCTCTTCTTCTATTTTCTGGAAGAAATTATATACAGTTGCTATTAATTCTTTTTTAGACATTTGCTACAATTCTTCATTGAAATCATTTGGGCCTAGAGATGGGGGAGAGCCAAATTACAAATTCAATTTCCTTAAAAATAATAGAGCTATTCAAATTATCCATTTGATAGTAAGTTGTGGTAGTTTGTGCTTTTCAAAAAATTGGTCCATCTCATCTCAGTCATGAAATTGATATGCGCAGAGTTGTTCAGAGTATTATTCCCCTAGACGTTTTTGGTATCTGCATGGTGACATCAACAGTGACAGCCTCCATTTTATTTTTTATATTAATAATTTGTATCTTTTTTTCTATTTGTTAGTCTTGCCAGATAACCGTCTATTTTATTGAACTTTTCAAAGAACTAGCTTTTTGTTTCACTGATTTTCTCTATTGTTTTCTGTTTTTAATTTCATTGATTTCTGTTACCTTTATTTCCTTTCTTCTGTTTGCCTTGGGTTTATTTTGCTCCTCGTCTTCTAGTTTCTTGATGTAGGGGCTCCAAACTGTTATTTGAAATTTTCCTCTTTTCTTTCTTTCTTTGTTTTTTTGTTTTGTTTTGTTTTGCTTTTTGTTTTTGTTTTTGTTTTTGTTTTTTTTTTGAGATGCAGGATGGAGTACAGTGGTGCGATCTTAGCTCACCACAACCTCCGCCTCCCGGGTTCAAGCCATTCTCCTGCCTCAGCCTCCCAAGTAGCTGGGATTACAGGTGACCGCCACCACACCCAGCTAATTTTTGTATTTTGAGTAGAGACGAGGTTTCACCATGTTCGCTAGGCTGATCTTGAACTCCTGACCTCATGATCCACCTGGCTCGGCCTCCCAAAATGCTGGGATTACAGGCATGAGCCACCGTGCTCGGCCAATTTTCCTCTTTTCTAATATAAGCATTTAGTGTCATAAATTTCCCTCCACCAGCCTTTTTGAACCAACACAGGGTTCACAGGAACCTAACTGTATATTCACATTCCTTAGCATCAGGTCCCGAAATTTAGAGAATAAAAAACCATATTACAACTGGTTTGAAATGAGCCAACTCACAATGCCTAAGGCGCAACTGGGGTTCATTTCAAAAAACAGGATCCTTATCTATTTTGGTACTATAGACAAGAAGGAACTCAATCTTACTAACAAAATATCTAAATAATAAGTAAATAAATATCAGTTTGAGCATTTTTCTCAGTCTACCTTTCCAGTTCCTGCTCCAGACCTCCACTATATGAAGAGTATTGACTCAAATTTTTACTGCCATTTCTCAAACGTCAAAACAGATGTCAATGCTCTGAGTTATGGAGCCCTTTCCTAGAGAGCAAGAAGAAACTGATCTTCTCTCCTGGGTGTCTAAGAGATAACAAACAATACCATCTTTTTGTAACACTAAAATTTACAATCCAGTTAGGGAGGAGGTGTAAAAGATTATTTAATCAAGTAAAGGAATTCACACCTGTTTTCTCTTTCTTTTTCAATGTTCCATATCCCCTGAAATTTTATAAATGTGTACTTTTTTTTTTTTTTTGACACGGAGTTTCGCTCTTGTTGCCCAGGCTGGAGTGCAATGGCGCAATCTCGACTCACCACAACCTCCGCCTCCCAGGTTCAAGCGACTCTGCTGCCTCAGCCTTCCCGAGTAGCTGGGATTATAGGCATGTGCCACCACGCTGGGCTAATTTTGTATTTTTAGTAGAGACAGGGTTTCTCCATGTTGGTCAGGCTGGTCTTGAACTACCGACCTCAGGTGATCCACCCACCTCGGCCTCCCAAAGTGCTTGGATTACAAGCATGAGCCACTGCGCCCAGCCATAAATGTGTACTTCTAACATAAAATTTAATCTGGCTGAAACAAATATTTGGACCATAGTAAAATGCTTCTCTATAATTTGTTCCTTCCTTTCTTTTTTCTAGCAAGCTTCAGAGCCAACAGGGCGCTTCTCCTGGAAGGTGAAGTCATGGTGACCTACTGCTCTTTATTCAGTCTGACATGTATGTTAATCTTCTCTACTTACTCTTAGACTGTGGAATATGATCCTTCCAATGGGAGACAGTGGCTTTTCTCTTACACTTTTCCCTGTCTCCTCACCATAAATAAAATGAAAACTGAAAAATGTCTCCCCTACCAAAAAATCTCTGTCCCTTCTTACACATCCATAATATGTAGCTCCTACAATGGTCTTCAATGATCCCCACCTCCTGGTATTCATAACCCTGAATACTTTTCTCTCCATAAATGTAGTACTGGCTTATTGACTCAATTCTAATAAAAAGAATTGATCAAAAGTGATGGATGTCACTTCTAAGATAATGTTATAAAAAGATTGTCTTCTGTCTTAGGTGATCTCTCATTATCTCCTGGATCCTTTTTCCTAGAAGGATCCACATGCCATATTATGTGGCAGCCCTGTCAAGAGGTCCACGGAATAAGGGAGCAAGGACTGTCAACCAGGAGAATGATCCTGGGAGGAGATTCCCCCACCATCCCAGGCAAGTTTTCAGATGAGACTGCAGCCCAACTGACAGTCTGACTGTATCTTCATAAGAAACCTGAAGCTCAGGATCCCAAGTTAAGCTGTGTTCAGTTACTGACCCATAGAAACAAGGAAATGCTCAATGTTTGTTGTTTTAAGCTAAAAACTTGTGGAGTAAAGTAAATAAACGTCAGTTTGTTACATAGCACTAGATAACTAATGTACCTTCCCAGCTACAGACTTCCACAGCCAAGATTAAGACTTATTTACCCACCAGTTAACTCACTCATTTCCAAAGACCCCCAGATTCTAGAGGACCCCTTCTTCATTTCGCTCTCCTCATCAGGTTCCTGGTATAGGGAAATAAGTCATCACCATGACTTAAACAGTATGGACTGTTTTGTTTTGTTTTGACATCAAAGCAACCAAAACAGAATGGAACTAAAAGAAAGCAAGGTTTAAACTTTTAGTCCAGTTTCAACTCCAGTCTCAGCAAAGCTCTGAGAGAAGAGAGTTTTATGGTCAAAAATGTTTGGGGCTCTTCCCCTAAATGGCCTGAGGTGAAAATGGTTCACCATTCTCTTGACCCAGAAACCCCCACAAAAAGCATGCAAATTGACAGGTTAAAATTTTCATTTTCACTGCAAGAACACCTGTGGAACCACCCAGGCCATCGAGGGTATGCAGATATGAAAGCCACCAAGTATCTAAAAGATGTCACTTGACAGAAGCAATGTGTGCCATTCCAAAGCTACAACAGTGGAGTTGGTAGGTGTGTCTGGGCCAAACAGTGGGGCTGGACACTGGGTCGGTGGCCCAAAAAGAGTGCTAAATTTTTGCTGCACATGTGTAAAAATGCAGAGAGTCATGCTGAACTTAAGAGTTTGGATATAGATTCTCTGGTCATTGAGCAGATCCGGGTGAACAAAGCACCTAAGATGTGCTACAGGACTTGCAGAGCTCACACGGTCAGATTAACTGATACACGAGCTCTCCCTGCCACATCTAGATGATCTTGACTGAAAAGGTACAAATTGTTCCTAAAGCAGAACAGAAAGTTACTCAGAAGAAAAGGATATCCCAGAAGAAACTGAAGAAACAAAAACGTATGGCACAAGAATAAATTTGGCATAAAATAAATCCAAGTAAAACAATTTTAAATGTCTCGAGAACACTACAAGCTATGTCCTCTTCTCAGAGAGCCCTGAAGTTTTAACATATTGAAAGCTCTGATCTTGCCAAAGAACTCCACTTAACTTCAAAACACACCCTCCACACACATCATGATCAACTGAGATCTTACTGAACCAGAATCCTAAATGGCATACTTCAGGAACAGGGGTCCAGAGAAGCAGTTCTCAAAGTGCAGCTTAAAAAGAAACTGAAAACCCAATTCATGCAAGACCTAGGGCTTATTTTAGAGCATTTTCCAGTGCAGATTGGATCCAATCTAAACACATAGAATTAAATTACGAAAAATGATACAGACTATTACCTACCAATCACCCACTAAAGGACACCCCAGGGATCCCTAACTCCACTCTTAAAGTTTAGGAAGACATCAGCACTCTTTGTGGCCATGCATTAATTTGCTCAACCCTTTCCTTCATCTGAGTATTTCCTCTGCCCATTGAAATCCTTGGGCATAGGCGGGGCACGGTTGCTCACACTGTAATCCCAGCACTTTGGGAGGCCGAGGTGGGAGCATCAAAAGGTCAGGAGTTCGAGACAAGCCTGGCCAATATGGTGAAACCCCGTCTCTATTAAAAATACAAAACTTAGCTGGGTGTGGTGGTGCACGCCTGTAGTCCCAGCTATTCAGGAAGGTGAGGCAGGAGAATCACTTGAACCCAGGAGGCGGCGGTTGCAGTGAGCTGAGATTGTGCCACTGCATTTCCAGCCTGGGCAACAGAGGGAGACTCCATCTCAAAAAAAAAAAGAGAAGAGAAGAGAAGAAAAAAGAAAAGAAAAGAAAGCAATCCTTGGGCACATAGAGTGTCGTGGTTAACATGATGGGCCCCTGGAGTAACGCTGAACTTGCTATCTGACCATCACTTACTATACATGTCAACTAATCTCACTAAGTTTCACCATCTTTATCCAAAAATGAGCATAATAATAATATCTACCACACTGGAATGCATGAGATAATTCTCGTTTAGCTTTGGCACAGTGTCTGGAACAGAGTAGGCACTCAAAAAATGCCACCTATTGCTACATTTTTCATCATCCAATGCATCAGATCTTAAATTAACCAATTTTAGTTTCCAGCCGGGTCCAAACACCTCAACATATTTCTACCACATCACTCACAACTGCACCAATTTCATGTCTTTGCTATGCCTTTGCACTGCCAGACTGAAGAACTTGATGTGTTAAGTTCACTCCCATGTGGCAGCTCTTAGCTCTTCCTCCCCATCTGTTCCAGCCACACCTGTCTCGACCTTCTCTGGTTCCAAATGACAACCTGAATTTTAGAAGTTTCACAGTCTTTTACGAAAGGTAAGTTTTGCTGTTTTGCTTCCAGTATCATTCAGGATGCCAGCCAATAGTTTGCTGGCCTTGTGATCCGCCAGACAAGTTAACCTGCAAAGCCTATCAGATTCTTTTGTCCTTTTCTGGTTCAAAGATGAAAAGCAGGTAGACAGCCGGGCTAAAAAAGCTTAAATCTTTCTTTTATAAAATTTGGGAATAAAAGCCTCAAACCAGTAGTAACAATGCCACTTGTTACTTGGCAACAACACTTCATTTGCCAAGGTCAGAAGCCATCGAAACTGACTTTGTGCGTGGGTAGACATACACAGAGCAAAGGAACAGGGACCAGGCAGCTATAAATCCAGCAGCCACCAGCCCCTCCAACAGAAGGCAGTGGCTATGTGAAAGTATTATTTTCAAGATCATCACTAGAATCTATGAAAATGACTCCTAAAGTTGGCTAGAGTCTGCCTGAAAACTAGTCTTATTCTAGGATGCAAGCCCTTATGTAGTGCGGTCTCAAGTGAATAGCAGCTGGAAAGGGAAACTTCACCCCAAACTCTGCAAAATTGCAAATCAAGGGCAAAGTTGAGACAATGGATGCAGGTTTGGCCTTTGAGTGACCTTAGTAAGTTACTTAGCTACTCTAACCACACTTCATTTGTAAAACAGGGGTCATGATCTAGATCTTCCAGAGTGTTATAGTTAAATGATGCTCTGCCACCAGAGTCATAATAGGGCCCCACAAAGGTCCTTATAGTAAGTCTGAGTAGCAACTGCCTCAAAGTACCAGCAGTCATGATCACCAATATGTTTTGAGCACACACTCTGTAAAAATATGTGCTTTCGCCTTGTAACAGTTCTGAAGCAGGTTCTGTTATTATTGCCACCACAGATGGCATTAACTGAAGGTCTGAGAGGTAAAGTAACTTACCCAAGGCAGGTAGGAAATGGTACAGCTAGAACTCAGATCCAGGCAGTCTAATTCCAGGGCCTATGGTCTTAGCCATTATACCACATTGCCTCTGTGAGGAAGCATTAAATACATATTTGAAAGGATGGATGGGTTGACAAATATAATTATCTGGTGCTTTCATCCTCTGGGGTCCTACTCCCCCAAACAAAGGAAAGAAACATTGACTTGTCCTTTCAGATTACAAAGAATAGCAATGTCTTACAAAAAAAAAAAAAAAAAAAACCCTAAGCACATTTGTTTATACCAATTTTAGGACAATTATTTCCTAAACCAAATTTTTACTACCCTGAAGTTCGGTACTTATGAAAACACTGCCAACATAATGAAATGACTGTGCAAAAAGCAACAGCTGATCACTAGAGGCAATTTTCTTTCTTATAAATACAAAAATCCTATCAGCTAAAAGAATGTAGCATGACAAATCACAAATCAGAGACAGAGTCTTCTACATGAGGATTTAAAGCTCAAGAATTTCAATGTACTTAATAACATAAAATCTGAGGCAGATGGCTCAATGCTTTAGAATTCCCAAATTGTTAAGGGTATCCTGGATGGAAATACCCTAGCTAGGTTTCTATTTCTTTTCTGGCCGGCACCACCTGGTGGTTTTTTTTCCTCTAAAATCTAAGTCCACACAGGCCATAAAATTAAGATCTGGACAGCATTCTTGTTGTCAAAGTGATCCACGGAAGAAATCTTTAATTTCATATTCATATAATTCTAACTAACATATTAAACAAATTTTATTTTTATCCATATGGAGATAGTCTCATCTCTAGTGCATTTTCTTAAATATATTTATCAATGTGTATGATAAATATCAAAATACATGAATTTAAAATCCCGAGAGTACTCTTGAGCTTACACATCATGGGGAACAACCAACACATCATTCAACTATCATTCATTCATCCTCTCAATCGTTTATTTATTCTTTTATGCTAAGGATGCAGAGATGATTTTGTATAAGTTAAATGTGCTTTTGATGATGAAATTCCACTGGGTACTACGCTCTTCACTATTTTACAAGTGAGGACACTGAAGCTCAGCCTAACTAAGGAATTTGTCTCACGTCACAGAAATAGCAGAGCTGGGATTTAAATGTAGTTTTGGAACCAAGCATGGTGGCTCACACCTGTAGTCCCGGCAACTTGAGAGACTGGGGTTGGGGTATACCTTGAGTCCAGGAGTTTGAGTCCAGTTTGGGCAACACAGTGAGACTTCAACATTTTGGTTGATCTTGGATAGCTCAGAAGTGATCAATACCCTTCCCCGATAGAAGAACAAAGGAGACAACCAGAGAATAAGAGTTACCCAAAGGACAGGAAATTCATTTCCCCAATTTATTGCCAGAATTAAAAAGAAGAAGTCAGAAGCATTCCACTTTGTCAGACCACGTGTCTCTGTTTGGTTTACTGGAAGAATGGTGAACATGGGGAACTGCATGTTATCCTAAATGAAACTTCATATAAAAGAAAACCAAATGAGAAACATATGGAAGAATTAAAGTGGCGAGCTAAGTGAAGCAAAGCGAAGCAACTTAGAATGTTTCGTATCCTACGCTGGTTCTGAGCAGGCTTAATAAGAAGCTGACATCGATATCTGATGGCCTGAGAATCTACTTCAGCACTGAAGTACACTTACTCCTGGCCCCATGGACCTATTATTGTTCAACTTGCAATAATGGGACACTTCCAAAGAGCTGACAGGCAATCTTTAATTAAAATACACTGAAAATAACTTGAGGCACAGTTTGCACAAAGAAAACAACTGCTCTCTTAAGTTACCCAACATAAGTTGTATTCTTTTTTTTTTTTTTATTTTCTTTCTAAGCTGAGAGTTTTCACTGAAGGGAAGAAACTGATTTTACAATTAATTAAGAGATGAAAAACCTATAGCTTAGCAGTTAAACACCTGGGTCCTAGACCCAGATAGGCCTGAGTTTGAGCCCAGTCACCTGCAAGCTGAATGTTCTTGATCGTTATTTAAACTCTCTTAGCCTCAGGTCCCCCATCTTCAAGTGGAGAAGACTTCCTGCCATAGTACACACCACAGCAGATCACCAAATGTTTCCAGCTCTCTGCTGCTGTGGACACTTCCTGGCTTACTGATTTGTGAGTGAGTGGGGCCATGTGATTGGTTCTAGCCAGTGAGTTGTATGCAAAATGAAGCAAATCACTTGCACTCCAAACACTTAACTGGCAGCTCAAGACTATTCAGAGCATTCTTTTTTTTTTTTTTTTTTTTTTTTTTTTTTTTTTTTTTTGAGATGGAGTTTTGCTCTTTTTGCCCAAGCTGGAGTGAAGTGGCGCAATCTCGGCTCACTGGAATCTCCATCCCCAGGGTTCAAGTGACTCTCCTGCCTCAGCCTCCCGAGTAGCTGGGATTACAGGCATGTGCCACCACGCCTGACTAAGTTTTTGTATTTTTAGTAGAGACGGGGTTTCGCCATGTTGGCCAGGCTAGTTTTGAACTCCTGACCTCAGGTGATCCACCCGCCTCAGTCTCCCAAAGTGCTAGGATTACAAGCATGAGTCACTGCACCTGACCCAGACCATTCTTTTCCCTTCTGCACAAACACCAGCAATGTTGGGTAGCCTCTTTGTCAGTCTGAATGACAGTGATGAGCACAGTCCATCTCCCTACCATTGACCTATTTGCTGCACAAGTATCCTAAGCTAAAAGTAAACTTTCATATATATATATATATATCATCAAATATACATATATATATATCATCAAATATACATATATATCATCAAATATACATATATACACATATATATATCTCACTGGGATTTGAGGGTTGCTGGTCTGTTATTGTTAGATGTCTAATACTGACTGATAAACTACTTCATAAGCTGGTTGTAACAACTAAATGAAATAAAGAATAAAGCCTGGTAAGATGTCTGTAAGTGCTTAATAAATGACATTTTGTTGCTGCTGTTAAGAAACAAGTATTTCTTCTACACAATGGTTAGACTGTGTATTTTTCATCACATCTAACGAAGGAAGAACATTAACTGAGCTAAAATACTTTCTCCTTCCTTTTTCCAGGTTCCACTAAAGATTTGATGTCAGTGTTTGGGAATCTACAGAAATTTAACCCCAAAGAAACCAGCTCTCCCTCTCTAGATTCAACTTTAAACTGCACAATTTCTCTGAAATGCAGATAAATTAGTCACTTTACTAATTTGGTTCAAAGCAAGAATATGTATCTGAAATTAATTTATCAATTATGTACTATATCATTTATATACTATTATGATCTAGGGTCATACCCTATATTTTTTTCTAAATCACTGATATTAGAAGTGAAATAAAACATTACCAGCCAAACTTGTTTGAATACCCTATTTCTTTATATATATAAAAAAATAGTGCTAATTTAAATGTATGTTACAGAACATACTAAGAGTTTGAACCCATGTGTTTGTGTCATGCTGTAAATTATGGTAAATGCAGTCCCCTTCTTTTGCAGTATACAAACTAGAATGACCAACTGTCACAATTTGCCTAAGTCTTGACCACTTTTAGTATGGAAAAACCTGGAAACCATATGCAAACTTAATCCCAGTTTGCCCGGCGCTTTCTGGGTTTTAAAACTGAAAGTCTTGCATCCCAGGAACACTCTCAATCCAGGGTAAACCAGGATGGCTAGTCATCCTAATGCAAAGATATCCTTGAAGTGTCAAGATAAGCAAGACACCTCTTCCTGGAATGTAAAGATACAAGGGAGGAACATTACATCATCTAAAAGAGTTTTCCATTAAAACAAAGATATATAATAGAATACGATATAAACTCTGGATGAACTTTTAGAATAGAACTCAAGCTGTCAAAGTAATGTTGGGCTTTTTGTCCTCTGTTTTTACAGGGGCACACTGGAGAAAAAGACCAATAAGCAGTGCTTTAGAAGAAAAGCCACCGACACAGAAACAACCAGGATGCAACGTTCACTCCCTCCCTTACTTTCTCCACGGCTGAGAACAGTCATTAACCTTGCTCTAGGCCCCAGTCAGGCTACCTTTATTTTAAAAATATGCCTCAAGCACGGCGTGGTGGCTCACACCTGTAATTCCAGCACTTTGGGAGGCCGAGGCGGGCGGATCACCTGAGGTCAGGAGTTCGAGACCAGCCTGGCCAACATGGTGAAACCCTGTCTCTACTTAAAATACAAAAATTAGCCAGGCAGGGTGGCAGGTGCCTGTAATCCTAGCTACTCAGGAGGCTGAAGCAGGAGAATTGCTTCAACCGGGGAGGCAGAAGTTGCAGTGAGCCGAGATCACGCCACTGCACTTCAGCTGGGGGACAAGAGCGAGACTTCATCTGGAGAAAAAAAAAATGCCTCATTAGAAGGCAGGGACTTAGCTTTGTTCACTGCTGTATGCCTGGTACCTAGAACTATGCCTGGAGTTTGACTAAATGAGTAATTAAATCTCTCAGCCAGGGATAAAACTAATATCCACATCAGGATTGTTGACGCTATCAAAGAAGATCATATACATAAAAGTGCTCTGCATATTAACAAGAACTGTACAAAAGTGACTATTATCTTGCAGATCTCTTGATTACCTTATTTTCTCCCACACAATGACTTATGAGTATTACATTGTTGCCTTATTTGGATTTTGATGGGCACTGGTGATGGAGTGTAAGCTTGCAAACTAAATAAAAAAAAATCTGTTAGGTTGCCAGGCGCGGTGGCTCACGCCTCTAATCCTAGCACTTTGGGAGGCCGAGGTGGGCGGATCACTTGAGGTCAGGAGTTTCAGACCAGCCCAGCTAAAATGGCAAAACCTCATCTCTACTAAAAATACAAAAATTAGCCAGGCGTGGTGGCATACACCTGTCATCCCAGCTACTCAGGAGGCTGAGGTAGGAGAATCGCTTGAACCCAGGAGGTAGAGGCTGCAGTGAGCCGAGATGGTGCCACTGCACTCC
The DNA here is from genome assembly GCF_000001405.40 of Homo sapiens. NCBI lineage: Eukaryota > Metazoa > Chordata > Mammalia > Primates > Hominidae > Homo > Homo sapiens. The sequence continues at coordinate 65,851,719 of NC_000003.12, forward strand.
AGCCTGGGCAACAGAGCAAGTCTCTGTCTCAAAAAAAAAATGTGTTAGGCTAACATGTACATACACATACAAGATGGCCACATATGTTTGGAAATATTTTCAAAAATATACAGGCAGAAGTCGAATGTTTATGTTCAGTAATATAAAAAAGTTTAATCAAAGAAGTTTTAGAACATATGCATCATAAGGAGGAAGATATTGCATAGTTTTGATCTGCGAAAGAGGCAAGAACGGGGGAAGAATTTGAGAGGAATGTGGATAAAGGCCAAAAGTTGAATCATATGGGGAAGGTTTTTAAGTAGGAATAAAAGCGAATACATTGAGCTGGAAGTGGGAAGGCTCAAGGAATTGTGGGCCCAAGGCAAACTTGTCAAACCAGGAAGATATCTGGTAGGGCTGTAAACAGCCTAAATACCAAGCAAGTTCATGCATCATCACTACCTATATCTGTCCTCCTTGGTGGCCCTATCATAAGGAAGAAATCCTTGCCAAGGTTATCCTGCTGGTGTCTTCCACAAGGTAACAAGGTAGCTGGCGATGGAAGTAGCATTGCTGTCTAGGATGGGCTCTCTGCACCTGGCCAGCATCAGTTTTGAGCCTCCCCAGAAAGGAAGAGGAGGGTAGTGAGCAAACATATCTTGCTTGTTACTATTGCTCTCACGTTGTGTTTCAGATGGTGGAACAACATGTAAAACTCTACCCAGTAGGTAAACACTAGACAGACGTGCGTATATACACACACCTCCATTACCATAAAAATGTTTGAAGACACACTTGACACCAATTTTTTTTTTTTTTTTTTGAGACAGAGTTTCACTCTTATTGCCCAGGCTGGAGCACAACTGCATGATCTCAGCTCACCGCAACCTCTGCCTCCCGGGTTCAAGTGATTGTCCTGCCTCAACCTCCCAAGTAGCTGGGATTGCAGCCATGCACCACCACGCCTGGCTAATTTTGTATTTTTAGTAGAGACAGGGTTTCTCCACATTGGTCAGGCTGGTCTCGAACTCCCGACCTCAGGTGATCTGCCCGCCTAGGCCTCCCAAAGTACTTGGATTACAGGCGTGAGCCACTGCACCTGGCCAACAACAAATTTTAAGCAATCGGCAAAGTATCAGAAAATATTTGTGGTTTTGGCTGGGCGCCATGGCTCACACCTGTAATCCCAGCACTTTCGGAAGCCGAGGTGGGCAGATCATGAGGTCAGGAGATCGAGACCATCCTGGCTAACACGGTGAAACCCCGTATCTACTAAAAATACAAAAAAAAAAAAAAAAAAAATTAGCCGGGCATGGTGGCACGTGCCTGTAGTCCCAACTACTCGGGAGGCTGAGGCAGGGAAATCGCTTGAACCCAGGAGGTGGAGGTTCCCTCCGGGAACCAAGTGCATTGAGCCGAGATTTGTGCCACTGCACTCCAGCCAGGGCGACAGAGCGAGACTCCGTCTCAAGAAAAAAAAAAAAATTAATTGTGGTTTCTACTCTGGGACACATCAGCAGCATCTTTGTTAATTCATAACTCAAGATTTAAAAATAAGTCTTCAGATTAATGATAGCCCAACCCAACATGATGTGGTAAACAGCTCAACTGAAACCATAAACATCACCTTGCTTGTGTGATATAAATAGTTCTATAAGTACATGTTTAATGCATTGATAGGTAAATTCCTAGTAGGGCAAAGATAAGATCTTAATTCATTCACCTATGCATACTTTGTGCTGACGAAATTTTTAACACGAGTTCCATCCCTCAAATGTTTCAATATCAAAAGTCTAAAATGCATACCATGCTTTTACCAGCTGCTGGGAAGTTGGAATGTATCAAAACGTATTCATTTCTCAGTTCTGCCCACACTAACCTCCCCATTAACTTAATATTAGGGAGACAAGCAATGAATTTCTGGATCAGTAAGTAAAACCTGAGACGTATCCAAAAAAGGGCAGCTGAATGCAAGGAAACAAAAGCAGTCTCTATCCTCACAAGACCATATTTTATTAAATGATTTCAAAATGCTTCTCTCTGTTTGATGCATTTTGCTGCTGATACTCAATATGGAAGCCTTCCAGGGAGAAAGTGGTTATCTCAATCAAGAAGTGCCCCGACAGGCCAGGTGTGGTGGCTCACATCTATAATCCCAGCACTTTGGGAGGCCAAGGCTGGTGGATCACCTGAGGTTGGGAGTTGGAGACTAGCCTGGCCAACATGGTGAAACTTCATCCCCACTAAAAATACAAAAAAAATTAGCCGGGTGTTGTGGTGCACACCTGTAGCCCCAGCTACTCAGCAGGCTGAAGCAGGAGAATCACTTGAACCAGGGAGGTGGAGGTTGCAGTGAGCCAAGATCATGCCATTGCACTCCAGCCTGGGCAACAGAGCGAGACTCTGTCTCAAAAAAAAAAGTTGCCCTGACAAAAACAGGTTAGCTGTGTAAAAATTCTAATCTTTTATTTAAAGGTTTAAAAAAAAAAAAAAAAGCATCGGCTACTCAGGAGGCTGAGATGGGAGGATCCCTTGAGGCCAGGCGTTTCAGAAGAGTCTGGGCAACAAAGTGAGACCCTGTTTCAAATTTAAGACAAAACACAACAAAGAAGTAGCAGAAAGAAACAAGGAGACATGAGTACATGCAATACACTTTCTCCTTTTCACTCAAGGATTTTGCTGTCCCAGTAAATGTGACAGTGCTTTGTACATACAACTTTGAAAGAATAGGTGCATGAGGCAATAATGTGCCTCCATCTCTCCATGAAAATCCTGAGTTCTCCTCAAAAGCTCAGAAATTCCCATGCCAGCGTCTTCACAACCACCATTTCCATGTGATTAAAATAAACAGCCACCTTTTCTGAAAAATGGATAACTTTGCAATATGTTCATGGAAAAGCTCAATGCTGTTCTTACAAATACTACTCAAGGAAGTTTTGTTTGGAAGAATTTGAATAAAATGTCCCACGAGAGGGTTCTGCAAATGAGGCACAAACCTAAAAACACAGCTAGTCTCTGTCACCTAAATGAGCTGCTGTGGCCTGGCTCATCTGGTAGCACCATGACTCGCAGTTCCTGCAAACCTCCCAGGGTGCAAAGCCATGACAGATGGTCACACTACTGAAAGGGGAATACCTACAACCACAACCAAAGGGAGAAGTCCACAGAAGTCCACAACCAAAGGGAGAAGTATGACACCTTGGAAACGTAAACAGCATCCCCTAATCAAGGGCTGCAAAGTCAAACGTCTACAGGGACAAGGAAGGTAATATAAATAACTACGTACAACATCTGCTGGGTATTATGCAAGAGGGGATGGATGGTGCTGGCTGCAGCTGCAGAGGGTGTGCCACACCTGAAGCATAAAAATTATTATTTAAACTCTGGGCTGATAAAAACCTGCCCAAATCCGTGGGGGGCGGGGGTGAGTTTACAGCCTGAAGCACTTAGCACCCTAACCAGCAGACAGGATGTGCTCATTAAAAGATGCCATTATAAGCAGGAAGCCTTGTGAGTCCACAAGAGAAAAAAAGGCCTGTGAAATGTTTGCTTTGAGATCCGCAGAAAGAGATAAACAGTACCAAAGAAATGGGAGGAAAGGGCTTGGTGCGATGGCTCACACCTGTAATCCCAACACTTTGGGAGACAAGGCAGGAGAATTGATTGAGGCCAGGAGTCTGAGACCAGCCTGGGCAAGCTAAGACCCCCATCTCTACAAATAAAATAAAGTAACTTTAAAAATAAAATAAAATAAAATGGCCCAGCATAGTGGCTTGCACCAGTAATCCTAACTACTCAGAGACTGAGGCAGGGGGGATCACTTAAGCCCCAGAGTTATAGGCTGCAGTGAGCAATGATGAGACCACTGCATCCCTGCCTGGGCAACAGAGTAAGACCTTGGAGGAGACGGGAGATGGGGAGGAGAGAGGGGAGGGGAAGGGAGAAACAGAGAGAGAGAAAGGAAAAAAAGAGAAAAGAAAGGAAAAGAAAAGAAAACATAATTAAATAAAATCAGAAAGTAGGAGATAGCACATGTAGATTTGTAAGAACCAACACCGGATAGCCCATTAACCCCCATAGATACATTGGCTCTGGTGGGGAAAAGCACCATGCCAATTCAAGCAAATGTGAAATGAAGCCCTTCATTCATGTGTATCCACTCACTCATTCTTTCCCTCACTTACGCAACAGCTAGTCACTGGAAGCTTCTCGCATGCCAGGCACCCCTGGCTCTGGCCTGAGGACATGGTGTTAGACCAACACAGGACTCTTCCAGAGCTTACTGTGTCCAGCACTGACCAGCAGAATTTTCTTGATGATGGATGTATTTTAGATCTGCTTTGCCCTATATGATTGCTACATGTGTCTACTGAGCATTTGAAATATGACTATGGCAACTGAGGGACTGGGTGGGAGGAGTATTTTATTATGTTTAATTTTAACTAACTTATATTTCGATTTAAATAGTCACATATGGCTAATGGCTACCATAGTGGATAGTAAAGGTCTAGGTAGGGTGTCCAGGCATCGCCCTCGGGTTGGGGAGAAGAAAAAGCAAAAGGGAATAGAAGACTCCAGAAGAGTAGAATGCAGGTTTTACCTCCCTGTATACTCATAACTTTCTCTATACCAATCAAATGCACAGCTTATCCATTCCTGCCTCCCACAACCCTGTAACATACCCTCCCAGATGGCAGAAGTTAAAAATGAATGGCAGATGGTGACACTCAATGTCCTACTCAATAAAGTGTGACCAGAGCAAGACTCGATGAACTCAGGTATCTGATCCAATTTGACCCAAACTGCAATGCTGCCCAATGCTGTGTTCTTTCCTCACAGCCCTGCCTGGAGAAGGTCATCGGGTGACACAGATGCTGCATGACTATAGAAAACAATGATTCTAAGACAACACGCCAGGCTTTCCTCCCCTCCATTCTGACATATCTCAGATGAACAAGTAAGGACATCATCACGTGCTACACCTCAATGTCAATGGCACTTTTTCAAGAGGTCAGTGTGTCCCCTCCATACTGATGCCTGGGACACTGAAGTTGGGAGCTGATGGTCTTAACCCTCTCTGCAAAACTACAACGGTCTCTTGGCTCCAGCCAGCCGCACAAACTAACAGGACCTTGCCTCTCCATGGGAGTTTCTGGGCATGCTCAAGTTCATGAGACGCCTAACGGAAGGGGAACTCAAATCGCCCATGGATCCAGACTTCCTTTTCTCTTAATCCAGTGACATATTAGAAACTGTCAACTAACCTACCAGAAACACAGGAATCACATGAAAACCAATACACCCTGACGGCCCTGTTTACTTGACAGGAGTTGGCCAGCTCCAACAGAGGTAATGGGGCTTATTGGGGCTCATGGCCACTGCACACGCACAGGCTACACCTGGCAGAAAGGCAGCCCTTCTTTCTCAATAGCAGTTGGCCTTTGTTCTTAAGGTCAGTTGCCAGAGTCATGGTCAGAAGCATTTAGAACAGGAAACAGAGCTAATCTTTACAAGGACTGGCAAGTAGTTTCCTGGAGAAAAGAAACATGAGAGAGTACAGCACAAAAATCTAGTACTGGTTCAGATTTTATGAACCATCAAAACACAGAAATGCTACCAAGTAATGCTGCAGAGATGTCCTATTCTTCACATTTGAAGAAGTTAAAAATTGATAAACTTTTGTTCATTATCACCCTATGATTGTTTGCAAATCAGAAGACTTTCTTAGCTATTCTCTAATTTACAACTGCTAATCTTTGCATTACTCCAGCCAGGGCAGCTATCATCAGCCCCAAATCACACAGAAGAAAACAAGAGCAGAGGGTCCTGCTGGGTCACACGGTTCAGGGTCCAGAGCTAATCGCTCAGGCTGCCTTGGTAGAGATATTTGCCATACCATATCGTAGAAAGCTGGTCAGCAAAGCTGTGATTTTTAGCTCTTCCAAGTATATTGCCCCTTGGAAGACCTTATAAAGGTTTATAAACTTTAGATGCTGTCTTTGGTGAAATTTTTAAAACTGCTATGTACTAGGAAGCTAGTCAGGTGGTGCTGTAGTCTGCCACCCACATAGATGGGACAGACACAGAAGGGCCTGCTTTACCTGTGTGACATTCGTTTCGTGGGGACACAGTGAAAACATCCCTTAGACATTTAAAAAGAGGTAGGAAGGCAAGAAGGGGGGGAACAAATGGGTCTAATCACACAACATTTAGGTGATTAGGCAGGGATTCATGAAAACCTAGTGTTTTAAATAGTATTCATTCTAGCCTGGTATGGTGCTTGTGCCTATAGTCCCAGCTATTCCAGAGGCTGAGGTGGGAGGATTGCTTGAGCCCAGGAGGTTGAGGCTGCAGTGAGCCAACATTGTGCCACTGCACTCCAGCCTGGGTGACAGAGAGACACATTGTCTCAAAAACAAACAAACAAACAAAAATAATATTAATTCTAAAATGATGTTAACAAATATAATATTTTAATAATGGCCTAAGCATAAATGCCATCCTTAGCATCAAACAAAACTCATGACCAGCAGAACTTTCCAGAAGACTTCTGCTCCATGTTGACATAATATGGTAAGTTGACAAAGAACTCACTGCTCCATGTTGACATAATACGAAGTGATGTTGTGATTTATAAACATAATGATTAGGAAAAGGAGCTCAGCCTACCATCTATGACACAAGCCAGTTGTGGAGACAACACATCAATGGGTCTCTGCTGCATTCAACTAATTTTTTCATCTTATAGATCTGTGACTCTGATTGGCTGGGTAATGCTATTAATAAATTGGTAAAAGATAAGAACCAAGATTTTCAAAGTTCAAATAAAGAATAACTAAATAATTGCTTCTTCCCAGAAGGAAATGAAGATTCTTTTCCTTTTAAATCTGTTGTACTCTTTATCTCATCACAGGATCTAATTATGAATATCTATCTTTGGAGAAGAGGAAAGGAGGAGGAAGATAGCCTTGTGACCAGAAATCTTTGCTTTTTAAAACCACCAATGACCTGGTCTAATTATCTCTGCAAAAAACTCATCTGTGATGACATGGGGTGAAACCACAGTGCAATTTTCAAGAAACATTTTATGCAAATATATCTGCTCCAACTGCATATAAATTAAAATAGTAATAAATCAAATCCTATTTTCTGATTGGCTTGTATTATTATTTCAGTTAATTCCTCTTCCTTTCTGAATGAGCTAACACCACGTTTCTCTGTATCCACCATAAGTATAATTGGAGCTGTCAAACTTAAAGAGCAAGAAAGGGAGGGATGAGAAGAAGGAATCATGTACACGTTGGCCTGCTGTGTGCCAGATATTGTGCTATGTGCTTTAAAAATGCTAAAACTGGCTAGGCATGGTGGCTTACGCTTGTAATCCCAGCACTGTGGGAGGCTGAGGTGTGCAGATCACTTGCGGTCAGGAGTTCGAGACCCGCTTGGCCAACATGGTGAAATCCTGTCTCTACTAAAAATACAAAAACTAGCTGGGCATGGTGGCGCATGCCTGTAATCCCAGCTACTCAGGTGGCTGAGGTGGAAGAATCACTTGAACCCAGGAGGTACCTGGGTGACAAAGTGAGACTCCGTCTACAAAAAAAAAAGAGCTAAACTTTATGGGAGGCCATTGTTTTAGCTAAGCACCTGCATTAGACCCCTACAAATCAGAAAAAACTGAAACTCCATTTAGCATGGAGTCACTCATGCTAAATGCCACATAAGCAACTTAAAACTTTAAGGAAGCAGGGCTGGGCATGGTGGCTCATGCCTGTAATCCCAGCGCTTTAGGAAGCTGAGGTGGGTGGATCACCTGAGGCCAGGAGTTTGAGACCAGCCTGGCCAATGCAGTGAAACCCCGCCTCTATTAAAAATACAAAAAATACAAAAATTAGCCAGGTGAGGTGGCACTACTCAGGAGGCTGAGGCAGGAGAATCACTCGAACCTGGGAGGCAGAGGTTGCAGTGAGCTGAGATCATGCCACTGCACGCCAGCCTGGGTGACAGAGCAAGACTCCATCTCAAAAAAACAAAAAAAAAAAACTTTAAGGAAGCAGATAGATCCCCCAAACAGACCAGGTTTTCTTGAAAACAGGAGATTCCAGTCTACCTGAGTCAGCAAAATAAGTAGGTCCCCTCTGCTTTAACCCTTACCAAAAAGTAACCTATGCTAACCAATCAGGTGTTTTTTTGTTTGTTTTTGTTTTTGTTTTTTTTTTTTTGAGACACAATTTTGCTATTGTTGCCCAGGGCAATGGCGCGATCTCGGCTCACTGCAACCTCTGCCTCCGGGGTTCAAGCGATTCTCCTGCCTCAGCCTCCCGAGTAGCTGGGATTACAGGCACGCACCACCATGCCTGGCTAATTTTGTATTTTTTAGTAGAGACAGGGTTTCTTCATGTTGGTCAGACTGGTGTCGAACTCCCCACCTCAGGTGATCCACCTGCCTAGGCCTCCCAAAGTGTTGGGATTACAGGTGTCAGCCACCGCATCCAGCCTAATCAGGTATTTTTTCTATTCTTCTATTTCCCCATTCCCACCTAACAAAACTCACTGTTCTACTACTGCCCAGAGGGAGCCCTTATTCTATTTCGAAGGAGGCTGCTCAGATTTATGAATCGCAAATAAAAGCCAATTAGATCTATAACTAAGTTTACTGTAATTTTGTCTTTTGACAAATATGTGATTGTATTTAATCCTTATATCAGAACTGCAGACAAGGGTATTGACAGAGCCATCTTTACAGATAGAGACACGGAGGCAGAGTTGATCAGGGGCATGTCAGAAGCCACCGATCCGGGCAGCCCGCGCGTTCCCCTCCCTCCGCACCGATTAAAAAGAGGAACAGGTCCTCGGAGTGTGCTGCAGGGATCTCTAACAGGAGCCATGGGGATCTGCCATGGTAATGGCATGCTCAGCCAGGTGCCAGAGAAAGGTCCCCTAGGATGGTGTCAAGAGTCTGTCCTCCCCGTGGCAGCCAGTGCTGCTGAACAGATTCCATGGGGGAGAAAGGCAGGATGCGTGCGGTAGGTTCACGGTGAGGAATATTCCCTCTTCCATTTCCCCAGCTTCTCTGAGAAGGCAGATTGTCCTTCAGAGATTTCAGCCAGGTCCAACACGACAAATACATTTGTCAAGCCATTTCAAAGTAACAAACAATAATCATTATTTTACCCATTACTTCTAGGGTAACATAGAGAATTCGAATTCAAATTCAAATTCAAATACCATTTCAAAGTAACAAACAATAATCATTATTTTACCCATTACTTCTAGGGTAACAGAGAATTCAAATAAGAAGGGCATAGGTTGTTCTTTAAGGAAGGTTCTTATTTTCAGCAGCATCTCCATGGATGTGAGAGGGACAGCCAAAGCACAGCCACAACGCGGCCTTTGATCATGGGGCCAGGGACACACTCAAAAGGATGAGTGACAGAAAGCAAGCCCCCCTCGCTCTAGTTTTCCAGCTGCAGGGAGGCAAGGAGCCGTATTCCTTAACAGAAGTCACAAAGTGGAAACGTGGAGGCTGAAGAAGGCTGTTGCAAATATTTGACGTGCCAACAAAATGTTTGTTTGATTTTTAATTAAGTTTTGAATTTCTTATACCAGGTGAGTACTCTCTGGTCCAGTCACCACCCCACCCAAAGTTTCTGACCCTCTCAGCCAGGCCAGTGTCACTCTTGAGTTACCCTCTTGACTCTAAAGACTTGGAGTTTGCAATCCCTGTTTTATATAGTCATGGGGAGAAAAGAACTAAACCCCTTATCTGCAGAAAAAGTATTACCCCTCTTACTAACACCTCTTGTATATAAACCACTGAAACTGGGTATGTTAGTACTGTAATAGGGAAAATAGACTCCAGAAGAGATTATTATAAATAAAGATGGGTAACAGTGCAGCATGAACAGAGAAGAGGGAAATCCATCTCTGTCCAAGGAGGCAATGAAAAGTTTCAGAGTGAGGAGCCACTTGACCTCAGTCATAATGGTGAGTGGGAGCTTGCAGAGGGAAGGGGCGCCGTGAAAAAAAAGACACTCGTACAATGAAGAGCAGAGTGACTCAATGGCTGAATCACAGGGACTGGGCCTTCATTGTCCCGTCTAAAATGTGGATCTAACTTTTCTTGAAAAACCAACACAGAGCAGCCAACAAAAACCCTTATAAAGCAACTTGTTGAGATATTAGCAGGCATGTGCAGTCCACAGTGCTAAATCACGTCACGCATCATAAGATGGCAGATCTGGAACAACCGGTAAGACCTCTTGCACAAAAAGTCACAAAGACCATGCCCTGTCTCTCTAATTGGCACCACCAGGCTCCCAGAACTGACATCTTATTTATCTTCAATTCTTCTCTTTGCACTATGTCTAATGAGGCTCTGTCCACCTCATGTAAGACATGGTTCTTTTGTTTACCTTCTCTTCTTTATGAATACCCAGAAAGGTAACATTGCCTAGCAAGAGGCATTCATTAGAGGTTAAGAGCTCACGCGCTGGACTAAGACTAGCCAGGGTCTGAAAATCCTGGTTCTTCTCTCAGCAAGCTACCCCATAAGCTCAGTTTTTTCTTCTATAAAATGGGGAAAGAGCAGTACCTATTCTCATATGGTTGATGTGTATTAAGTATTTAACAGCACCTGCCACAGAGTTCATACTCAATAAATGTTAGACTTCATTAATCTAATTACTCATGCCTTCCCCATGAGCCCTCTTCCCTTTCTGTCTCTGTGTTTCTCTCCTCTAGATCATTCTCAACACCAGCATCATCACAATTAATTTGCCATAAACAGCAGCACAGCAGGATCTACCACTCTGTTCCTCTTCACCCTGCATCACACACCTAGTTTCTATTCCACAGCCTCACATGTAACGTGGTGGGACCATGTAACTGGGTTCTATAGCTAACAGAAATGTGAACTCAAGTGACATGAGACCATTTCAGGCTTGGCTTATAAAAAACTTCATGACAGTCCATGTTCTCTCCTCTTCCACCAGCTCATCACAAGTGTGCATAGTGGCATGGAAACCACATGCTGCAGATGGCAGAGCCACAAAATGCAGAGCCTAGAGCCCTGAATCACCACTTAGAAGAGAGTCACCTGCTAATTAGAAACACCTCTTTTGGAAATTTTGTGAAGAAAGTATAGATTTCTCACAGATTAAGTCACAGAGGTTCTGGAGTTTCTCTGTTATGGCAGCTAACATTACCTTTCTCCATTCTTAAACATTTGGTATGTTCCCACTATCTACAGAATGAAACCTGACCTCCCTAGCATGGCATTCAAGGTCTCCCCTAATCCAGGCCCAGCTACTCTCCAAGCCCCTTTCTCACCATGAAGCCAGTAATGTACCTAGTACTTTCCATAAGTACCAGGCATTAATAAACCTTCCCAATCCTCAAAATCTTTGCTCTCAGAGTTCCTTCTATCAGAAAGGACCAAATTCCTTAATAGTTGACAAAATTCGGATCAATCTTCAAGGAACAGTTCAAATACCATCTCCTCTGAGGAGCTCATGTGATACTGGTTACCATGTCTTCTGGCTACCAGAATAGACAGAACAGACTATGCTCACTCCTTTACTACAAGACTATTACTTATGATATATAGCCAAGTGTCTCTCTGTGTTTTCACACTACTGAGGACTTCTGGAGAGAGAGGCTAAGAGCCTTTCAATTTCATATTCTTAATCCTTAACACACTAGCTGGAATGAGTAGGAACTTGGTATGTTGTATAGGGTAAATTTAAAATCATAAAGAAATAAGGGCACATTCCACGTATCATTAAGTAGTATGCCCAGAAATGACTACTTGGCCTCAAATATCATAAAAGTGAGACCACTTCCTTGATGTAAGTTCTTTGCAGGTCAATTACCTTTGTTGACAGCCCTGGTTGAGATATACAAATGTGGGTCACTGGACATAAGAAAGACAAATGAGAACGTTGGCAAATTCAGACAGATCCACTCTACTGCTAGACTAAGAGTTCAAAGCCTCTAATCCATCCATCAAAATGGATAAAATAGATGAAAAATCAGCAATAATCTAAACGCAACCCAAAATGACTTGATACATAAATTATGGCATATCCATAAATTAAATATTATACATCTATAAAAATCGACATAGTCCCCTCTTTTCCTACCCCAATTCTACCTCCACATGCTAGTCTTCAGATTCTAGCTGAAGTGTCATTTCCTTAGAAACTGGTCCCCTCTGTTAGGCACTCCCAGAGTAACTTTCCCTCAGAGCTCCTTCACATTGATTTGGTATAATTAATTGATTATTGTCTTGCTCTCTAACTACTACTAAATAAATGAGAGTGGAAAGAATATTTCTCTTTTTTATTTGTAAATAGGGTGAGTGAATGAATAAACATTCAACAGAATATGAAACAAAATGAAAAAAACGTAAACCAAAAAAAATAAGGTTATATAATAGCATGTATAGCATGATCCTATTTTGTAAAAAGGTTATACCCATCTGTCAACCTAAATACATACACAGACACACACAGACATAGAGAAACGTATAAATAAATAACCTGTATAACCTAAATTTTGGAAGATTCTTCACCAAAAGCTCAACACTGGATTTTTCTAGCCAAGGTTGAAAGGATCTATGTGGAGTGATCATGACCTCATTCAGGCTCTTCTTTCTCCCTGGTACAGGCCAGGGTTAATTTCCTACTAAGTGATGGATGAAATAGCTTTCCTAAACATGTGGAGGAAGTGGCCTGCTTTCTTGCTTTGCTCACCAACTACAAAAATGGCAGCTGTGATGGGGAAGCCTGGACTGTCAAGGCCACCCGTCAGCGAGACGGCAGACTCCATGTCACGTGCCACACAGCTACACTGGCCACATCCAGCCCTGCACAGCTGCATAGCAGAATCAGGAAAAACAGTACTTTTCATTCTGGTTTCCCAGATTGAACCAGGTTACTACAGAGAGGAGAAGGTGAAGAATGGAGTGGGGAACAAGACTCTGCCTCCGTAACTCTGCCACCTGCCTCCAGGCTGTGGGAGGAACACCAGGTGGCTCTTCATGGCCATTCGACAGAAATATTAGACTAATATGGAAGTCCTGCCTACTCAACCTGCCACTGTCCAAATCTAAACTACAGTCACAAAATGAAGATTCTACTGAGGCTACAAATATTGGGAAAATCAATATTTTTAAAGGCTGGCAGGGATAAAGAAAGATATGCAAATGGTCATCATTATCAAAATGATAAGACACTAAGCAGCACTCCTCTTCAATACTGTAGATATACACACCTGTAATTATGCCATCCACACACCTACGTACATACAGAGAGGGTTGATATAACACTCGGATAGACACTAAGCAGCACTCCTCTTCAATATTGTAGATATGTACATCTGTAACTATGCCATACACACAACTACATAGACACACCTACAGAGAGGGTCTATATAACATACGATAATGTTTACTAAAAAACCAGAAGGAAACCAAGTCAGCATAAACTCACATTCTCTGCCCTTTGATGGTATAATTTTCTCCTAGATTTTTACCAAATAAATAGTCTAGGATGTGAGCCAATATAAAAAATCAGAAAAATCCTAAACGGCACCTGTTAAACTTCAAAAAAAAAGCACTGACCACGTGCAGTGGCTCACACCTGTAATCCCAGCACTTAGGGAGGACGAGGCAATCGCTTGAGCTGAAGAGATCAAGACCTGCCTAGGCAACATGGTGAGACATCATCTCTACAAACAATACAAAAATTAGCCAGGCGTGGTGGCACACACCTGTACTCCCAGCTACTTGGGAGACTGAGATGGGAGGATCACTTGAGCCTGGAGGCAGAGGTTGCACTGAGCCAAGATCACACCACTGCAATCCAGGCCTGGGTGACAGAGTGAGATCCTGTCTCAAAAAATAAAAATAAAAAATAAGCACTTTGCAAGTGTTTTTTTGTTTTGTTTTGTTTTGTTTGCGATGGAGTTTCACTCTTGTTGCCCAGGCTGGAGTGCAATGGCGCAATCTCGGCTCACTGCAACCTCCACCTCCCAGGTTCAAACGATTCTCCTGCCTCAGCCTCCAGAGTACCTGGGATCACCGGCATTCGCCACTACACCCAGCTAATTCTGTATTTTTAGTAGAGACACGGTTTCACCATGTTGGCCAGGCTGGTCTCGAACTCCTGACCTCAGGTGATCCACCCACCTCAGCCTCCCAAAGTGCTGGGATTACAGGCATGAGCCACCATGCCAGGCCATACTTTGCAAGCTTTTAAAACCACAATGGCAGCAGCTGACATGGAATGATGTTCATAACATATGACTGAGAGAAAAATAGGTTTCAAAACATTATGCACTGTTTTGATTCAATTTTTGTAATGTAAACATATAATTTACAATTATTAAGTAAACATGCAATATATAAATACATTAAATATATAAATATAAAACATGTAAATTATATAAAATATATACTACGTATAAAGAATAACTGTGGCTGGGGGAATTGTTGGTATTTGCTGTTTTCAATTTTTTTCTTTTTTTTTTAACAGACAGAGTCTTGTTTTGTTGCTCCAGTTGGAGTACAGTGGTGTGATCATGGCTCACTGCATCCTCAACCTCCTGGGCTCAAGCGGTCCTCCCACCTCAACCTCCTGAGTGCCTACTTCTTTTTTTTTTTTTTTAATGCAATGTGCATTTAAGAGGGGAAAAAAAGCAGTAACAGAAAAAGGAAACACTAAAAGAAAAAGGAAAAGAAAATCCTAGGCTGGGATTCAGAAAAGCAGGTTGATCTAAGATCTCAGTAGGCCTTGAACGACTATTCATAATCCCTCCCACCCAACCGCTACCTGCTCCCACCAGCACAGAAAGACCAGGCAATGACAGACTAACCTGTATAACCTGAACTTTGGAACAAAAGAACTAAAGAGATGCAGCATCTCATTTATATATATACATAGGGCTGACATATGAATTCCACTGTGGGTACTGCCTACTAAACCTTTCTTACATTCTCTGTCACCTCCCCTCATCCCAGAGGTCTAAACTTCTGTCTTCTAAGTTTGATTGTTTCCTAAGGCACTGCCATGTTCATCAAATCAGCTAGGAAAAAAGAACAAACAAACAAACATAACTTGTGGTCCCTTACCAAGAGCAAAAGAAGTCAGCTACTCGGTGTAAACAGGGAAGAAGGGAGGCATCACACAAGAGTGGATGGTGGAGACTGTGGTCAATCAGCTGGACTGCTGCTGGCTGTCCCGGACAGGATGTGAACTCAGCAACATCCACCTAGCTTCAGATCTTTTTAAAGAGAAGCTGAAGACCTAGATGTCTGGGAAATCTCTCTATTTTTCAAGGGTCCATGAGCATGCCCTTGGGGTGAGTTGCTTAGTTTCCTGATCTGGAAATTGGAGACCATTAAGAACATGTCTCTCACAAGGTTGTTGTGAAGTTTCAATGAGTTAATCTATCCAGAATACCTAGAAAGTTACCAGGCCCAGAGTAAGCATTTGGCACTCATCATCTTCCAACCACCAGCATCCACTGGCCACCAGTTTGCAACCCCTGGGCTGCTACTACCTGAGGGCCAGGGGGTCCCTGAGGGACGAAGATATGCTATCGTCATTTGTCCAATTCCTGGCACGCTGTTGGCAGCAGCATTTTCTGAACACATCAATCAACTGTAGAACAATTCCTAAAAAGTTAAGCTCCACAACGCTTTTCTGGCATCATCAACCCAGTTCCCCTAACTTCAAAGGGTGTGAGTGGGAGGCCAGGCATGGTGGCTCACGCCTGTAATCCTAGCACTGTGGGCGGCCGAAGTGAAAAGACTGCTTGAACCTAGGAGTTCGAGACTAGCCTAGGCAACATATGGAGACCCTGATTCTACCAAATAATTAAAAATTAGCCAGGTATAGTGGCCCACGCCTAAAGTCCCAGTTACTGTGGGGGCGAGAGGAGGTGGTGGTGCTGAGGTGGGAGAATTACATGAGCCTAGAAGTGCAAGGCTGCAGTGAGCCATGATCTCACCACTGCACTCCAGCCTTAGCAACAGAGCGAGACCCTGAATCAAAAAAGGGGTGGGAGTGGGGGTATGAGTGGGCTGTACAACAAGCACAGTAAGACAGCTCCACACCCTAGCCCCCAAGAAGCCCTGCCATTTACTGTGCTTTCTGAATTCCACTCTGCACTGGAGACTCAGGGTCCAGGAGTCTGAGGAGGCGTCAGGTCTGAGGAGGATGGGAACAGATGGCAGTCCCAAAAGTGCCTCCTTGTAACCACTGATCTATCAGGAATCCATAAGCTGCTCCTCCCTGCCCTGTCATTTGCTTACAAGTCTGCCTGCTGAGAAAAATCCCCATGAATTCTTAGGGTCCATATGCTGTTCTGGAAAGTTGGCCCTGTTTCAGGTAGAGAAAGAAAGACGCTCCAGTGCTTTCCTACCACAGCCTCTCCTCTGGCCTAGGTTCCAGTTACCTTTAAGAAACTAACTGTTATCACAGCCACCTTGCCAGTGAGGTTTACCTTGAGGCAAAACCTCAAATGATCCTGCAAACTGAGGATGGATGACAGTGATCACCACTGCACAGTAAATACTCAACATGTGTGAGACCCCAAACTAAATGCTCTCAGCAATCCTTACATCAACCTTTGGGCTAAGTATGAATATTCCCATTTCACAGAGGAGGAAAACAAATCTCAAAGACGTGACACAACACACCAAATGTTGACGGGTAGAGCGCAGATTCAAAATGCTGTTTGACTCTGAACAGAGGGCCTGTCATGAATTCACCACATAACCTTCTAGACAGACTCCCTGCACCCTGGAAAAATGCCTTAGTGTCTCATTGTATCAGTTATGGGGTATCACAAATGCACTCAGCATATATCTTTGGGAGAATGCTTACCCACATCCAGTCTTTCCTGCTCTTAATGCCAATGGAAATCTGTCGGCATTATTCCCTTGAGCACCTAATTATATGTTGGGAGCTAACTAATCTCCCTCAAAAAACCACAGGCCATTACAGGGCAAGGGTGACAAGAACCATTCCTACATGACCCAGCTCAGCAAAGACTTGTTAAATGAGTTCTTAAACAATTGTAGCTAGATTCTAAGACAAACTAGCTTTTTTCAATACTTTGCATATTTTTCTGAATTCTTGACTTCTCGACAAAGTCCACCCTGATCACCCCATGTAATACTACCACCTGCTACCTGCCTGGACATTTTCAACCCTCTGACCCTGCCCTACTTTTTCCTTTGCCCATAGCCCCTATCAACTTCTAACATACCTCATAATTACTGCCGGGCGCGGTGGCTCACGCTTGTAATCCCAGCACTTTGGGAGGCCGAGGCGGGCGGATCACGAGGTCAGGAGATCGAGACCACGGCGAAACCCTGTCTCTACTAAAAATACAAAAAATTAGCAGGGCGTGGTGGCAGGCGCCTGTAGTCCCAGCTACTCGGAGAGGCAGAGGCAGGAGAATGGCGTGAACCCAGGAGGCGGAGCTTGCAGTGAGCCGAGATCGCGCCACTGCACTCCAGCCTGGGTGACAGAGCGAGACTCCGTCTCAAAAAAAAAAAAAAAACAACAACTAATTGATTATGTTTATAATGTGTCATCTATCCTACCCTACCTGCCATCCCCACTAGAATGTACAGATCCCAAAGGCAAGACTGGTTTTTTGTTGTTGTTGTTGTTGTTGTTGTTGTTGTTGTTGTTGTTGTTGTTGTTTGAGACAGAGTCTTGCTCTCTCACCCAGGTTGGAGTGCAGTGGCGTGATCTCCACTCACTGCAAGCTCCACCCCCCAGGTTCACACCATTCTCCTGCCTCAGCCTCCCGAGTAGCTGGGACTACAGGCACCCGCCACCACACCCGGCTAATTTTTTGTATTTTTAGTAGAGACAGGGTTTCACTGTGTTAGCCAGGATGGTCTCGATCTCCTGACTTTGTGATCCGCCCACCTCGGCCTCCCAAAGTGCTGGAATTACAGGAGTGAGCCACCGCGCCCAGCCAAGACTGTTTTTTAACTGATGTATTCCAAGGGCCTACAACAGAGCATGGCACATAGTAGGT
The DNA here is from genome assembly GCF_000001405.40 of Homo sapiens. NCBI lineage: Eukaryota > Metazoa > Chordata > Mammalia > Primates > Hominidae > Homo > Homo sapiens. Next base: position 65,869,761 of record NC_000003.12, read on the forward strand.
ACTCCATAAATATTTCTAATCCAACTGAAATGAAATGAGGATCCTGGCCGCTTGGTGTCTCACATTCCTCACCTGCAATTAAGCGGTTGTAGTGCTGCTTATTTCATGAGAATGAGAAGGCAAGAGACACATGTGCAGCACGTGGCCCAGTGCTGGCACGCAGTAAGCGTTCAGTGCATCTCTCCTATTCTTTACCCTAGAAATCGAAATCTGCATTGCATTCTGTACCTGGCTTCATAGCTCAGGCCATTGATTACTACCCTCAAGTTGTTTCTGAATCTGGGAGAGCCATTCTTCATTAAATGCATTTCCTCTTAGAAAGAGCGATTTGTTCTACACGGATGCTGAGCATTTATTTCTATCATAGACAGGAGCCTATAATGTTGACAAATGTGCGTAATGATCAGTAAACAAACACAGGAAGGGCAGGGACTGAACTTAATTTAATAGGCTGCCTGAGCACTGAGATACTTTTTTTTTTTTTAATTCCCAGGATCCAACGTCAATTCAATACTGGAAGCCTGGGCCTCCAACAACCCTTCAGTTTCATTCATTAAGTGAAAGAGAAAGACTGTCCAAATGATAGGGAAAGCCTGTGTAGCAATGAGCTATTCACATTCTGATCTCCCCATGCACCCTGATCTCTTCTCTAGGACCTAGAGGGCAAGGGTGTGTCTTAATGCATCTTTCTATCTATCCCCTGGCCCCGGCTCCATGAATGGACCAAGGCAGTGACTCACTAAAATGAGAAAGAGAGCAGGGAAGGAGGGGAAGAAGACAGGGAGGCAGAAAGGAAGACAGTAAGAGAGTCAAATCAAGTAGAGAAGGAGGGAGGGAGAGGAGAAGGGAAGGAAGACAGAGAAAGACAGGAGAGAGGCAGGGTGGGGGGGGTAGGAAAGAGGGTAGAGAAGAAGGAAAACTAGGACTGTTCATAGTGGGATTTTACCATTTTAGTGAAAAAAAAAAAAAAGAAAGAATGAAAAGGAAATGAAGAAAGACTAAGACTTTTATATGTTCCTACAAGTGTGAAAAGATATTCAGGCCGGGCATGGTGGCTCATGCCTGTAATCCCAGCACTTTGGGAGGCCAAGGTGGGAGGATCACTTGAGCCCAGGAGTTCAAGTCCACCCTGGGCAATAAATTGAGATGAGACTCCATCTCATACACATATAAATATAAGTACAAAATTTTTTTTTGAGACACAGTCTCACTCCGTCATCTAGGGCAGAGTGTAGTAGTGCGATCACAGTTCACTGCAACCTCTGCCTCCCGGATTCAATTGATCCTTCCACCTCAGCCTCCTGAGAAGCTGGAACTACAGGCACACACCACCACGCCCAGCTAATTTTGTATTTTTTCTAGAGATGGTGTCTCACTATGTTGCCCAAACTGGTCTTGAACCCTGGACTCAAGCAAACCACCCTCCTCCACCTCCCAAAGTGCTGGGATTACAGACATGAGCCCCCATGCCCAGCCTAATAGTTATATTTTTAAAACAAAAAATATATATATTCAACCAGGTAACACTGAATGCCTCAAGGTGGGAGTGAGGGAGAGTTGAAACTGGGGTTGGGGGTTGTGGGAGAGAAGAATGCATGCACTCTTTCTTCATGCACCTGTGTAATTAATGTTTGACTTGCTCCAGGATTGGGACAGCGTGACTGCAGCACAGCCAGCCAGCTGAAAGCACAACACTGAGAAAAGCAAATTTGGGAATTGCTGAAGGGGAAAGAGAGGAAAATAACTGTGGAATTCTGGGTGCTTCCCAGGAGGCCAGTATTACAGCTTAGAGGCCAAAGCAGTCAGCAGTCAAGAGCTGGCATGAGGCCAGTACAGCTGGAAACACAGCAGGTGGAGTGAGGTGGAGGGAAGGAACACGCAGGCTCAGGGATCCGGCTTAGGAAAAATCAGGCTGGGGGACTTAAAGTAAGGTGAGCAGGAATCATAACTACTTAGGTTTACCTCTGTGCAAAGTTTTCTACTGAATGCTGGGACAGAAACTCAAAACCTTGCCCTTCAGATAAGGCTAAATATTACAAAAAGAAAATTTCCAACTTTCCTTTCTCCCTAACCCCACGCAGTCATTGTCCCTTATTGGAGCAGCCCAGAAAGCCCTGGATGAATCACTGGCTGCTATTCTATTCTGCCTGGGTCGGTAACAGTTCTCCACCTGTTCCTGTCTATAAGCAAAGACATTCTCTTTGTCTGCCTCCCAGTCTTCTGCAGTCAATACACTGGTGTCAACTTATCAGAGTTCTCGCTCTACTAACCAGTTGTGTAACCTGGGGACTGACCCTCTCAGACTTCCAAATTCCTAACTGGGAAAACTGGGAAAATTAACAGAACATAGCTCATGGGGTTGTTGTAAAGATCAAATTAAATAATTACATTAGCACAATGACTAGCAATGGAAAGCCCTTGGTAAATGTGAGCTGTTACTTTTAGGCAATGCTTCATATACTGCTCACAGTCCCTATAATATAGGTGCTTGTTAGAGTTGACTTAAGTTTTCTAACATTAAGTAGCTAGTAAATGGCAGAGCTAGAATTTGAATCCATATTAAAAATTTATGTACCCAACTAATAATTATTTTGTCTCCAACTCTTCCTCTCCACTGTCTTCCCTTTCTTTAATACATATTAGCCTGTCCCCTTCTCCATTCTACCTTCATCAATTTCTCTTTCTCTTTCCTGTCCCTAACCTGCACACACTGGAGGCCACAAACACACACTCTAAGCATAAAGCTGAGTGTGAGATTAAAACAGAAGAGGATACAAATCAGAACCTATTGGCAGTGTCTTCTAAAGCCAAACAAATGAAAGAAAGGAGTGTTTATGTCTACCAAAACACTCAGACAATAAATAGAGCAGCTTTATTGAAAATAGCCCCAAACTACAAGCTACCCAGATGCATATGAATAGAAAAATAAATATTTTATTGTATGTACATGCAAGTGAATATTATACAACCAATAAAAATGAACTACTGACACACACAACACAAGGGTCATGTCTCCCAAACATACTGGACAAATTAAGCCAGACATAAAAGAGTACATACCATAGTTTTTATTTATTTGAAGTTCATGAGCAGGCAAAACAAATATATGGTAATAGAAGAACCGGAACAGTGCTGACCTCTTTAAGAGGAGAGCACTGAGTGGGAAATAGCACAAGGAGTCTCCCAGGGTACTTATGATGTTCCATATATTAATCTGGTGATGGTTACACAGTAATACCTCAATTAAAAGGTCACGAAGTTGCACTTAATATTAACACACTTTATGTATTCCAGACTTCAATTCTAAAAAAAGAACAAAGGTAATAAAAATAATCAGAATCCATTTCACTGCAGAAGTTTCCAAGGTTCTGGGGCAGCGGCCAAGATGGCGAGCTTTGGTGCTGTCCGTGGGTAAAGTGCTGATTTGTCTCTTGGCTGAGACCTCAGATAACCTCATGTATGAGAAGGAGAAGGAGTAGATCAGGACACATCCAGTGACGTCACAGCCAAGTACATCTGCTGCTCTCTGGACCCACGGCAAGCTCTCAGGCCTGCAGAGGTTTGCAGCAAAATCTACAGCAAAGCTCGTCCACAGCTGAGCTGCTTGTGCTTACTCTACATAGTGTTCCTGTGATAACCCTCAAAGTTAATTCCTACTGCTTATTTTCTGGCACATCTGATGCTTTTTACTTGGTACATTATGGCACTTTGGTTCTCTATCTTCTCCTTATCTGAGCAAGGGCTTCATGCCTCTAAGATGTTTATTCCCTCTGATCACAAAGGTTTCAGACAAAGGGGGACTGCTGAAATCCACTCATTTGGTTATCAGGCACGTTATTGCATTATTACATTATTACACTTTGTGGGAGAGAAGGACAGCATGTGTAGAGACTGGACAGTAACAGTGTGTCAAGACCTCTGCATATTTGATTTCAACACAGGTGCCAAGAAAATTTAACAGAAAAAGAATCGCCTTTTCAACAAATGGTGCTGGGAAAACTTCACATCCACATGCAAAAGAATGAAGTTGGGACCCTTTCCTATGCAATACACAAAAAAAATGGACCATATACCTAAATGTAAAACCTAAAACTATGAAACTCTTAGAAGATATAAAAGTAAATCTTCAAAACCCTGGGTCAGGTGAAGCCTATTTAAATATAAACCAAAACCACAAACAAAAGAAAAAAAATAGATAAAAGTTTTGTGCTGCAAATGATACCATCAAGAAAGTGAAGATGCAGGCTAGGTGTAGCAGCTCACGCCTGTAGTCCCAGTACTTTGGGAACCCAAGGCAGACAGATAGCTTGAGCCCAAGCATTCGATATTAGCCTGGGCAACACAGCAAGACCCCATCTCTACAAAAAATACAAAAATTAGCCAGGTGTGGTGGCATGTACCTGTAGTCCAAACTACTCAGAAGGCTGGGGTGGGAAGATCATTTGGACCCAGGAGGTGGTGGTTGTAGTGAGCCGAAATCTCACCACTGGACTCCAGCTTGGGAGGTAAACTCTGTCTCAAAAAAATTTGTTTAAAAAGCCTCTGTCTCAAAAAATTTTTTAAGAACGTGTAGATGACCCACAGAATGAGAGAACATACTTAAAATCACACATCTGATAAAGGACTTGTATCCACAACATATAAAGAACTGTTACTCAATAATAAAAGACATATAACACTATTTTTAAATGGGCAAACCATCTTAACAGACATTTTTCCACAAGATGATGTACAAAAGACCAAATAAACACATTAAGAGATGGGCAACATCATTAGCCATCAGGGATATACAAATGAAAAACACAATGAGATCGACTTCATACACCTTTGATTGGTGTACAAAGACAGGCAAGTGCTGGTGACGACGTGAAGAAACTGGATCCTTCATACACTGCTGGTGTGAATGTAAAATGGTGCAGCTGCTTTAGGAAGCAGTCTGGCAGTTACTAAAAACTTAAAGAGTTTCCATTTGAACCAGCAATTCCATTCCCAGGTATGTACCCAAGAGAAATGAAAACATATGTTCACACAAAAACCTGTACATGAATATCCATAGCAGTATTACTCACCATAGCCAAAAACTAGGAACAACCCAAATGTCCTTCAACTGATGAATGGGGAAAAAAATATGTATCTATAGAATGGAACATTATTTAGCCATTAAAAGGAATGAAAAGCCAGGTGTGGTAGCTCACGTCTGTAATCCCAGCACTCTAGGAGGCTGAGGCAGGAGGATCACTTGCAGCCAGGAGTCTGTGACCAGCCTGGACAACACAGCAATACCTTGTCTCTACAAAAAACAAATAAACAAACAATGGAATAAAGAATTGACACATGCTACTATGTAAATAATACTGAAAATACTATGCTAAGAAGCCAGTCACAAAAGACCTCACACAGCAGTTCACATTTATATGAAATATAAATAGCCAAATCCAAAAAGACAGAAAACAGATTTGTAGCTGCCTAGAACTTGGGGGTAGGGGAGTGATACAGAAAAGGTAAAGGGTTTGTTGTTGAGATGATGAAAATGTTAAGTTAGACTTCAGAGATGGCTGCACAATTCTCTGAATATATTTAAAGTATTTAGTTGTAAACTTTAAATGAGTGATTTGTATGGTATTTGAATTATATCTTAATAAAGCTGTTATGTATTTCAGAAAAGAAAGGAATCAGGAAAAAGGAGAATAAATGACTACGAAATTTACAAAATGTTTTTTACAAAACCCTTAAGGCTACTGAGGTTGCATGAGGAAATGGAAAAAACACATGACTATGACCAATGTCAGAGGTGCACAGATCTATTTGTAGCTCTGCCTCTCCATATCGATCAGCCCCATGACCTTGGTAAAGACACTTATCTCCTCCAGGCCTCTCTGAAAATGAAGGACTACAATAGGTCATACTGTAGTTCCCTTCCAGCCCTACTATATCCTCATTCTTAAAGATGCATTACAGTTTAGTGACCACAGCCTAACATAATAATGAAGAAGAAGATAAAGGAATAATAACAGCTAGTACTGACTGAGCTCTTACTTCACGCCACTGCTGTTCCTGTCTCAGCTCGTTAAATTTTCACAACACCTCCCTGAGACCGCTGTTATCCTCATTGCACAGATGAGGAACTGTGGCTGAGAGGGGATGAGAGTTGTGGAATCAACATAGAAACCAACCAGTCCACATTAAAGCAAGTGGACAGAAAACAGTAAGAGGGAGGAAACCAAGCATTCGTTTTTTAAGGGACTGATGGATTCTTTAATAGGTTTAGCTATGCTGTGAGGGTTTTTCAGTTCTGCTGTGAGGGTTTTTCAGTTTTGCTGGAGAGTTTAGGGAAGAATTAGAGATGAGGATGAAGAAAATTAAGCAAAAAAAAAAAAAGCAAAGCATTTTATTCACGTCATAAAAAAGCAATACAGCTGGGTACAGTGGCACATGTCTGTGGTCCCAGCTACTCAGGAGGCTGATGCAAGAGGATCACTTGGGCCCAGGAGTTCAATGCTACAGTGTGCTACGATCACGCCTGTGAACAGCCACTGCACTCCAGCCTGGGCAATATGGTAAGAATCCATCTCCTAACCCACTCACCACCCCCCCCAAAAAAGGCAATATAATTATAGTGTCCTATGTGGCTCAGCTGAGAAATGCTGATGTACTGATACTACTATGTAGTTAGGAATAAGGTAGACGGGAAAAAAGTGTGGGTTTTACGGAGTAAAACAAAATTAAATCCTCAACTTCTTTACCAGGGATAACAGAAAATAACAATAGATAATACCTAAAATTGAAATCACAATAAATATAAATATGAACATATCATTTCTAAATATAGAGGGAAATGCCAGAAGGAACAGCTTACAGAGTTAAAGGTGGTGCCCTCTGTGATGTCACACTGAAGAATGGGCAGCAGTGATATTAAAGATTAATGTTTTTGTGATAAATCTTAAAGTACTTTTGAATTTCTTAAGATTATCTGCATGTATCATGCTTTTTTTTTTTTTTTTGAGACAGAGTCTTGCTCTGTCGCCCAGGATGGAGTGCAGTGGCCCAATCTCAGCTCACTGCAAGCTCCGCTTCCCAGGTTCATGCCATTCTCCTGCCTCAGCCTCCCGATTAGCTGGGACTACAGGCACCTGCCACCACGCCCAGCTAATTTTTTGTATTTTTAGTAGAGACGGGGTTTCACCATGTTAGCCAGGATGGTCTCAATCTCCTGACCTCATGATCCGCCCGCCTCGGCCTCCCAAAGTGCTGGGATTACAGGCATGAGCCACTGCGCCTGGCCTATGCTCTAATTTTTAAGTAAAAATTAAATTAACACAAAACAAAAACCTTATCCAAGTTTAAGCTGGGACTCAAATGCAAGTGTGAGTCCAAATTCCAGGCTGTGATCAACATACTCTGTGGTCCAACTTATGGGACCTTTTCCCATATGGGATTTATATAAACTGCTGTTGGAGATGCCTTTATACAAATTAAGTAGTTTTTGACATAATCACCAATATGAGTCAATGTATGGGAGAGAAGAAATGAAACTCTACAAGGTACAACTCCCTCTTTACCAACAAACACGAAACTGGGATGAGTAACATCTCAGGGCATGGACTTATACAATACTTAGGGCACAAACATAAATGTTGGCAGCCTCCCTGAAAATGTGAGCAGCTCTCAAACACCCACAGATATTTTAATGTGTTTTTCTCCACTTGTATCCACGTAGAGAGGTTCCCCAGAGATGACCTCAATTTGAATCCAGAAGAAGACAGCATGCCTCTAAGACACTTGGAGAAAGTGTCTTAGCTCTCAGACATGAAATCAGTAAGGTAAGAAGAAGGTGGGAAAATATTTTCCTACCAAAACAGTCACCTGTATTTTAGTTTAACTGATTCCCAGGTTCAAGCAATTCTCCTGCCTAAGCCTCCCAAGTGGCTGGGATTACAGACACCCACCATCATGCCTGGCTAATTTTTGTATTTTTGTAGAGACAAACTCAAAAGCTTTCTGATCACTGGAAAAGAACCTGATCATCTATGAGAACAGAACACCCCATAACAAAACAGGAACATGGGGCCAGGCATGTGGCTCATGTCTGTAATTCCAGCACTTTGGGAAGTCAAGGTAGGAGGACTGCTTGAGCCCAGGACTTTGAGACCAGCCTGGGCAATATGGTGAGACACTGTCTCTACAAAAAGTGTTTTAAAAAATTAGTCAGGCACAGTGGCGCACACCTGTGACACCAGCTTCTCAGGAGGCTTAGGCAGGAGGATCACCTGTGCCGAGGAGTTGGAAACTGCAGTAAGTCATCATCACACCACTGCACTCCAGCCTACGTGACAGAGTGAGGTTCTGTCTCAAAAAAAAAAGGAAAAAAAACACAGGAACACGGACATCACAAAACCACACTGGGCTTTGGCAAAACCTCACCTAACACGGTTTCCAGGCTTCAAGTCAAAAGTTGGATATAAGAATGCAGACTTGGCCGGGCACGGTGGCTCACGCCTGTAATCCCATCACTTTGGGAGGCCAAGGCGGGCAGATCACCTGATATCAGGTGTTCAAGACCAGCCTGGCCAATATGGTGAAACCTCGTCTCGACAGAAATACAAAAATTAGCCAGGCATGGTGGTGGGTGCCTGTAATCCCAGCTACTTGGGAGGCTGAAGTAGGCGAATTGCTTGAACCTGGGAAGCAGAGGTTGCAGTGAGCCAAGATTGCGCTATTGCACTCCAGCCTGGACAACAGAGCGAGACTCAGTCTCAAAAAAAAAAAAAAAAAAGAACGCAGACTTATTTTTTTATTTGCCAAAATAAAGAAAAAATAAATTATTATTCTCTACCATCCTCGAATAAGTGTTTATTATACCCCAATATTAGAAGGAAGAAATAAAAGTAAAAGATAAAGCACACCAGTGACAAAATGGATATGTTTCCCACCATGAATGCATATTTCGTTTGTGGCAGTTTAAATATTACACTTTGCTTCAATGCTGTCTGCTGGTTACAAATAGCCCAGGGCCCTGCTCCTGATCACAGCTCAAAGGAAGGCTGCCTGGACTGATTTAACGACCATCTCCAACCAGAAGCTGCCTCCAATTTATCTACGAAACAGGTATAGGTAGGGGAAAGAGCAGAGGTGAGTATGGTTTTCTGCAGTGGGCAGTTTCCTTCTCCAAGGCCTTCCTCCACATCATTCAGCCCGCCTGACTTCCTTTCACCTGCCCCTGCTGCCTGAGCTCCTGCTGGGGGTTGCAGTGATCAAAGTCAATACAAGCCTCACTTTAGAATGGCTTCCATACCATCAATCCACGTTTGAAAAACAACCACCAAAAAGACTTGTGCTCATTGGTAAACAAGAGTATCCCCACCAGGCAGGCCCACAGCCTAATTGGGAGTGACTCAGCTCATCAATGCACCAGACTCGGCCGAAAATTTCTCAACTTGTTGATACAAAGCTAGACATTAAGGTGGAAGCGGAGAGCAAAGAGAAGCATTTAAGTTCGCTGGGAGTCCCAGGGTCCACCATTAAGCCCCCTGTTTTCGGCAATCATTTTGCATTGCTAAGGACAGTGGAAGACCTGGCCCCAATCCACCACAGTAGGCAGAATCTGAATATGGGAGTAAAGGTTCCAAGCAGAGAGAAGTCAGGCGATTAAGGGAAGAAACAGGTCTCTTTAACAATTAAAGCCTACCTTATGATCATGTTATTACACTTGGAATAAATGTTACCTAGGAGACATCATGCTTAAAGCTTCACATATTATAACAACCTTGGGCAACCTGACCACCTGTGACATAATCCCAGCTCTACTATGTGCTGGCTGTGTGTTCTCAGGCAAAGTTCTTAACCTCTCTGTGCTCAGAATCATCTGTAAACTGGGAATAATCATGAGTTCTACAACTCAATTTAGAGTTATAAGGTTTGAAGTTGATAGTCTAGGTACAATACCTGGTACATAGAAAGGAGCAAAATGGTAGCATTATCATTTCATGATGGTTATTATTATTATTCCCACTTTACAGACTAGGAAACCAACCTTAGAAAGAATCACAAATTTGTCTCAAGTCACACAGCTGATAAGTGGGCTGAACTGGGTCTGTCTGATGAACTCTGAAGCCCATTCTCTAATTACCTATTACAGTCTCTCCTCTCCCCTTGTAGTTCCTGCCCTTGTCATCCCTAACAGACACATGGCATCAGCTACTAGAATCTGTGTGATTAAAAAGTTGGGCTCAGTGGCTCACGCCTGTAATCCCAGCACTTTGGGAGGCCGAAGCAGGAGTTCAAGACCAGCCTGGGCAACATGATGAAACCCAGTCTCTACTAAAAATATAAAAATTAGCTGGGTATGGTGGCACACACCTGTAGTCCCAGCTACTCAGAAGGCTAAGGCAGGAGGACTGCTTGAGCCTCAGAGGTAGAAGTTGCATTAAGCTGAGATTGCACCACTGCACTCCAACCTGGGTGACAGAGCAAGACCCTGTCTCAAGAAAGAAAAAAAAAAATAGCCTTGGAAGAAAATTCCTGTAAAAACCCACACAGTAGTAATGATAACAGTAGTAACAGTAGTGCTGGCAGTGATGGCTGCTGTCATCATCACAGTAGTAGCCAAAATCAGTGACCCTTAGCGCATGTCACTGTGGGCTAAATGGTATATATACAACATCTCATATCCCCTGTCAGGAAGGACTCCATGTGTCACAATTCAGCCAAAACATCAGGGATTTGGAAATGGTATCACCAAAGGAGAGCTATATGTTGGCAGGACAATTATGAACAAGAAATACTGCTGACTGGTCCCAAAACAAATATCTTTATGACAGATGAGGTGGGAGAATCAGCATATGAAATGGCCATGTCATAAAAGTAGCATTCCACGCTTCAAACTTGAGGAGATAATAAACGGCTGACAACTAGATTCCACCGGGAGAACATCCTCACTAGCCCATCACAGCAGCAAAGGCAGGGAAGAAACACTTTTAAGTTTTATTCACTTAGTTCCACTGCACTGAGAGTAAAATCCAAAAAACTAGTTGTAACCTCCTGAATTAAAGAAAAGAGAAAGATACTACTGTTGGCCTGGGACACATCTCAGCAATATCTCATCACTTTCGTCCTCTTCCGCATTTTCATGGGAAATAAAATATCTCTGGCGTGTGTGTGTGTGTGTGTGTGTGTGTATGTAACAGGGTCTCCCTCTGTCACCCAGGCTGGAGTGCAGTGGCATGCTGCCACCTCTGCCTCCCGGGCTCAAGCGATCTTCCCGCCTCAGACTCCCAACTAGCTGGGGCTACCTAATTTTAGTATTTTTTGTAGATACAGGGTTTCTCCATGTTGCCTAGGCTGGTCTTGAACTCCTGAGCTCAAGCGATCCACCTGCCTCAGCCTCCCAAAGTGCTGGGATTACAGAAATGAGCCACTCTGGCATCTGATTTTAACTCTTCTGCACCCTGAGATTAAGAAAGGCAAGCACTGGGACTTGTTCACTGCTAAACACCCAATACTCTTAGATAAGAGAGTACCTGGTATTAGGAAACAGATAATAAATATCTGATCAATGCATAAATGATGGATCTAAATCTCTTGACAAAGCCAAGTGCAGTGGCTCACACCTGTAATCCCAGCACTTTGGGGGGCCAAGGCAGGAGGATCACTCGAGGCCAGGAGTCCAAGACTAGGCTGGGCAGGGTGGCAAGACCCCATCTCTAAAAAATTTTTTGTAATTAGCTGGGCATGGTGGTGTGTGCCTATAGTCCCAGATACTCAGGAGGCTGAGGCAGGGGCATCACTTGTGCCCAGGCGTTGGAGGCTGTAGTGAGCCATGATCTCACCACTCTACTCCAGCTTGGGTGACAGAGCCAGACCCCTTCCTCAAAAAAAAAAAAAGTTAGGACTTCCATATGAGTATAATAAGCTCATCACACATTTGTAAGCTCATCAAATGATTTTTATTTTGTCTTAAGAACGTCTAGGTGTACAGGAATGTGTTCTCAAGTCTATGGGAGGGGGATTCAGCTCCTAGTGTTCATCCAAGCACTTTTTTTTAGCAACTGGGCTGAATAGGAGAGGAAGCCCTTAAATTCCTTTCTTCATCTAAGTAGGTTGTGGTCAAAAAGGCATAAGAGCCTCTGGAAAGCCAGTAGAGGAAACGGCCCTAGCTAGGCAGTGCCCATCCAAGGCCTGTCAAGAGGAGATCAAGTTCTATCACAGATCAAATGACAACACTTCCTATTCCCCAAGCAACCTTCAGTTTAGGAAACTCCTGACTTCCCCTCTGAGGTTTGCCAACAGGGAGAAATGCATTAAAATGCAACAATAAACATTCTATCCAAAGAAAGTTGGTTTTCTTTCTGTAAATTCATAAGCAGTCATTTTGATCTCTGTATCATTCTCTGTGAGGTGGGTTGATGTGAGTTTCTTGGGAAACACCCTTTGTGAGGCTCCTTGGGATCACTCTAAGATGTACCTTTCAGACAGGCTTCTTCAGTTAGTAACAGAAACCAACTCTGCCTAACTTAAAGAAGAAAAAGCTGTTTACTACATGGACACAAAAGACAAAGCTGAAGAAATCGCCTTAGGAAGGTAGGAAATCAAAATAACTCTAAAGACCTAGGAGGCAGGAACTAGCAATCTCTTCTGTTCACCTCTGGGTGAATAGTTTTTATATCACTCAGTTCCATACTCAAATTCAGGAAGAGTATGTCTGATTGACAGAGCTTAAGTTACATGTTTTCCCATCTACAGGATGGCAGGGAACCTCGGTTGACCATCCCATTAAGACTAAGGGAGACATTCCTCAACTGGGGGGAAAAAAGGAGGAGGCAAGAGAGAGAAAGAAAGGAAAAAGAAGAGAATAAATCAGAAAAGAAAATGTGCACGCCAAAAATGCACAAGTTGACCAGGCACAGTGGCTCACATCTGTAATCCCTGCACTTTGGGAAGCTGAGGCAGGCAGATGGCTTGAGCTCAGGTGATCAAGATCAGCCTGGGCAACATGGTGAAACCCCATCTCTACAGAATATCAGAAAAAATTAGCCAGGCATGGTGGTGTGCACCTGTAGTCTCAGCTACTTGGGAGGCTGAGGTGGGAGGATCACTTGAGCCCAGGAGGTTGAGGCTGCAGTGAGCCATGATCACGCAACTGCATTTCAGCCTGGGCAACAGAGCAAGACCCTGTCTCAAAAAAAAAAAAAAAAAGGAAAAAAGAAAGGAAAGAAAAGGGAAAAGGGAAGAGAAAGGACAAGTTGACCTCACAAACAAGCAGTCAGGTATCTTAGCTGCCCCTAACCAGTGGCCTACATCAACAATTTATACACCCATTTATCTCCCCAGTTTCTTTTAACATTCCAGTCATTTCGTGGCTCAAGCTGTAGTAAAACGTCACAGGTCTGGCAATACCACAGCCACTCAAGTGAAGAGTACAGTTTAAAAGCATATGTTCGAAATGAGCCCAAAATATTAGCAAATGGCATAAAAAAGGATTCAGGCATTTTACTACACAACAGTTATTGAAGTTGGATTTTGTGTTACCTAAACAAGTTGAAAAAAATATTTCACAAAACCCTCCTCCACAGAAGTTGTACTAGCAAATTCCAGTCTAAAAGAAGTAAAATCAAATAATTCTGAAACGCAACCCTCAAGAATAAACAAGAATATATATTTTATAAACAGGGTGGGTCACAGTAAGGAAGAATTTAATACTTGCTAGACAAACAATTCTTCACAACAATTATAACAAAGACTTAGCTCTGGAATTGTACAGAAACTGGCAATTTGCTATGAGATTCTACTTCTGGAAGACCACCCAGTTTACATGGAATGTGTCCTTTACTGAATTATTAATATTCACAAGTTTCAGAAGATATTCTATGAAAAAGAAGTGTTGCTTTAAACACTGGCATCAGACTATCCAGTTGTGAGACAAATGACACCTTCCTGAATTGCCACTGCATTTCCCACTGTTCTAACCCTCTCCTCAGTCTGATTTTCCCTGTCTCTTGCCCTCAGACAGAGGGAGAAACAATGGCTGCAGCAGTAACAACTGTTTATCTTAGGTTTTGTGTACACATGAATTGCCTGTGGGCGTTTTGCAAAATGTCACTCCCCCGAATAAACTACTGGAGCCAGAACATTTCCTGTTCATCGAAAGAAATAAACTTTTCAGTCTTAATTCCCCAGTCTACCAAAAAGAAAAAAGAAAAGAATTCTTTCTGAATCATTCCCTAAAAGGCTTTTAAAAAAAATCAGAAAGAAGGAAAATGAAATGAGACTCTAGCAGAAAAGCAAGACAGAATACACTTATCTTAAAGGGAAAAGAACAAGAATGAAAAGAGCAAGATAAACAGAGAGTAGAAGAAACCAACCACAGGTTTTATTAAAGGGATTTCAAGGTGATGGTCAACTAATTAGATTCCTGAATTCACAATGTAACAGAAAGAAAAACACGTCCGAATAAAGCCTACCAACTCTCTCCACCCTGCCATGTGCTGCCTTTTCTTAGATACAACAAGGAACTAGTGACACTGTGCATATAGCACATAGCGATACTGTGCATGAGGTATCCAAGTGCAGACTCATTACTGATACACAAGGAAAAATTGTACCACATGGGGTGGAAGAACGAAGGGAGAACTTGACCAAGCTCCCATCTAGAAACACACAAGATAGGTGAACAATGGCCAAAAAGTACTTCCCTTAAATACAAAAAGCATGGCATCAAAATGTGAGATAAAATTAAGGAAGAATACATTTAAGACAACTTGAATCCATTTTCTAACTACTAAAATACTGAGCTATTAAACAACTAATTTTGCTATCAAATGAACAAAGATTTTCTTTTCTTTTTTCTTTTTTTTTAAGATTCAGGGGGTACATGTGCAGGTTAGTTACATGGGTATATTGCATGATGCTGGGGTTTGGGCTTCCAATGATCCTGTCACCCAGGTAATGAACACAATCCCACCAGGCATTTTTCAACCCCTTCCTCCATCTCTCCATCCCCACTTTGGGAGGCCCAGTGTCTGCTGTTCAACGTTAGTTCCCACTTATAAATGAGAGCACATGGAATTTGGTTTTCTGTTAGAGGAACAGAGATTTAAGGATTGGAGAGAGTATAAGAAAATTTGTATTAGCATGATATGTACCAAAACCTAAAGATCTAAAACCAAGTAATTCCACATGTAATATTTGTCTCAAGGAAATATTCAGAGAGATATATAAGGCTGTATGCACAAAAATTGTTCATCACATCATTGTTTATGAAAGCACTTCAGAAACAACCTAAATATTCAACAAAAAAATCACATATAAAATAAATTACAAAACAGTCATAAAATAGATACCTGGATGAAAAAACGTTTTCAGGTCGGGCGCAGCAGCTCACATCTGTAATCCCAACAATTTGGGAGGCCGAGGTGGGCAGATCACCTGAGGTCAAGAGTTCAAGACCAGCCTGGCTAACACAGTGAAACCCCATTTCTACCAAAAACACAAATTAGCCCGGTGTGGTGGTGCGCATCTGTAATCCCAGCTACTTGGGAGGCTAAGCCAGGAGAATCACTTGAACCCAGGAGGCAGAAGTTGCAGTGAGCTGAGATTGTGCCACTGCACTCCAGCTTGGGCAAGAAGAGCAAAACTCTGTCTCAAAAAAAAAAAAAATAGTTTTCACATATATTGTGAACGTTATTCCCTATCAAGTATAATGAGGGGGAAAAACAAAACTCAGAGTGTGTGATATGGTTTGGCTGTGTCCCCACTCAAATCACATCTGGAATTGTAGCTTCCTTAATCCTTACATGTCATGGAGGGACCCAGTGGGAGGTACCTTAATCATGGGGGTGGGTTTTACCCATGCTATTCTCATGATAGTGAATAAGTATCATGAGATCTGACGGTTTTATAAAGGGCAGTTCCCCTGCACACGCTCTCTTGCCTGCCACCATGTAAGACTTGACTTTGCTCCTCCTTCACCTTCCACCATGATTATGAGGCCTCCCCACCCATGTGGAACTGTAAGTCCATTAAACCTTTTTCCTTTATAAATTACCCAGTCTCAGGTATGTGTGTACTAGCAGCGTGAGAACGAACTAACACAGTACGAAATGGTTATAATTTATACAATAAATGCTCATGTGCTTATAGGTGGCATCTGTCTGCATGTGTATACATGCATACACACATATACACTCATACTACATAATACTATTTAAAAATCAAATATTGAATGGTGGTTATCTCTGAGCGGAGATGTTACAGTTTTATTTATCTATATTATCTAACTATGCAAACAAGTATAACTGAAAGCAAAAATCACCTTACAAAGAATAATGTGCTATATACTTAAGTTTAGAACTGTAATGGGCCAACCTTTCATTCCATTGAGAAATAGGCTCTTATATTCCGTATCTCCCTATTTTGCATAGTTTTATTACCTAATAAGATACTGTTTCACACCAATTCTGCACAGAAAGTTCATATGTAAATGTCCTATTATTAGCAAGATTATATGTTGTATTTTTTGACAGTCAAACTGCATAAATGGATGAGGACAAGAAAATATTCTAAATAGCAATTTTTTTTCATTTGGTACATCAAAGGGATTTTTCATTTAATCTCAAATAAGCGTGTCTCAAGATTCTCTTTTTAAAAAAATAATAAAGGCATGATCTTCAGCAAAGACTGAGTTACCTCCAAAAATACATTCTCCCCTTCCTCCAAACTCTCAGTTGAGCATATGGCTGCCCTCATTAAAGGCTTTTGTTGCAGCTAGTTATGGCCACACGAGCAAGGTCTGGCTTATGAGATGTGAGCAGAAGCACAGTGTGTCATTTCCAAGCCGTGTCTGTGAAGAGAAGAGACCTGCTCTCCTCTTGTCTCCGTCTCACTAGCCAGAATGCACAGGAGGACAATATCTCTATAATGACAGAGCAATATATGAGACAGAATCTCAGTCCCCAACCTTGCAGAATCACAGTAGCGTAGGACTGTTACATGGCTAGACCGTTACATAAGGTAGAAATGAACTTCTACTATATTGAAGCCACTGTGATTTGAGGTAACTGCTAATGCAGCCAAACCTATATGTTGGCTGATACACAGAAAGCTTGAACAAAATAACCAGTATTGAACCAGTAAACTATTAATTTCTCCTACCTGATCCTACACATCTCTTCTCCAAAAAACATTTCAGAATGGGTATACACCACTGTCATTTCTTAATAATTTAAGAAAATAAAGTACCTAGTTAATGTCAAAGGCTTCTGTGCAAACTCATAAAATACAAGGTGCACTTAAAATAAATATAAAATACTGATTAAGAATAGTCTAAGTTGAAACCAAGATTCTCAGACATGAGTAAAATAAGTATGTATGCCATCTCAAAAAAAGATTCCAAAGATCATATGCATATTTTTATCTGTATAGAAAAATTGAAAAAATATATCCCAAACTGGTTGCCTCTGGAGGATTAGAATTTTAGGTTGAGAACAGAAGGAGATAACAGGAAAAATTTAGTTTTCTACTTTATATTCCTGTGTTTTATTTGAATTTTTGCCACAAACATGTATTACTTTAGTAATACACAAAAACTACAAAAATAAAGCACATATTAGAACTCTGTACAGCAGACTGATACCAGAAAAAAAAAAAAAAAAGGGCAGGGGCAAGAGGGGGAAATAAGATTTCTATCTACAAATAAAACCACAGCCTTCTGAATTCTGGGATGTAAATTCATAAACCTGTAACTTCTACTGTGCATTAAAAAAAACTATAACATACCATAAAACCTGTATCTATTTCTTTAACTTCCTTACCTTTACCAAATACCACAATTTCTCTTAGACAGAGACAGTAAACATAAAACTCATGAAAAACTAAAGAGACAGAAAAATAAAAATTCTATGTCTGGTTAGGACGTTAATAAGCTCACAATCATAGGACACCACTATTATCTAAGGCACAGTGTTTTCAATTTGGATAGTAAGTCAGTTCATCTTTGAGCTTCGATCAATGTCTTAAAGCTTTCAAGACCACATGAGGATATGGTACATTGCCCATTATCTCACTTACTGAGTGACCTATTATTCATTGAATTTATTTCCACACAAGAGAACAGCATAGATACAGTATCCTAAATGATCATGCACATAAAACAAACATTAACATCATATTCATCGTTAGCAACTATTAGAACCTGTATATTACACTCTCAATAACTGACTGTATCATTCAAGTTGATATTAGTTCAATATGGTATATTCTGTGTTTCATAAAGAACCTATCACCAAACTAAGATTTTTTGAGATCAGCAAAACCCAATCTTTATAAAAGGTGCCCAGTTGATTAGCGAAATTACCTTCTCTCTACTGTGAAAACAATTCCCACTATCCAACCTGATGGTAAGAAAGCTGCTACATAATTGTGTGTGAAGGCCCTGAACTTCAAACATTCCTAGAACAGATTTTTCCTAATGGTGACAGGACTTAAAATCTAAGAAGCCATATGAAGCATCAGAACCCATCTCAATAACTTTACAAAAGCACAAGAATAGTCAAGGAGAGGTTGAGAAAGGAAGACTATGTCTTTCATCTTCAGAGTCAGAGCCAAGGGAAGTACTGAGCAGGGAATTAGTATATGTCTAGCATTGGCAACCAAAGTATTCAAGAGGCCCATTATAAACCTTTATGTCCAAAAGAATTCCTATGAGGCTACGTTAAGAAGAAAAACATGTTGGAATACATTGCAAGTTACCACTGGCAGATGTTAAGAAAATAAAATTATACAAGTAGTAAATGGGATAAAATTTTTAATGACATTAGAAATGAAAGGAGATTTAGAATTAAAACTAGCAACTGGATTCACAAGTCTTAAACACACACATATACACAAGTACATACACATTTAAGAATCTTTAAGATTTTTTTTAAACACTCAAAAATGAAATACTGAGTTTAAAGAACTAAAAGCTTTAATTTCTCCTTTCTAAAAAAAAGAAAAAAGCCAGAAGACTGGCCAGGATGCCCAAGACCTTCCAATTCAATGCTCCCAAAAACTATGAACCACAAAATCTGACAGATGGAAAATGGTTATTCCAAGGGGTTTGGGATTCTACAGGTACACCAGAAATTATCTGTGCGCTAAAAAAATGTGAGTAAAAGTATTTTCTATAATATACAGATGCCATATATGTGTGTATGTTTATGTATATATTTATATATGTGTGTATGTATACATATGTAACAAATATAATATTACAAAGATATAATGTATAATGACCTCTATAGGCTAGTACTATTCATTATCAGATTCATAGCAGTTTTCCAAAACCAAGAGACGCTAAAAGTACAACTAATATTAAGTAAGCATCTGTGAAACTTTCTGAAGCATAGCCTCTAAAAGACTGAAACCACCACACTAATCCAGAGTGATCCTTCAGTTGACCTGGCTGATATAATGTCCATGGGTCAGAGTGAGATGGCTGAATTAAATAAGCAAAGAAAGTAATCATCTGATATGTAGGAGAGAATGTGGGCAAGGAGATGGGAAAGATCCATCACTTTAAAAAGGCAAGAACCCCTTCTGTTTCTGTCTTTTTAGAAGACCAGTTGCTGCTACATATTTTGTATCTGCACAGACTTTTCTCTTCTGGGCTTAGCGACACACTCAACATTTTCAGTACAGAGTCATGATTCTCTGTTCTCTCCTCTATTCAGCTACATCATGAGTCATAGTAATGACTATTCTTGAATACCACTGGTGACGTTCAAAAAATTCTAAGCTCATGCCAACCAACTTTTGAACATCTGTGAGGCAGGGGAGAAATACTCGCCTAAAAGCTGCTGCCAGAAACAGTAGTCTGCATTCCAAAGTCAGTGCAACACAGGAGTTTAACTTGGGAGGCCTTAACATAACAGTAAGTAACACAACAGTGAAAGAATCTGTACTAATAAGGAAAATAATAATGTCAGTTACCATCTATTGAGAGCTACTATATTGAGAAAATTTACACTCATAGTATGGGGGCATGGGGGGTTGTCAGGTAAGGCTTCCTGGAGGGGGAGCCACCTGAGCCAACACCAAAAAGATAAGCAGAATGTACTGGTATATACAGAAATGTATTGGTATGTGTTCACAACAGAGAAGCATGAGGATGCTGCCACATGTATGAAGATGGTCACTGCAGTGTTCCTTATAAAAGCCAAAGCACACAAGCAAGCTTTGTGCCTTTCAACAGATTGTTATCTTAATGTCTACCTCATGCTGTTCACAGAAAAAAATAAAAGTGGGCAACCAGTTTTTAGCTCCAGATGACATTAAAAACTCATGATATGCCGGCCAGTCGCGGTGGCTCACGCCTGTAATCCCGGCACTTTGGGAGGCCGAGTGGACGGATCACGAGGTCAGGAGATCGAGACCATCCTGGCTAACACAGTGAAACCCCGTCTCTACTAAAAATACAAAAAAATTAGCCGGGCGTGGTGGCGGGCGCCTGCAGTCCCAGCTACTCGGGAGGCTGAGGCAGGAGAATGGCGTCAACCCAGGAGGCGGAGCTTGCAGTGAGCAGAGATAGCGCCACTGCACTTCAGCCTGGGCGACAGAGCGAGACTCCGTCTCAAAACAAAAAACAAACAAACAAAAAAACTCATCATATGCCTTCCCAACTCACACACAGGCACACACACACACCGAGGAGGTCAGAAACATGTTCTTGTGCATCCAACTTCAAAACATTAAGCTTTATAAAATTCAACAATATTTTTCTCATTTCATGTCTGAACAAGGCCCAGCACAGATCCAAGGACCAAAATTTCCCAAAGGACTTGCAAGAACATTCCAACTTTAACACCACATCCAACGCAAACACTTCTTTAAAAGAACGAGCAGATTCACATAGCCAAAAACTCAGGAGTTGAACAAGTCACAAAATATCAGCCCATCCATTTATAAGAGGTACAAGTTGAGAACCACTATGGTTGAAGGATCTTGCCCAAGGCCAGTCATACAGCTGGAATGGCAACCCAGATTCCAATTTTAGAACTATCCCAATAAGCTACATTGATTGAACTCCTCCTATTGTACTTGTCAATAGACAGCTGGAACAGCACAAAACATTAACTTGGAAAGAAAAACAAAAATAAAATGTATCGCCTCGTTTGTTTAGACAACAAAACCTATTCCAGCCTGGGCAGTGGTTCACACCTCTAATCCTAGCACTTTGTGAAGGCTGACAGGCAGGAGGATTGCTTGAGGCCAGGAGTTCAAGACCAGTCTGGGCAACACGGCAAAACCCCATCTCTACAAAAATTACAAAAATTAGCCAGGCACGGTGGCATGCACCTGTAGTCCTAGCTACTTGGGAGGCTGAGGTGGGAGGATAGCTTGAGCTCAGGAGGCAGAGGATGCAGTGCGCCATTACACTTCAGCCTGGGCGACTGAGTGAGCCCCTGTCACAGAAAAACACACACAAAAAAAAAAAAAGGAAAGAAAGAAACCAATAACAAGAAGAAAAAAACTATTCTAATGGGTTTGTAACATGGACAACTACTTGCTCTTTAAAGAATGAGACAGATAACTGTAATGGTAAGAAGTCATTTACTGAGCACCTATTACAAATCTGGTAATATGCCAGGCGCTACCACCCATCACTGACCAATCACTGAACTAGGACTTAGGTAAGCACCATCAATAAAACCCTTAAAGCACAACGGGAAGAGAAGCCTGGGCTGCTAGCACAATAAGCCCCAACAAACTAAAATG
This sequence comes from Homo sapiens, assembly GCF_000001405.40. Classification (NCBI taxonomy): domain Eukaryota; kingdom Metazoa; phylum Chordata; class Mammalia; order Primates; family Hominidae; genus Homo; species Homo sapiens. Next base: position 65,891,508 of record NC_000003.12, read on the forward strand.
TTAGATTAAGGGACAGAAGTATTTTCTACTTCATAAGTTAATTATACATTACCAAGGTTACTTTTCCCCACTATTTTGCAGGAGTCAACGTGATACACAATATAACCAAGGGTGACAAAAGCAACCATACTCCAAAGTATTCAGCAAAATACTTGACAAGCAACATGCATGACAATAGCCCTAAGGTGTTGGAAGACTGGGATACAAACCCCTGTTGTCTGGGGCCTGTTGTGGGGTGGGGGGAGGGGGAGGGATAGCTTTAGGAGATATACCTAATGTAAATGATGAGTTAATGGGTGCAGCACACCAACATGGCACATGTATACATACGTAACAAACCTGCACATTGTGCAAATGTACCCTAGAACTTAAAGTATAATATATATATATATATATATATATATATATATATATATATATATATATATATATATACCCGTGTTGCTCCAATTCAAATTTGTGACAAGTAACCAGTTATTATAGGATTATGCTGGACAATGAGATACACCCCCTCCCATATTGTTCTAAATAGATACTTTATACAGAAAACTCATTATAGATACTCATTATATAGAGAACACAGTCTTTAATTAGAGTCTCTGAAATAGCTATTCCCCATCCTTAATTATGTAACACATAACACGAAAACTTCTGATCACAGCCTGATGGGCAGCCAATGGGCAAATTCCCTCAAGGTTCAGTGACCCTAACTGTGAAGCTATTTTTCTTTAATTATGTTACAGAAAAAGATGTCTCAATCCATGGTCCTCCTAAGCTTCAAGAGGAAAGGTTGGGAGGAAACTCATTAACTTAGTTATGATCGTCTATATTTCAGAGAGGAAAGAAAAAGAGAAAACTTTGCATAACTTTTTGATGGACATAAAATAATAGCAGAATCAGATTTTGTTTAAGATAATAATAGCAGAATCAGATTTTATTAAGTGGCATACCAACATTTTATTAAGTGGCATACAAGGCATTCTTGTGTTTATTTTTTAGAAATTATCAAAACCTACCAAAGCAAATCTAAAGAACGTATATAAAAGAACTTACCTAAAACATTAAATTAATGTTAAGTATAATTATAACAGCAGCTAACATTTATGTATTAGGTGTTAACTGTTCAACTTTACACATTGTTTTAATGTCTCCCAAATCAGCCTAACAGTAAGACTTACCTGGGGCACTTAATCACAGAATCCCTGGAAATTCTAATTCTGTAGCTCTGGGATGGGTCCCATTATTTTAAAAAATGCATTACAATCATTCTTATGACCAAGCTAGGTTAGGAAACAGATTCTCATGGGCTCTTCTTTAACAATGACAGGAAATAGGAAACACTATTAGACCCATTTGACAACTGAAGAAACTGAGGCTTAGAGAGGTCACAAAGCCACCCAGGGTCAGAGGCAGAAACAAACAGAAATGTGAGCTCAGATTTGTAGCTTTTAGCCTGAAAGTAAAACTGCAATCATTGTTCCTTTCCCCAGGTAACACACCAGAGAAGGACACTAACAACCTCAATTTCAGGGACGATAAAAATTAAGTAACAATCCATTCTTCTCTTATTATCTCTCTCAGAGTATCTAAGAAGGCTACACTGGTAAAAGGCTACAGTGCAGTTTCTGGCACATAAGTTACTGAAAATAAGATTTCTTTCCTATCTCCCATCCTTCATCCCTTCTTCTCTACTGATGTCCTCTAATTGGAGTCATTAGTCCTCTTTCTACCAAGCAAAGCCAAAGGTTCCCAGACATATACAACCTCAGAAAAAAAAATGTGAAATAAATGGCAGATACTAACATCAGATTTACTATTCATTTTTCTTTTTTTTTTTCATTTCATGAAAATTACATTCAAACCGGTTTCTTGCCTGGAGAAAAGCACAAAACAAAATTTACATAACGCCTTTAAAAATCAAAACACAATTAACGTTAAGTTTCTTCATGCATTCTCAAAAATCCAACAATATAGTTTAATAGAAAATAATGACAAGCAACATTTATTGAGCGTATCAAGTATTAAATCACTAATTCTCATCAGAAGTCCAGAGGGAATTACGCGAGTCCCATTTACAATTAAGAAAACAGACACAAAGAAATTACAAATTTTGCCCCAGGTTACACAGTTACTAAGTGGTAAAGACAGTATGCAAAATTAGAAGAAGAACTACTATTTGAATTCATGATTTCTTTATTACAATTATCTACTGCTGCGTAATAAATCATCCCAAAATATAACGGCTTAAACTAACAACAATCATTTTATTATCTTTCACAATTTCTGTGAGTCAGGAATTTGTACAAAGCACAGCTGAAATGCTTGTCTCTGCTTCCTGATGTCTGAATCTTACACTGGGAAGACTGCAGGCAACTCAATGGCCCAGGGCTAGAATCATCTGAAACCTCAGGTGTGTTTCACCTCCCCTGGAACACTTGGATGTGGCCTCACCATTTGGCTCCTTGAGCTCCCCTGCAGCCTCCTAGCTGGTTTCCAAAGTCAAGTGTCCCAAAAGAACCAGGTAGAAGCTATACCACCTTTTATGACCCTATCTTGGAAGTCTCACAGCACTGCTCCACCATAATCACATGGCCACCCCTCCATACAAAAAGAAGGAACGAGACATCACTACCCGCCTCCCTATGGAAAGAATCTCAAAGTTGTAAGAACAGCATAATTTCTGCCACAACCCCTAAATAACAATCAATAATATCATCCCTACCTACTAGTGAGAAAATGGAAGTTCAGAAAGGCTATGTGATTGCCCAAGGTCACACAATAAATAATGGCACTAAGATGCCAACACAGGCCCTTGTGACTCCAAATCCTGTTCAATTTCCATTACATCATATTTATAAAACATTCCATCTAAACTGAGTTGTTCCTTGGTGAAAGCTAGGACACATCCATCTTTTAAAAATAATAATAAAGTGAACCATTCCACCAAAAATATGCTAAAAGGATATCCAAATATAAATTATCAAATTTGGAAAGGCAGCAAATGGAAATCCTAATCTAAAGCATTCTTAGTTTACCAGTGATGTCAAATGTTAGCATTTTCTTTGTTGTTGTAATTGAGGATTCGTGTAAGAAAAGAGAAATACAATACCAAGAGTATTCAGTAAGGATAGTCCTTGAAAAGACTAGCAACCACCTAGGACAGTGGTGCAAACCATCCAATTAAGTCTAAATAGGAGATACCCAGGCAACACAATGAAGCCAATGAGCTACAAACTCCATCTGATGCCAAAACTAAAAGGGGAGTTATCACTCATCACCATCAACTGCTTTTGAAAAGGCCAATCCCAGCTATGAGTGTCTCTTCTGGCATGGGAAATTTCATAACACATCTTTATTGCCGGCTGAGGCCACTTGCCTCATCCAGATTCACTGCCTTATGAAAATGTGCAATATGAATGTTTACCGTTGTCATGGAACCTTCACATGAGTTCAAAATAACACACACCCATCACTGTGGCATTTCCAAACAGGACTGAATGGTTGGAAACGGAGGTGCTAGCTAATGTTATTTATTAAAACAAATAAAAACGTCTCTTTTATTTTAGATATCTGTGATGTTCATGGAGGACTTGGCAATATGTGCATGGTTGGGCATAATCTGATAATAAATCCATCAGTCCTTTATTTTGCTACTGGTTAACTAAAATGCCAGACATAAAGGCAACTGTACTTCTTTAACAAATGTGTCTTCTTCTAAGTGGGCAGTGTCAGCACTTGTTCCCTAGACGGGTTCACAGCTAGTACAACACACAGAGTCCCCCATTCAAAACTTCAGCACCTCTTCTCCAGCCCCTATTCTCTCCACTCAATGTCTTAACCATGGGCATTAAGGAACACAACATGTGAAATATACAGGCAATTTGCTGGTCTGAGTTTGTGTGACACCTTCAGGTTTCAGAAATTAAACTGCCACCCTCAGGGTCAGAGACCAGAATTCTCAAAAGTACTACAATTCATTCGAGAAGGCAAGGCATGGTAGACACTACCTTTGTCTTCAAACAATAATCTAATTTTTTCTTTCCAAATCCCTACAAAGACTCTTTATATGATCAATGACCATCTATCTATCCGGCAGCTTTCTGTATCAAAGGGAATAACTTAACCTAAATTCATTATAGTTTCATGTGCCAAGTGCACAGTAATGGCTAAAATCAAAGTCATTGAGATGATGAAGCCCCATCCAAACTTACGTCAGTTACCCTCCATTTTAACATTGAAAAACAGTATTTATCAGTACCATCAATATATTTGCTTCTAAACACTTTTTCCTCAAAGGGACTTTTCAATCATCAAACTATAGCTGGCATTAAATCCAAAAGAATATTCAACTATAGCAAGTAATATTTCCCTGGAAAGCTATTAATTATTCAGCATTCCTTAGCTGCCTACAAGCAGATAGATACCCAGGTTGTTCTTTGTTGGAAACACTCACTCAGCGCCCCTGCCCCCAGCTTGGAGAGGAATACAGGCTGACCCACTACCATTGCATCTCTGTAAACCTCAAGAAGTGATGCTGCAAGGACCAGCTCAATAGTACCTAACAGCCTGGCTGACATGGGGAAGCCCCCAGCCAGACCAAAATCTCCACCCACTGCGGTATTTTTCTCCCTATAGGCAATAGACAAAAGGCCAATGTTCCCACTCACTTTAAATTCAGGCATAAGTAACAGGACTCAGACAAGGAAGAAAACTGAAGTCCCAGTCAAAACTGAAACCCACCAGCGTATATAATAAGTATTTTTATTATTATCACTAACAGCAGTAATCACGACAAAAAAAAAAAAGTACAACCATGCCCATGGCTGACAGGAAGGTTATCAATCGAGGACAATTTAGTTATATGTGGTTTAGGAAGAAGAAAAAACGACTTGAAATTATCAAAACCTTGGACTCAGGAATATCACATCTGTGGAGCTTGTCCAAGAAAACTACGAATCATGTGGACAAAGATTTAGCTACAAGGACATTCAACAAAGAGTTGTTTAAAACATGAAAAACTGGCTGGACACGGTGGTTCACACTTGTAGTCCCAGCTATGCAGGAGGCTGGGGCAGGAGGATCGCTGGAGCCCATAAGTTTGAAGTTACAGTGAACTATGATTGTGCCACTGCACTCCAGGCAGGGCATCAGAGACCCCGTCTCAAACAAACAAACAAACAAACAAACTGGAAACAACCTAAATACCCAACAATAATATGGACAGTATACATCCATACAATGAAATACTAAGTAAAACTTTAAAATGATAGTGTAAAAGCAGGTGAGGCTTTTCTTTGACATGGCAACCTGTTCATGATTTCACAGGAAATGAATATTCAAGTAACAAAATGTATACTGTTCAATATAAATTTTGATTTTATACACCTACACATAATACAACTAGAATAATACAATTGCCCCTCCATATCCGAGAAAAATTGGTTCCCAGGATCCCCTTGGATACCAAAAATCCACAGATGCTCACATCTCTGATATAAAATGGTACAGTACTTGCATAAAACCTATGCACATCCTCCTGTATAGTTTAAATCATCTCTAGATTACTTATAATACCTAATACAATACAAATGTTATGTAAATAGTTGTTATACTGTTTTTTTATTTGTACTATATTTAGTACATCACTAAAGAATAAAACTGGTTATATTTGATAGGTGGAAAAACAGGTGAGTTTTTGGGTTAGCTCTTCCTAATAGTTCTGTAATAAACATGTACCACACTCTTTTGCATTAGAAAATTAATGGACTTTAATTCCAACACTTTGAGGGGCCAAGGCAGGAGGATAGCTTAAGCCCAGGAGTTCCAGACCAGCTGAGGAAACACAGCAAGAACCTGTCTCCCAGAAAACCAAACACCGCATGTTCTCACTCACAGGTGGGAATTCAACAACGAGAACACTTGGACACAGGGTGGGGAACATCACACCCTGGGGCCTGCTGTGGGGTGGGGGGCAGGGGCGGAATAGCATTAGGAGAAATACCTAATGTAAATGACGAGTTAATGGGTGCAGCAAACCAACATGGCACATGTATACCTATGTAACAAACCTGCATGTTGTGCACATGTACCCCTATGTAACAAACCTGCATGTTGTGCACATGTACCCTAGGACTTAAAGTATAATTAAAAAACAACAACAACAACAACAAAAAAGAACCTGTCTCCACAAAATTTTTTTTTAAAATTCAGCCAGGCATGGTGGTGTACCCCTGCAGTCCCAGCTACTAGGGAGGCTGAAGTGGGAGGATCACTTAAGCCCAGGAGGTTGAGGCCGAAGTGAGCTATGATAGCACCACCGCACTCCAGCCTGAGCAACAGAGTAAAATCCTGTCCAAAAAAAATAAAAAAAGAAAGAAAGGAAAAGGGGGGAAAAAAAAAACTTAATGGAAAGCATTTAAGCATTTCAACAACATTCTACCACAGGGATCACTTTTAAAGGCATACTGTTTTCAGAAAGACAGATGTTTTCTCCCTAAAATTAACTTGCAGTCCAAATCCAAATATTTAACTCAAGATACAGCCATAAACAGCTTTTTCTCTCTGTAGGACACTTAAGAATAAATGCTTGTGATTAGACTGACCACCAGCCAGAGAGTTTGATATACGATTTGGTTTAATGTTTTCTACAAAAATCCCTGCTCAAAAGGATTCTTCTCAATGTATCTATTTCCACCTGTTTCCTGTATTTGTTTCTCCCCAAAATCCTACCTTTCTGTGGCATAACATCGAATTTTTATTCATCCCAAATAATGGTCCACTGAACACTTTAAATAAAAGGCGGCTGGGTAGTAGCTTGGAGATAAAGCACTATTTTACAAAACCCTAGGGAAAGGCAGTAATATGGAAGAGTTTAGTGTGGCATCATAAAAAGTAGGCATTTACTTGTAAAAATTAAATGCACACAGGCTTGTTCATTTGTATGTGTACATATGTACGTGTAAAAAAATTATATACACAAATAAAGAAAAACAACAAAACAAAACAAAAGAACCCTGAAATTCAAATTGTTGACAGGTATAGAAAATAGGAGTAAGTTCATGGCTCCTTCATTTGCTATGTCTCATTTCACAAAAGTTCCTATTATTTTGAAACACTTAGTATACAAAGTCCTTCAAAATATACTGACATAGAAAAGCAAATGAAAATGACAGCAACCAAAGGCAAAGTAATAGTTAATAATAATATATTGTATAGTTTCAACTAGCTAGAAGGAAAATATTGAACATTCCCAACATAAAGAAATGATAAATGTTTGAGAAGATGGATATGCTAATTACCCTGATCTGATCACTATACATTATATGTTTTCAAAATATCATATGTACCCCATGAATATGTACAATTATTATTTGTCAATTTAAGTAAATATATTTTTAAATAATTAAAGAAAATTTAAAAAAATTTTTTTTTGAGACTTGGGTCTCACTCTGCAGCCCAGGCTGAAGTGCAGTGGCACAATCTTGCCTCACTGAAGCCTCAACTTCCCAGGCTCGGGTGATCCTCCCACCTCAGCCTCCTGGGCAGCTGGGACTACAGGCACACACCACCACCACGCTCAGCTAATTTTTTTGTAGAGACGGGTTTCGCCATGTTGCCCAGGCTGGTCTGGAACTCCTGGGCTCAAGCAACCCTCCTACCTCAGTCTCCCAAAGTGCTGGTATTACAGGTGTGACCCACCACGCCCAGCCTAAAGGTGTTTTAAGTAATATATTCTAAATGGATATCTTTCAAAACAGAAAATACATTCACAGTGGAAAAAGTAAAATGTGAGGATTCAGCTCCAGGAAAAGAGTCATCAGAGGAAGGAAGTTCATAACTACTCAGGTCCATTTTCTCTTTACAATTCTTACTAATAACATGTCCCATTATGACCATTCCGCTGAAGAAATCAGACTTATCAAGAAATGAAAACAGATCACAGGAAGGCAGGGGAGGAAATGTCAACCTCAGAAAAAACTGAGATCATTTCAGAGGTGCTGACAGATAATGGAAATGCCACCATGGCAAAACACTACCATCCTTTTGTGACATAACTGGGATAAAAATCCCTACAGACAACAATACCAGGGGAATAAAATTAAGAGAGCTGAAAACAGAAAGAACAACTATGACCTATTCTCATGTTTTATGCTGGAAAAATGAATTTGCAGCAAGGGCCTTGGTGCCAATGTTAATTCTCCATACATATGGAGCCCCAAAGATATATCTAATACAGTTTCATATATACTTCTGCTAACTTGCTTACATTCTGAATGGGACTTTCAAAGGGGGATAAAGTTAAAACTGGATTAAGGAACCCAAATTAAAATAAACCCTTCCTGATGCACTAATTTTTCAGATACCATAGAAGTCTTGGTCAAGTCCAAAGTGAGAGTGCTAAGATGGCATTGCACCCACAGAAATACAGATCTTGCTTCCAAAGATGAGGGGAAAGGAACATTTTTCACATATCTTGCAGTTAATCACTTACATACTTAGATCAAAGGGAGTAATCAAAGTTCCAAAAGAATTTCAGATTAGCTTTTACATTATCATGTGTCCCATGATTACAATTACCTGGACCCAAAAAAAAAAACGAGCTTTCTACACTAATGGATTTGTCTTGGGGACAAGAGATAGGCAGTATACACCCATCGTCTTGCTTTGCACGTTATTGCAAGGACACACGCAACATCGTGTCTTTCCTATGTCAGGCATCCTTGGACTCATTAACTCTTAAAAATCCCATCCATCACCCAGGACATAAAAGGTAAAAGTCACAACATCACTAACCAACCTTCAAGATAACTTCTCACTCACTACAATGAACATGATGTGTAAGAGGTAGACAGAAAACACAGTGTTATAATTGGGAAGAGGTGATAAAGGTGTGAGCAAAAATTAAAAGAGTCATGTATTATTTGCCTAGTGTTAGACTTGAAAAAGGGCTTAGTATATGGTAAGCACTCAATAAATGTTCACTTAATCATAATATACTAGTACAGAATTACTTAGCCATATCTGTCTGTCCAACACCACACATATAAATACTCACCATTTGACTAGGTTTTGATGAACTTGAAATTGGCGTGAAGAGGGAGTTAGTAAGAGGCCCCACAAAGAAACACAAAAAGGCAACTGTGGTGAACACCACCAGGTTACCAGATGAATACCCTGTCTCCCCAGTCTTCTAGCCATTTTCTTACCCCTATAGGTTACAAAAGACATACTTTCAGCCATCATTTTCGCATAGAACGCCATTACGCTGGCCACAGGTGCAGACATCTGACCTATTATGAACCATTGAGAATCCTTCTCCCTGGTATTTACAATCAGAACTAAGAGATTCCAGCTTCAGTCTGGATGAACCCTTGAGAGGAAGAAGTATATGCTAGGAGTGTGGACAGCCAGGCTCTGGGAAGCAGATCAGTCTATTTTGAGAGAACAGAAGAATGAAGTAAGAGCGCATTCAGCAGGAAATGAAAAATACCTACAGAAAAACCTGATAAGGTTCAAAGTCTTAGTCCCGGGGTGTTTCCAAAACTGGCCTACACTGGATAACCCTTACCTTGGGTATGCTTCAGATACCCTTACAGTAAACATCCTCTTTTTATTTTTGCTCAAGAGCATTTATACTACTTGCAACGCAGAGCCCAACATAAAGACTATTCCTCTCTAACCAAAACAATCCAGAGACAAGGAAAAAATAAAAGATGACGCCACACAAAAGGAAGAGCAAAATAGCCCAGGGTGGTCTTTCCAATGATGAGGAATCCACCATGCAGGCCCAGACCAGAGACTGGGAGCTCAGAGAAAGTGTATGGATGACATTTCTGTTCATCCTCGGTGGAAGGGTGAGAGTCACGTGGTGACGAAATTGGCTGGAGATATGAGCGTTGTTTTTACAATGTTTTAGTATCTGTGAATACCACATTCTTTTCCTTTCTTGTACAGTCTTGTTTGAAACTCTGGCAAAACGCTGCAAAGGGGAAGCAATTGGAAGTTGGCTGAGATGAAGTTATGTGATTTCAATTAAAAACATTCTCTCACTTGTGGCTTGCTATCGCTGTGGAAAATAAAGAACTGCAACGGCAAGGTTTTTTCCCTATTGAAAATATTTCTGTTAAGCTTCAGAACGGTGAAAATCATTTATCTACATACACAAATAACTTCTGTTCAAGTTATATCGGGGCTCTGGTCCAATCCCCAGATTCTGCGAAAAAGGCAAATTTTGTATAGACTAATTCTACTGTTCTCATTTCCTCAGCACCCTCCACAATTTTGCATGTATACATCCCAGAATGCCTAAAAACTCACAAATGCCTGCTATCCCACAGGGTTCCAATAATTAGCACTTTTACAAGTACATCCTTATTTTGCTGCAGAAAATACTTACGAGGTTTTAAAATTCATTATTTTTTTTAATACATCATTTTCACTACACAAAAAGAACTACCAAGACTGGTCTCCTCAAAAGGATAACATACTTCTTAATGTTTCCCCATGATATTTATTAAACGCTAAGGAATGCAAAAATAACATATATTTGTGAGAGTTCTCTGATATGGATTAATGATCATTTCTAAATATAGCAATAGTAGGGAATAAATGTCTGGATTTGCTTATGTTTACTAAACAATAATCTTACAGGTTGGTATTTTACTGCTTTACAAATACGAGGGAGACAAACAAGCAAAGCTGTAGGAGAGAGAAAACTCTCACATCGCAATTGTGTCTGCCTAGAGAATCAGGTTCCTGAACACTGCTCCCACCTCCAAAGTATCTGACAAGGAGGGAAGCCACAGACTGCTCCCAGTCTGAATGCAAGCCCAACCTCATATAGTAGAATGAAAACAAACTCAGCCAAGATGGTTCCTTAGCAGTAAAATTCGCAGCAATTCAGGAAGATAGCAGCCCCTAGACACGGACTTGAGAACTTGAGAAGGCAGCCACAGCCCAGCCCCTTGCGTATGTAAAGTAAGCTCCTACAAGTCATTCATTCCTGCAGGAAGCACCCCTGGCCCTCCTAAGAATCACAGCAGAAGGGCTAAGTTTTAGCTGTGAAAAGACAGAGCTTGAGCTCTCTTACCTGTACCAGCCTGTGGCTCCCTCCCACTTATTCCAATTTGCGACAGGCATCCAGGGCTCTTCCTGCAACTCTGAACGGGGCGGATCCTGCCAAGTCTCTGCTCGTACCTGAATGCAGGAAACTGAGCATGCTCCCCATCAGGGAGCAGCACTAGGGCAGGACACACGCCATTACCTCCAGCTTGGGAATCAGACCAGATCAGCAGCATCACCCTGCCAACATTACCAGGAAAGCAGAGAGAAAATGAAAATTGCCTTAAGGAGCTTTAACAAAATCAGAAATTAAGGATCAAAAGGAATAGAATGAAAGGGTCATAGGTGTCACTAAATGGCTAGAATGAGAACACCAAGGTCAATCCAGTAAAAATCAGCAGGGGTTCTCAGCTCAAAGTCTTTTTTGGGGGGAGTGGTGGGGAGAGGTATAACTCTGTCACCCAAGTTAGAGTACACTGGCGCAATCTCGGCTCACTGCAGCCTCAACCTCGCAGGCTAAAGCAATCCCCCCACCTCAGCCTCCCAAGCAGCTGGGACTAGGACTACTGGCACACACCAACACTCCCAGCCAATGTTGTTTATTTTTTGTATAGACAGGGTCTCTATGGTGCCCAGGCTGGTTCTGAACTCCTGGGCTCAAACGATCCTCCCACCTTGGCCTCCCAAAGTGGTGGGATTACAGGCATAAGCCACCACAGCTTGAAGTCTTAATATTAGTACAGGAGTGGCAAGTGGAAGCTTGGACTAGGAGTCCTGGGTATGTATCCTGGATGCCGTTTCTAACTCAGGTGTGACTGTGGGCAAGTAACTTCTCTCTAGAGTTCAGTTTCCTCATTTAAAAAACCAGGATAACAGCAATGCCTACTTCCTAGGGCAGCATAAGAATGAAATTTCTGACACACAAAGAGCACTCATGAAATGTTCTTATCAAATGTAATGCAACACACACATACGCACATACACGCATGCCTGCACGTACACACACCTTCTCCAGAGATCAGTTTCCCTAAGACAGAGGGAAAAGAAGGTACTTTCTGAAAGGTTTTGTTTTTATCCTTGCCAGTCAGCTTGATTTACTCAAACTTCCTAAGTGCTTATTTCGATTTGCCTAAAATCAGGCACAGAAAATAATTCTAGGCCAGGCGCAGTGGCTCACACCTGTAATCCCAGCATTTTGGGAGGCCGAGGTGGGAGGATCACCTGAGGTCTGGAGGTCAAAACCAGCCTGGCCAATGTGGTGAAACCCTGTCTCTACTAAAAATACAAAAATTAGCCAGGTGTGGTGGTGCACACCTGTAGTCCCAGTTTCTTGGGAGGCTGATGCAGGAGAATCGCTTGAACCCAGAAGGTGGAGGTTGCAGTGAGCCGAGATCGTGCCACTGCATTCCAGCCTGGGTGACAGAGCAAGACTCTTTCTCAAAAAAAAAAAAGAAAGAAAGAAAATCATTCTAATTTCCTCAAAACCATGTAAATCTAGCAAATTAGAAAGGAGCACAGACTACTTAATCTTTGAGGAAGCTGTCAAGATTGTGCCATAACTTTTTGATTCAGTTCTCAACTTTCCAACTAATTCCAGACAGTAATGAGACACCACTACCCTGATGGCTGATATTTCACAAAATATGCAGCAAGGAGAGCCCATGAGGGCAAGAATGGCCTGGAATGACCAACCCTATGTCAGTTTCTGTTTTGCCTGCTTGACTCTCAGGATTAGAAGGGTGATAAGGTCACACAATCTCAGGCCCCTTCTCACCTACCACATCTTCAAAGAGACATCCACCCTCTGATATATCAAACTGGGTGACAGGAAACTTGGTTCCTGCTAAAACCCCTCCAGTGAATGGCCACTGCCCTTAGAACAAAATCCAAAACCCTGACCACGGCCTTCAGGGCCCTGCGGCCCGGCCTCTGCTGCCCTTCCCAACCCAGCTCCCACTGTTCTACCCCAGACCTACCCTCATCCAACACTCCAAGCTCTGCCCACTTCTAGGATGTAGCTTCCACCATCCCTCAGCCCAGAATGCCCTTTCTCCATCAATCCTATCTCTGGCTTTCTCATTCTCCAGGTCTTAGACCACCCTGGCTAAGACAGATCACCTACCCACCATTCAGTTCACAAGTATCATTGACAAAATAGTGAAGAGTTTAATTGTTTACAGCCTGCCTCCCTCTCCTCACTAGACTGGAAGCTCCAGGAGGTCAGGGCCATATGCTGGTCATTATGTGGATGCAGCACCTGCCACATGGGGAGGGTGACCAGGCACATAAGGTGGTGACTGCCTCTTGAGGCTGCCCATCCCCTCTTTGGACAGCATTTGGAGACAAAGCTTAAGCAGGTAACAGGACAAGAAAACGCCTCATCCTGGAACTTTCTCTGCAATGGAAATCAATATGATTCAACAAAATTAGGTACTCCGTATAGGGGATCTTAACCAGAACCCCACATTACAATACACAGGGGAGCTTAAAAATTATACTAAAAATAAGAATAACACTAATACTGATGCCTATGCTATATCCCCAAGATTCTGATTTAATTGATATTAAATCTGGTTTATGTGATTTAAATGATATGATATTCAGCTAGGGTTGAGAACTACTGTTTTAGAGCACTGCTTCTCAAACTAGTTGTGAGAAAGGACCAGCTGTTTCTTATTTCCCAAAGTATCAAAAGATAATAAAAATTAATGACCAGAAAAAACACAAGCACACCCTACAAAATACAAGACCCAACTTTTAATTATTAAACTCAACAGATAGACAACTGTCTTGTGCAATTACATTTCTTTTTCTTAGCCTGGGCAACCTAGTGAGACCTCATCTCTATGAAATATTTTTTTTTTCTAATTAGCTGGGCATTGTGGTGTACACACCCTGGGTGACAGAGTAAGACCTTGCCTTAAAAAAAAAAAAAAATTCTTTTTCTTATTTTTTTAGAGACAGGGTCTCACTCTGTCGCCCACATCAGTCTTGAACTCCTGGGCTCAAATGATCCTCCCACCTCAGTCTCCCAAGGAGCTAGGATTACACACTCAGCCAATTACTATTACATTTCTAAATTCTAAGTCTCAATTTCTATATTTATACCATTGTGCACAGGTTAACAAAAACAGACTTTGCACCTCAGCTCAGGTCTACAGAGCAAATTTAGAGTACACTACTCAGAAGTTACAGAAAAAGGACAAAATGTAGTCTAACAACTTAGTTGAGGACTGCACTCTACTCAAATTATACTACACAGTAGTAAATGACTACATATCTAGGCAGGAATGCACCACACAGATCAGAACAGACTTTTCATCTGACAGATTTTTGTGGTGCTTTCCGGATATAAGAAAGAGTTCTCCAAGTGTTTTTAAAATACCGAAATAAAAGAGTTTCTGGGATGGTTTATCCACAATTAAGGCATTCTCTTATTAAAAACATAACCTTGCTTTTGCTCACTTGGTTTCTTTAACATCACTATATTTGAGCATGTGTTTTCCATTAGCTAATAATGCAGAAGTGTGTCATTCTTCTCCCTGAAAATATACTGTTACTATGAAGGCACATCTTGAAAATGGTAGCATCTAATAATAAAAAGAATATATTACTCGAAATAGGACTAAACTAGGAAAGGGAGACTGATGGTCTGAAGTGAATTCAAGGATGGGAGACATCAATGTGGGTTGGAATAGCACGTAAAAGCTCCATGAAGAAGGAAGCACCAGGGCTGGGTGCTTAAAGAGAGGTTAGGATGAGGCAGGCAGATGGGAGCAGGGAAGGAATTTCAGCCCAGTCTGAAAGGGCAGCATGTCCACTGGTCAGTTTAATACAGGGCTGAACCACAGCAAGGGGAAGATGCAATGGGTGGGCTTCTTTTCCCAGGGGATATCACCCCCACCTTTCTTCCAGGCCCATTCCTGCCCTCCACAAAAGTATCCACAAAAGTCAATGTTTTCATTAAACTCTCAAGGGAAATGCCAAAGACAAAGAAAAGTTTCAATAATCAAAATCAAAATATACAGCCATCTTAGCTGGGTGTGGTGGCTCATGCCTGGAATCCCAGCATTTTGGGAGGCTGAGGTGGGCAGATCATTTGAGGTCAGGAGTTAGAGACCAGCCTGACCAACATGGTGAAACCCCATCTCTACTAAAAATACAAAAATTAAGTGGGCGTGGTGGTGGGCACCTATAATCCCAGCTACTAGGGAGGCTGAGGTAAGAGAATTGCTTGAACCCAGGAGGTGGAGGTTGCAGTGAGCCAAGATCACGCCATTGCACTACAGCCTGGGCAACAGAGCAAGACTCTGTCTTAAAAAAAAAAAAAAAATCTACAGACATCCTAGTAAATTTTGGCAAAAAAAAAAGAAAAAGAACTTGACAATGTACTTCTGGACCTGAACAGTGGTAGAGAAATGAGATTTCCCTTTTGTCTCTAGCATTGATCCACAAATTCAGTGAGAAAAATCTTGCCTCTTGTTTACAAAAAAAAAAAAACACTCCACTTGGTGAAGACTAAGGATTTGTAAAAAGAAATGGCTCGATGACAAAATTAACATGAATTCTACTCTACTGCCTAAGGAGAGCCCTTAATTAGATTTTTCAAATTGCTAAAAATATTACTGCTTAACTCCCTTTGGTTTCAAATATAGCATGATGCATAGTATTATTGAAAATAAACATTTTATTAACATATATGTTATTCCCATGGATCCTTGAGATAACTCTAGTGGGTGGATGAGATTATCCTTTTCACAGGCTGAGACCTGGTAAGGCTGAGTTATTTGCTCAAAGTCCTACAGCTTGTCAGTGACAAAACCAAGACTTAAACCCAGGTCTCTGCTGTCAAATCCTTTGAAAGTCACCACATGCAAAGTACTTATCCCCCCACACCCGCCTTCCCTGGAACTTACAACAACTCAGCCAGTAAAGCTTTGGCTATGGAAATATAAGCAACGTTGGAAGTAAAACGGGCACATTAAAAGCAAAAGCACAGATTGGTTAAAAATCTAGGAATCCACTGCCTTCTGGAAATGACCAAAAGACTTTACCTTTTTCAGGTTGAAGTCTTCAGTGGATCTGGTGTTTTCAGATGCCCAGTTCTGAATTCTCATTCAGAGTTGCCATAGCTCCCTCTAGGTGACTTCACAGTAACCTCCTGTGAGCCTGAGGCTATTCCTTCTCCACCCCAACTACCTTCTCAAGCATCTGATGGTCTTTTCAGGCTTGTTCCTGCCTCAGAGTCTTGGTGTTTGTCACTGGCTTTTTAGGAAACATTCTTGTTCCCAGTATCCATTTGCCTGACTTGGCCTCATACTTGCGTCTCAACTTAAAATGTCCCCTGTCACGTGTTACCCCGGCTCCATCACTCTCTGTGGAATCCCTCTGTTTCACTTTCTCTCTAGTGCTTATGATTATCTGAAATTCTTACGATTCATGGAGCATGCAAATACCACACGAACACAACTAAAAAAGAATCAAAGTTAACACAAGAAATACACCAAACGCCACTCATAAACAAACATGCCCTGAAGGAAAAGTTCTTATAAATGAATCCAAAATAACAGAAGACATCAAATATTGAATATTTTGCTAGCTCACATACACCACACAATAAGAAACATTCAAAGGTAGTATACGCAGAAAATGTCTACGAAACAACAAAACACCAACCTCTTTTTCCTGGTGTTGAACACTCTTCTCTCTGCCAATACTGTCCACAATAATCCTTAATTTTTTTTTTTTTAATCGAGACAGAGTCTTACACTGTCACCCAGGCTGGAGCACAGTGGTGCAATCTCAGCTCACTGCAACCTCCACCTCCCGGGTTCAAGCAATTCTCTGCTGGAATTACAGGCACCCACTACCACACCCGGCTAATTTTTTGTAATTTTAGTAGAGACAGGGTTTCACCATCTTGGCCAGGCTGGTCTTGAACTCCTGACTTCGTGATCCACCCGCCTCGGCCTCCCAAAGTGCTGGGATTAGAGGCGTGAGCCACTGCACCCGGCCAATCCTTATTATTTCCGAATGAAACAACTTTTAATTCCTGCAAATCATCTTCTATATTTTTCTCTCCATGAAATAAGTGAGGTTGCAAAAATCAGCTACGTAAAAACTAGTATCTGAGCTGTCCAGCGTAAAGGATATTAGGACTCCCTGGCCGACTTCCCCTCTGGAAAATGTGGATCAGCCTTTCTAACAGACTCCTGGGGCAGCTCTCCAGCATGCCTTATCATTAGAGGACTCTCTTGGTCATTAACCATAATGACCACTCATAGTCTACATTTCAATCTGCAACACAGTGGGGCAGACACTCAGAAGTCTGCTTATTCTCAGCATGTAATGCTGACATGAGTCAATTTTTTAATAAAAGTCATAAATTTATGGTTCTAAAATATAGAGAATGACTTCTAGTTGTGATCAAATAACCCATTTTCTAGGGATGGTCTTTTATAATGCCAATTCCATGCACAATTGGGAATCAAGTTAAGGTGTGTCTATGACCAGGTAGAGTATTCTCATTACCAGAAGCCTTTGCTCACAGTGCCTCATGAAGCTACCCTCAAAATGTACTCAAGTATATAAATTTTCTCTTCCCGTACTGACACCATCACTGAAGGGCTAGTATCAACATTATTTCCATAGCCCACCTTTAAGGAGTTAATATAGTCTGGGCATGGTGGCTCATGCCTGTAATCTCAACATTTTGCAAGGCAGAAGCAGGAGGATCACTTGAGCCCAGGAGTTCAAGATCAGCCTGCACAACAAAGTTGAGACCCCATCTCTACAAAAAAAAAAAAAATTGTTTAATTAGCTAGGTGTTGTGGCACATGCCTGTAGTCCAAGTTACTTGGGAGGCCAAGGTGGGAGGACTGGCTTGAGCCTGGGAGGTTGAAGCTGCAGTGAGCCGTGATCACACCACTGCACTCCAACCTGGGTGACAAAGCAAGACCCTGTCTCAAAAAATAATAATTAGGCCAGTGTGGTGGTGGGTGCCTATAATCCCAACTATTCAGGAGGCTGATGCAGGAGGATCACTTGAGCTCAAAAAGTCAAGGCTGCAGTGAGCTGTGATCATACCACTGTACTCCAGACTGAGTGACAGAGTGAGACCCTGTATCCCCAAAAATTAAAAAAATGTAAAAAGAAAAGAATGTAAATTAGCTGCTGCCCGCTTTATTTCAGGGATGTGGGGATTCCAAGCAAGATAATCAAACCCAGATAGTATCTACACCAGCGATCACTAACCTTTTTGGCACCATGGACCGGTTTGGTGGAAGACAATATTTCCATGGGCCAGGGGTGGGGGATGGTTTGGGGACGAAACTGTCCCACCTCAGATCATCAGGCACTAATTAGATTCTCATAAGGAGCGCACAACTAGATCCCTCACATGTGCAGTTCACAACAGGGTTCACACTCCAATGAGAATCTAATGCCACCACTGATCTGACAGGAGGCGGAACTCAGGCAGTAATGCTCACTTGCCCACTGCTCACCTTCTGCTGTTCGGCTCAGTTCCTAACAGGCCACAGACCAGCATCAGTCCATGACCTGGGGGTTGGGGACCCCTCATCTAGCTCATAACCTTCTGTCTATGTTTGGATAATATTACCTTAAATAACTGAATATAAAACAATAAACATGTTTAAGTATTTGAGGCTGCCAAAGTGAAGAGTTACAGAGTACTTTTGTTAAGAGATAGATATAATTGAGAATCTCAAATTTGGAAAAAGATCTTTTATCCCCCCATGAAAAAGTTATCACAATGAAAACACATTTAAAAATGAGGATAAATGCAATGCTGTACTGTTGAAAATACACAAGTCTTTCAAATGCATATTCCAGAGGAAAAACAAGCACCCTTGAAAATCAATCACTGAAAAACAACCAATAAAGTACGCCACCATTGCAAATGGCTTTCCTGTTTACATACTAATCGAAGTGGTTGTTGGGGCAGCACCATGCCAAACACTGATACGATGGAGGACATGGAAGCATGAGATAGCTGGGAAAGTGATCATCTAATCTGAGAAAAGAGTCACTACTACTTATTAAAGAACTACTTACTTAAAACATCCTGCGTTAGAAACGAGTGCCCCCAACCTCCATCAAAACTCTACAGTAGCTTCCTATCACTTTCAGGCCATAATCCCAAAATACCTCTTTAATTTTACTTCTCGACATGAAGGTCCTGACCTAGTAGTTAAATCTCTGCTCATCACCTATCCAACACAGTAGATGGGTGTCTACCTTGAGGCCTCTTTCAGACATGGTGGACTTTTTTTTTTTTTTTTTTTTGAGATGGAGACTCGCTCTGTAGCCCAGGCTGGAGTGCAGTGGCATGATCTTGGCTCAATGCAACCTCTGCCTCCTGGGTTCAAGCGATTCTCCTGCCTCAGCCTCCTGAGTGGCTGGGACTACAGGTGCACGCCAGCACACCCGGCTAATTTTTGTATTCTGAATAGAGACGGGGTTTCACCATATTGGTCAGGCTGGTGTCGAACTCCTGACCTCAGGCGATCCGCCTGCCTCGGCCTCCCAAAGTGATAGGATTACAAGAGTGAGCCACAGCGCCTGGCCTGGACATGGTGGACTTTTGCTATCCAACATCTATTTTCCCCATTTCTGATAGAAGCAACCCAGTTTTGTCAAATGAAAATAACTTATCTCCATAGGCTGGTTTAGACATTTTACTCAAACTGGGACATTTGAACGTTTGTCCATGGAATTTGAATCTCAAGCAGAAAAAGACAGAAAAGGGTTGGAGTTGGCTCATCCTCCGGGGGACGCTCTACAGAGATGTGGCTTCAGCTCCCTCCACCAGCAGCCCCAGAGCTGCCCAGCGTCCACCTTTCTGATCCCATTTTTCAGGTGTTTCTCAGATCCTGTAAACTGCTCCATGTATCTATTGTTTGTTCACAACAAATTTATTTTCTGCTTAGGGTGGATTCAGGGTAGATTTTTTTTGCACTTAGGACCAAACTATATCCTAACTTGCATGCTTATTAAAGTCATTCTTAAACCTTGGGATCAAAACTCAACACCCCTGATTATTTTTAAGCCCTTCAAAGCCACACCCCAACAGCATAACCGCTCTCTCTTCAAAACTTTTATATAAGCCTATTATGTATTCTTACTGTTTTCATTTACCCATGCTCCAAACAAATTACCAAATCATACTTTTATAGCCCATTGGATTATTTCCTAGCATCAAACTTGGCACCCAGAAGGTGATACAAATATTTTTATCTATTATTAAAGTTTCTGTGTAAGGCACTGTGCTTAGTGGCTTCCTGTTCGTTACTGCATTTCATTCCTCATTATAGGTAGGGTTATCCCATTTGGAGGATAACCAGTCCAAGGCAAAGAGATTAACTTGCCCAAGGGCATTCACAGCTACTAAATGGACAAACTGAGATTTAAATCCAAGTGTGCCCTTGAAAGCCTAAATTCTCAATCACTGATGATAGAACTTGAAAGGGAAAAGGCAGGTGTGAAAATAATTCTATCTTAGACATATTTATTTTGTCATCTCTCGAGTCTAGATATGAAACTCTGCCCACTGACATGTTCATGAACCCAATCTTGAAAGCTATTTAAGTTTAAATGAAACAATGCATTACTTCAGGTAAATGGAAAACAAAGAAAACTCTGATCTCAAAAAAAAAAAAAAAAGAGTTCTGCTTCCTAAATCATACACATCGTGTTCTCGCACTGTAGAATTTCTCTCTAATCTGCTCTGACAAAACCAAGTCAGGGGCTGGGGAGACTTGAACAGCAGGCTGAAAAACTGGAAGAGCCCAGTCTGGGATTAAAAACTAGCTACAAAGGGATAATTCACACATGGATCATTACGATTCAGGGATGGTTAAAAGCAGCTCACATCTGGTTTTATTTGGGCTCCCTGTTTCGTCTAATAAACAAGTACATGTTTAAACAAACAAAAACAGGTAACAAAAAAATGTTTTTCAGGTCACACGCAAAGTAGGATTAGTTTGGAAAAGGAAGACCAGCACCTGGAAAACCAATTTCACTTAAGTACCTCACCAAGAGACCCTGACCAAGTGACTTAATCTCTTAGGACCAGCTTCCTTAATCAAATGTGAAAATAAGGATTCTTTTTTAGTTACCTTAGAAGATTATTATGAGAATCAAAAGAAAGCATGAACATGGAAAATTTTATCAACTCTGACAAGACATTAACAAATATCCCCAGAGGAGGTCAAGCAGGCCTACCTGAGTCTACAAGTGGAAAAGTTTGTCAAATACACTATAAATAGCTACACTAGGTACAAGTCATGAAAGGAAAACCAGACACAGCACCTATATCAGCAAACAACCTATCAGACATCATGAAGAATAAAGTAAACTTTTATCTAGTTTGATCTCTTTAAATACTACCAAGCCATAAGGGGCTGGGCGCAGTGGCTCACACCTATAATCCCAGCACTTTGGGAGGCAAGGCAGGCAGATCACTTGAGGTCAGGAGTTCGAGACCAGCCTGGCCAACATGGTGAAAACCCTACTACAAAAATTAGCCAGGCGTGGTGGTGCACACCTGTAATCCCAGATACTCAGCAGGCTGAGGCACAGGAGGCGGAGGTTGAACCCAGGAGGCAGAGGTTGCAGTGGGCAGAGATTGTGCCATTGAACTCCAGCCTGAGCAACAGAGCAAGACTGTCTCAAAAAACAAACAAAAAATAATAAATAAACACTTCCAAGCCATGAAGTTCAATTCTTTGAGAACCATTTTTTCATATTTGACAAAATTGCATTTAGATGGAATTAGGATTATTCCTCCTCCCCAACCCCCCCAAAAAATCCAAAACATGGTTCAATGCTTTCAGGTAATTTCTACCTAAATTCTGACCTAAATTTGGGAGAGGCAACCCCAAAGTATGGCCTGTAGAAAGCTAATAGGTATAGGTTGTTTCGGAAGATGGGGAGGTAGTGTTCAGAAAGGAGAGATTCCAGAAAGGGTTCTGTTAGTTCACTAATTTGGGAAATGCTGCATTGGGCAAAACAGGTTCCTTAAACACAGTACTGCTTGGAGCATTTACCATGAGATGCCTTTCAAATCCCTAACAAAGTATTGGAATAAAAAGCATTTTGCAAACTTATTTGCAAAGAGCATCCTTCAGGCAGGTGTTCCACAGAAAACAAACTGAAAACACAGCAGAAGACAGTTAACAGAGGAAATACAGGGAGGAGAAATTCCTTCGGAACATATCGTATTTTTTGAAGGCAATGTGAGTAGAGTACCATGGAGGAATTCTACCACTGACTGTGTATCCCAAGGTCTTTATCTTCAATTCAAGGGGTTCTAACACTCCTGAATATTCTTGGCAATTTAGAAAACACTCACATGGACCCAGAAAGCAATTGCTTTAAACCCAGAGAGACCATTAGAAAGGACAAAGGGAGACAAAGAAGGAAGAAAAGAGGATCTTAGACCCTGCTTTCTCCCCTAATGCTTATTAACAACTAATTGGCTTTCATGTTTTCTCCATTAGGTTTAGCTTCATGATCAAAATCACCTCAGGGCATACTACAATCAACCAAACATCAGCCTTCAAGAGATGCACCATATGACTACATCCACAGGTCAGCATACATACTCAGCCAGCATAAACCCGGCGGGGACTTCTACCAACAGAGGGCCTCCTGTGAAAAGCCTGGAAAAAAAAGTCAACTCTCTGTTGCATAGTGAGCAACATAAATCCAGCAACATTTATTTCAGAACAAAGATCGATCTGTTAACTAATTAATCTGAACCCACAAATGAACACATTCAAACTGGGGTACTTCCTGGTTTCATCACAAATTCAAATGCCATCAGGGGCCATGCAGATAACCTCAACTAGTGAAGCAGACAATGTCTGAAAAAGTAGAGAATTATGGAGACTAAGAGGGGACCTGAGAGTTCAAGCCAAGCCTCAAGGCATTCACGCTCAATTCAATTAAAACACAGTGCTGACTCTAGCTCCCCTCAGACAAAACAAAACAGGTGCAGTCCAAATCCAGCCCACAGGCTACCAGTTTGAGAGCTCTGGGAAGGCCACCATCCTTAAGAGGATTTGAGCCTAATGTTCGACAAATGCCTAATAAGCATATTAAATTTACAAATCACAAAGTTGAGAACAGTATCAACCCAAATGTGCCAAACAAATTTGCTTATGGTGGATGGATATTTACAGGATATATGTACATATACAAAGGGTTTCAGCACTGTACAACAGAGTTCAATTGCTTAGAGTAACCTGCTGCATGACCTCGGGTAAGATATGTTACTTTTCTGAGCATCAACTTCCCCATCTATAAAATGAAGATAATAGCACCCCCTTGGGATAGTAGTGAAAGTTACACAGGAATAAATTTGTAAAGCTCTCAGCATGTAGTAGGCACTCAATAAATGATAGTTGATAATTTTTTTACAAAGCATATTTAGGCTAGCATTATAATGCACATTTAGAACAACTCATTCAAGGACAAAGTCAATCTCTTAGGCAAATTGTGTGGTAAATGATGTTGATCAGTCCCTTGCAAGAAACTGCTAATCATATGACCAGTCTCACTTAGCCTCTTGCCACACAGAGGTCATGAAAGGATGCTGGTGCCATCTCATGGTAATGCTCAGAGCCCACAGGAGATACAAATGCTAGGACTGTTCACATTTGAACAGCAGCTTGTACATATTTAGCATTAATTCTGTTAAATATTTTTAAATACTCAATTCAGAAGCATAAATCCAAACACCAACGGGATGCTAACACATCGCTCCATGCCAAACACCTTGCAATGTGCACAGTCATTTGCCCTCTAAAATTCACACCCGTTCAAGTTACTCTTCTCACCTTGTCTTCCAGCAGATGATCTGCACACTTGCCCCTTTTTAGACACTGGCTGCTTTCTCCTACAGAAAATTTAAATTCCAAATTGTTTGGGTCTTTTTCTTTTTTTAAAATCCCTGAAGAGACTGGACTGGGAAGAGGAAAAACGATGAATAACACACAGGTGCTTCCTACCTAATTAAAAGAAAAGTTTACAGCTGCACTGGTTGTGAATCATCCCTCTGGGTTATCCAGTGTATCCTTCAAGTGGCACGTAGTTCCATCAAGAGCCATATTCCATATGCTTTCCTGAAAACTGCCTTCTCTTTGCTTGGTAAAATGATGACTATCAGGTAACTAATGGCATTTTATACTTCCTGGCTTTCCTCTCTATGGACAAAGCAGTTCATTTGTGCTTCCTTATTTCTAAAAATAAATAACCCTGAAAAAAGGACTCAACTTAGTGAATCAAGCTTTGATTTATGTTGAAAAAGCAAGATGCAAATTTGTGTATTTATTATCATTTCTGTGTAAGAAATACATATACATTTATATGATACATATATAAAATGTGAATATATATAATATGTATATATTTATATACATATAATTTATAATATTCAATACACAGTATATTATATATATATATTCATCTATTTCTTTCTTTTCTTTTTTTTGAGACAGAGTCTTGCTCTGTTGCTCAGGCTGGAGCGCAGTGGCACATTTTCAGCTCACTGCAACCTTTGCCTCCCGGGTTGACGCGATTCTCATGCCTAAACCTCCCAAGAAGCTGGGATTGCAGGCACATGCCACCACACCCAACCAGTTTTTTTGTATTTTTAGTAGAGACGGGGTTTCGCCATGATAGCTAGGCTGATCTCAAATTTCTGGCCTCAAGTGATCTTCCCGTCTCAGCCATTGTATTAGTCTGTTCTCATGCTGCTTGATAAAGACATACCCAAGACTGGATAATTTATAAAGAAAAAGAGGTTTAATGGACTCACAGTTCCATGTGGCTGGGGAGGCCTCACAATCATGGCAGAAGGCGAAAGGCACACCTTACGTGGTGGCACACAAGAGAGAAAATAAGAGCCAAGTGAAAGAGGAAACCCCTTATAAAACCATCAGATATTGTGAGACTTTTTCACTACCACAAGAACAGAATGGGAAAAACCACTCCATGATTCAATTATCTCCCACCAGCTCCCTCCCACAACACATGGGAATTATGGGAGCTACAATTAAAAATGAGATTTGGGTGGGGACACAGCCAAACCACAATCGCCTCCCACAGTGCTGAGATTACAGATGTGAGCTACTGCACCTGGCCTATATACATGAATTTCTTACTTAAGTACATGTATCATACACACACTAACACACACACACACACATACACACACACACACCCTGCCACTACCTCCAGAGAAACCAAATAATGAAATAATGAGGATAGGAGAAGACAGTTGTCAGGGATAAGTTCTACTGTTCTCATTGTATACTTTTTAAAATCTTGGATAATCATACACGTAATATATTAATGGTCCAAAAAAGTTAACTTTGACTTCTTTAAAAATTTGTCTGGACTGCCAGGTGTTTTCTTATATTTTAAATTTATAATGTCAAAGGTAATTGAAATAATCTGTTTTTATTTCTTAAGCTTATCCTTAGACATTTCCACCTTCTTACACATAAAGAGAGAAACATCTAGAAAGATACATATTATACCATTAACTCTAAAGGATGAGGAGTTACATGGGGCTACAGGGTTTCCTTTCTCCTCTATCCTTCTACATCACTAGTAGCACTTTTGAAATTGAAAAATAAAACCAACAATGAGATACCACTACACACCTATTAGCAAAGCCAAAATCCTAAACACTGACACCACCAAATGCTGACAAGGATATGGAGCAACAGGAACTCTCACTCACTGCTGGTGGGAATGCAAAATTATATTGCCACTTTGGAAGACAGTTTGGCAGTTTCTTATAAAACTAAACATAATCTTACCACACAATCTAGCTAGCAATCATGTTCCTTGGTATTCAGCAAAGGAGTTGAAAACTTATGTCCACACAAAAACCTGCACATGAAAGTTTATAAAAGCTTTATGTGCAATTACCAAGTCATCCTTCAGTAAATGAATGGATAAAAGAACTATGGTACATCTAGACAAGGCAATATGATTCAACACTAAAAAGAAACACACCATCAAGCCATGAAAACACATGGAGGAAACTTACAAATGCATAGTGCTAAGTGAAAGAAGCCAATGTGAAACGGCTACATACTATATGATTCCAATTATCTGACATTCTGGAAAAGGCAAAACGATGGAGACAGTAAAAAGATCAAAAGTTAGGGGAGTGGGGAGATAAATAAGTAGAGCACCAAGAATTTTTAGGCGGTGAAACTAGTCTGTATATTATAATGGTGGACACGTGTCATTACATATTTGTTCAACCCTATAAAATGTACAACACCAAGAATGAACCCTAATGTAAACTAAGGTCTTTGGGTGATAATGATGTGTCAATGTAGGTTCATCAATTGTAACAAATGTACCACCTTGGTGGGGGACGTTGATAATGGGGGAGGCTGTGCACAGGCTGGAAGCAGAGGGTACATAGGAAATCTTTGTACCTTCCTCTCAATTTTATTGTGAATCTAAAAATGCTCTAACGAAGTCTATTGTTTTTAAACAGCTACTCAGAAAAATAAAAGAATGAAACTAATTTTACAGTTACAAAGAGAATATCTACACACTGAGGTAGGGTCAGAATCAGTAAACATGAATTCCTATCATTAAGCATTTTTATTAAATACCTAGAAGGGCATCTGTAGTTTAAGAAGAAACTTACATAACTCTCTCAGGTCAATTTTCTGCACTCTACTTTTGCTTCTCTTGGTTAAAAATCTGGGGTTGGGAACATATATTCACCTGTGCATTATACTCTTGCTCCAAAACATTTTTTTTTTTTTTTTTTGTGAGACGGAGTCTCGCTCTGTCACCAGGCTGGAGTGCAATGGCGCGATCTCGGCTCACTGAAACCTCTGCTTCCCAGGTTCAAGCAATTCTCCTGCCTCAGCCTCTCGAGTAGCTGGGATTACAGGTGTGCACCACCACGCCCAGCTAATTTTTGTATTTTTAGTAGCGATGGGGTTTCACCATGTTGGTCAGGCTGGTCTCAATCTCGTGACCTCATGATCCGCCTGCCTTGGCCTCCCAAAATGCTGGGATTACAGGTGTGAGCCACCGCGCCCGGCCTCCACAACATTCTTAAACTGATTTCTTTTGCCAACAAATGAGTTGTTTTCATCCTATTGCTTGGTGACTACGCAGGTCAGCTTAAAATTATTGTTTGCTTAAATTCAAAGAATTTAAAATGCTCTTCTCTTCAAATTATCCCTACCAACAAATAAATGCAAGTTAAGGAGAATGCTTACAAAAAGTTAAGAGGAGTTCAATTATACTGCAGAGTGATCTGTTTTTCTCAAGGAAGGATAATAATCCTCATTTTCAAAAAAAAAACAAACAAACAAAACAAAATGTAAACTAGCCAAAAGGGTATAAAATTGGAATCCCAAATTATTCTGGGAAACAATACTGTGCCCACAAGGGCACTCACTACACATGAAACCAGATAGTATGGTTAACATTGATCTGTGAAGACTGAAGACTATCAGTTTTCATGATCCTTGCTCAACAGAATTTCACTGGCTTTTCCTTTGGAGAACACTAAACTAATTTCATTGAATTTGAGGGAGCTTTCCCCCCAGGAGACAAAATGCTGACTTCTCATTCTGAAGTTATAAATGTAAAAACAATTTGATTTTCTACTTCTTAACCTCCAAAATGCTTACACAAGGGCCAGATGTAATGGCTCATGCCTGTAAATTCCAGCACTTTGGGAAGCTAAGGCAGGACGATCGTTTGAGCCCAGGAGTTTGAGACCAGCCTGGGCAACACAGGGAGACCCCATCTCTACAAAAAAATTTTTAAATTGGCCAGGAGTGGCGCACGCTCCTGTGGTCCCAGCTACTTGGGAGGCTAAGGGGGAGGATCTCTTGAGCCCAGGAGTTTGAGGCTGTAGTGAGCTACAGTTGTGCCACTGTACTCTAGCCCAGGTGACAGAGCAAGACCCTGTCTCAAAAAAAAACAAAAAGAAAAAACAAACAAACAAAAAAGAAACAAACAAAAAATGCTTACACAAGAGAAGGTATCAGGAGGTAACTTGGATATATTTTCATTCTCTCATTCTCTCTCCTTCTCTCTCTCTCTCTCTCTCTCTCTCTCTCACATTTTTCAAGTTAGAAAAAGGCAACGTTCCCCCATTCGAGGCTTTGTTAACAGTGACCATTATACACGGCTGGAATAATTTCTCTCATACAGTCTGTCAGCCTGCTTCCTGATATCTAACTACTGCTTTGAACACTAGAACTCTCAGTTTTAGCCAGACATCACAGACCTTCCATCATCTTAACCCCTTTTAACTTTTTTCAATCTTATCCCATTGGTCACCAACTTAAGATTCCTGGAAACTCAGGAATGAAATAAATCTAAGTGGTCACTTGGTCTAACTTCAGGTCCGATGTTTAAATTCACACAAACTTCTCGCAATGACCCAGACTAGACTTGGAAAGCTCTGAATCAGTGAACAAACCACATTTCTTGGCAGCCACACTTATTTTAGGGAGTTTTGCACATCACAAATTACCCACAACAGTCCTGTTCACATCCTTTAGGGCCCACACAGAATCTGGCCAACTTCATTTACACATATTAGCCATCTATTTAAAGAGCTGGTTTCCACCTGCATCCTGCTGTATTTTTTCCTTCCAGCTAAACACCTCGACCTGTGCCCTCAATTTCTCAAAGACCCCTGTGATAGTCATTAAAAACAGTGATATTAAAAAACAAGGGCTCTAAAATTATCTTCTTTTTAGTTTTAAGCAGTGGGGAACAGAACATATTGGATCTTCCATCAAATTCTGACAGTCACACACAAACACCGTATGAATTTCTAATCCTGAACCATCTCTTTTTAAGGTATAATACATGTGTCAGGTGAAAACCTAATCTCTCTTCTCCTAGATTCAATCACCTCAAGGCATTCCATATTTATAAGCTTCACTCTCTTCTGGGACTTAAGAAATATTTTTAAAACAATATAGTACAATTAAATTTAGCCCATTCTTCCCCTTCCCAAAAACATTTTTAACAACTTTTATTTAATTTCACATTTCAGAAGAAAATGAAAATTAAGATTAATTGAATTACCCTCCCCCCATGGGTTTTAATTTATATGACAACATTTACATTTGGTAAGAACAAAATGGCAGGGCGCAGTGGCTCACGCCTGTAATCCCAGCACTTTGGGAGGCCGAGGTGGGTGGATCACGAGGTCAGGGGTTCAAGACCAGCCTGACCAACATGGTGAAACTCCGTCTCTACTAAAAATACAAAAAGTAGCTGGGCCAGGTGGCGGGCACCTGTAATCCCAGCTACTCAGGAGGCTGAGGCAGGAGAATTGCTTGAACCCGGGAAGCAGAGGTTGCAGAGAGCCGAGATCACGCCACTGCACTCCAGCCTGGGTGACAGAGCAAGGTTCTGTCTCAAAAAAAAAAAACAAAATGGAATTGGGCTGCAGTTTTTAGTTACAATTGACGCTACTGCCAAACTGAGTTCAGTTCAGAAGTTATAATTGCACAGAAAATGCAAACATATAATCTTGACTTTTACTATCATTTTAACCCACTGCAGAATTATTTAACAATGTTTGCCATGTTGGAAGAAAGCTACTACGTGGTATTTTGCTCAGGCCAATGTATAACAAAAAAAATTGATTTGAGAAGATAAGATTATTAAATCAATCTGTATTTTAGCAATGACGTATAATTTTTTTTTTTTTTTTGAGACAGGGTCTCACTCTGCTGCCCAGGCTGGAGTGCAGGGGGCACAATCTCAGCTTACTGCAATCTCTGTGTCCCGGGTTCAAGTAATTCTCCCATCTCAGCCTCCCGAGTAGCTGGGACTACAGATATGCGCCACCAGGCCTGGCTAATTTTTGTATTTTTTGGTAGAGACGGGGTTTCACCATGTTGGCCAGGCTGGTCTCGAACTTCTGGCTTCAAGTGATCCTCCCACCTCAGCCTCCCAAAGTACTGGAATCATAGGCATGAGCCACCGTGCCCGGCTGACTTATAATTTTCTTAAGATCTTTACCACCATATTGGAATAACCTCCAATCAATACAGAAGCTCTTACCACTCTTTTAATCCATTCCTCCTCAAGAAAAGGTCATTCCACAAAATCAATCAAAGGAGAATCAATCAAAATGATTGACAATTGTCTGTAGCCTGCTAGTAAAAGTTAAAGGAACACAGAAGAAAATCAGGAAAGAAAGTTAGCCTGAGCCCAGGAGGTTGAGGCTGCAGTGAGCCACGATGGCGCCACTGCACTCCAACCTGGGCAACAGAGTGAGACCCTATCTCCAACCACACACACGACACACACACACACACACACACACACACACACACACTACACAAAAGGAAAGAATATACAAAATGCATTTTGGTTAGATATGAAAAACGAATAATAATAATTATAGGAGTGTATCAAGTACCTGCCATGTGCTAGCTCTTGTTAACATGGTTTATCTCCATCACTCATTTAACCTTCAAAATCGCCTAAGATACAGGTACTATTATTAGTTCCCTTTTACAGAAACAGAGACTCTAAGAGATGAAATGACATGCACAAGGTCACACACAAAAATACAGCAGAGACTAGACCTAGATTCATGCATTAGCAACCAATGCAAGAGATAAAACCTGGTATACCGGGGTTGAATAGCATCCCCTCAAAGTTCATGTCCACCTGGAACCACATGTGACCCTATTTAGAAATAGGACCTTTGCAGATATAATCAGTTGAGGTCATAATGAATCAGGGTAATCCCTAAAACCAATATGACTGGTGTCCTTTTACAAAAATGAGCAGATACTCAGAGACATGGACACACACAGAAGGAAGACAGCCATGTGAAGAGGAGGTAAAAACTGGAATGACACAGATACAAACCAAGGATGCCAAGGATTGCTGGAAACCACCAGAAGCTAGAAAGAGACAAGGAAGGCAAAGGATCTATAGATCCTTCAAAGGAAGCAAGGCCCTGCTTGACTTCAGACTTCTAGCTTCCAAAACTATGAGAGAATACATTTCTGATGTTTTAAGTCACCCAGTTTGTGATATTTTATTACAGCAGCCCAGGGAAATGATGACACCTGAGAGGAGAACACGATGAATCAACGGAGCATTGCAATGCCAGCACTTCATCCCCAAAGAAAATTGGTGTACAGAAAGGAGAGACAGTAATAAGAACCAGCCAGTTGGAAGTTCAGCAGGTTTCTGTCAAATAATAACCACTGGCGTATTTCCTGCTCCTTCCTATAGTCTTTAGAAGACCCAACTTACAACTATGTCTATGAGGAACTCTGGTAGGACTATACATAATAGGAAAACATAACATTTTTTTCTTGATAACAGGAACATCTGGCTATGCTGAACATAAGAGATTCAAAACAGAGGAGATTTGCAAATTATAGCTTCCCTTAGGGCTTAGAAGTGCTTAGATAAAATTTGATTATTCCATACTGGCCTGCAATTTGACTCCAAGATCCCAGGATCACATGCCCCAGGCAAAAGATTTCTAATTCTTCTATGTAAGACCTATACTTGCTCTATCCATTCCGTATGTATCCATCCACCCGTCCATGCATGCACATGTTAAGCTTGCATTCAACAGACATCTTTTTTTTTTTTTTTTTGAGATGGAGTCTCGCTCTGTCACCCAGGCTGGAGTGCAGTGGTGTGATCTCGGCTCACTGCAACCTCCACCTCCCAAGTTCAAACAATTCTCCTGCCTCAGTCTCCCGAGTAGCTAGGACTACAGGCGCGCACCACCACGCCCAGCTAACTTTTTGTATTTTTAGTAGAGATGGGGTTTCACCATGTTGGTCAGGATGGTCTCGATCTCTTGACCTCATGATCCGCCCACCTCGGCCTCCCAAAGTGCTGGGATTACAGGCATGAGCCACCACGCCTGGCCTCAATAAACATCTTAAATAATAAACATCATAAAAAGCCCACTAGGTACCTGGCACTGTTATGTCCTTGGAATAAATATGACAAGTATATGCCATATCTGAGGGAGTCTACCCTCTAGCAAGAATGAGAGACATTCAACAAGTAACTTTAAGTGAGATGAGAGTTAACAAGGAGACATTAAGGCTGCTATGGGAGATAAGAGATAAGGTTGGCCAATCACATACAGCTGTACAGGGGGTACACTGCACAAGCACATTTGGCCAAGTAACATGTTGGGCCTAAGGTACAGCTCTCTCCATATGCAAAAAAGAGCGTTGTTTCCTCATTACCACAAAGAAGCAATTCCAACTAGCATCAGCTCTGAAACTGTAGAGGATAAGCACCTAATCTTGCAGCATCAATGCACCTGAATTTTATATTAAGAGTAATATTAACAGAAAATAATTAAAGTGTTTTTTAAGTATTAGACTCAG
This sequence comes from Homo sapiens, assembly GCF_000001405.40. Classification (NCBI taxonomy): domain Eukaryota; kingdom Metazoa; phylum Chordata; class Mammalia; order Primates; family Hominidae; genus Homo; species Homo sapiens. Next base: position 65,923,997 of record NC_000003.12, read on the forward strand.
CTGTCCACAGAAGCAGAAGCAGTAATTTATCCAACATTATTTCATCTCTTGGGTAATACTAAAATAATTCAAGGAGATGTATGAATAATTGAAGCTAAGACCATCTGTAAAAAATGCCATTATGGCTCTTTACCAATTGACACTCATTTAAAACCTTGATTTAAAAAGTAGCATTTTCCATCATTTTAACTTTAGGAAGATTTAAATGATTTATTAATCAAGTGCTGTTTCACTGGACTAAAGTAGGATCACAAGCCCTATTCAAACCTGTCTTTCCTTTCCACATATCAAATTCTTGCCTTCCAGAGAAGCTACTAAAATGCCCGAATTAAGAAAGGTCGGTCTACAGCAGTGGGATTGCATCTCCCTCCCCAGAACACTGTAAAATTAGAAAATTAAGCCTGTCACTTTAAGATACATGAGTCCCATTTCAAGAATTTCTAGCATCAAACCAAGCAAGAATATCATTGGGAGGTGAATTTATATAACACAAGGATTCTAGGAGAAGCCATCATTTCCGTGGCAGGAATCAGAATGCTCAAACAATATGAGGCAAGAATGAGGCCATCCCGCATCCCCAAATTATCTACCTGTAAGTCACAGCTTGCTTAGAGTACTAGAGCAGGTTTCCCAGATTGCTTTGGTGGGCTCTTAATTACCGAAGGTCCACCACTAAACCTGTCTCTGGTCAGATTCGGTTAGGAAACCCCACATCCCACACTGCCCCTCGCTGCTCCATGCTTCAGTTTTCTTATATATCAAATGAGAATAAACAGCCATGCCTACCTCATAAGACTGTTGTGGGAATTTACGAGTTAATCCATGTAAAGTACTCACAGTCATGCCTGGCACATAGTTAAGTGCTAAATAAAAGGTAATTGTTATTATTATTTTCTTTTGTAGAGCATTTGATGAATTTCTGTCCATAAAAACCCTCTGAGAGAAGTCATGAAAACAAATAAGTCTGTTGAGCTTTACATATGCCGGTCTTAGCCAAATTTGTCTGACCACAAGATCCTTTGATCTCCCCATAAAACATTTTCTATCACTGGGGGAGCTCAAGTCCTGTAGAGCTCACCATGGGATACACTGCTCCATGACGACTGTGTCTCTGCCTCGTCTACTTCCATTGCTCATCCAGGAATTGAGAAGACTTTATCATTTAAGCCATGAGATGGCTGAGGAAGAAAAAACCAGATGCCTGTTTAAGTCACCTTTAGATTTCCACTTCTTCTTCCACTGAATTGTCCTTGAAATTTCCTTTGGAAATAAATTCCAAGGTAATAAAAGGCCTCAGTGCAGGTAGTGTTTTTTTTTGTTTTGTTTTTTTGTTTTTGTATTACTTATACACAAAAAGCTGGCTGAAAGGCCAAACAGAATGACAATAAAGGGCACCTTGCCCAGATTTGATGTAAAAAGGCCCACCTTGACCCAACAAGGACAACTGCAAACAACCCAAGGCCAGTGACCACATAATTCCCTGATGCAGAGTTAAGAGAAAAACAACAGGAACTTTGTTCACTATAGTCACACAATACTGGTTATTCCTCTTTCTATTTCTATAACCTAGAACACTAAATACTCCTTTAACAATTAGAACGTTTGTTAGATTGATAAAAATAAAGAACCCCAACCTCTCAAAAAAATAGTAATAGCTCTCTCATATAACCTTAACCATCCTTAATGGACTAACTTTTTTTTTAGACAGGATCTCCCTCTGTTGCCCAGGCTGAAGTGCAATGGGGCAATGTTGGCTCACTGCAATCTCCACCTCCTGGGCTCAAGCCATCCTCTCACCTCAGCCTCCTGAGTAGCTAGGACTACAGTCACGAGCCACCACACTCTGCCAATTTTTGTATTTTTTGTAGAGACAGTTTCACCATATTGCCCAGGCTGGTCTTGAACTCCTAGGTTAAAGCGATCCACCTGCCTCAGCCTCCCAAAGTGCTAGGATTACAGGCGTGAGCCACTGCACCTGGCCATATGTACTCATATAATCCTCACAACTACCCTTTGAGGTAAATGCTTTTATCTCCATTTTGCAGATAAGTAAACTGAGGTGGCAAGTACTAAGTACCTTACTCAAGATCACACAACTAGTAAAAGAAAAATTCAAATCAAAATCATTTCTGTTATTTAGTATTTCTTTAAATGAAGTCATTTTTTAACTTCAATAGATTTAACCTGAAAGGAAATTTTATTACATTATTGTGTGTTATCACCTACACTAAATAGAAGGTAGTCTGAAAAATAAATACAATGTAAATAAAAGAATGTTATTGTTACCTAAAAACTGTCATCTGCAGAAGATCCAAGACTGAAGTCTTCTTTTCTCTCTCTCTCTCTCTCTCTCTCTCTCTCTCTCTCTCTCTCCCTCTTTCCCTCCCTACACCTCCCTCTGTCAGAGGGGTTGGAACAGAGCAACTCCATCTTGAAAAGGGGCTAGATAAAATAAGACTAAGACCTGCTGGACTGTATTACCAGTAAATTAAGGCATTCTTAGTCACAGGATGAGACAGGAGGTCAGCACAAGATACAGGTAATAAAGACCTTGCTGATAAAATAGGCTGCAGTAAAGAAGCCAGCCAAAACCTACCAAAACCAAGATGGTGATGAGAGTGACCTCTGGTTGTCCTCACTGCTACACTCCCACCAGTAACATGACAGTTTACAAATGCCATGGCAACATCAGAAAGCCTATATAGTCTAAAATGGGGGCCGGGCGTGGTGGCTCACACCTCTAATCCCAACACTTTGGGAGGCTGAGGCAGATGGATCACCTGAGATCAGGAGTTCAAGACCAGCCTGGCCAACATGGTGTAACCCCCATCTCTACTAAAAGTACAAAATTTGCTGGGCGCGGTGGTGCACACCTGTAACCCCAGCTACTCAAGAGGCTGAGGCAGAAGAATCACTTGAACCCAGGAGGCGGAGTTTGCAGTGAGCCGAGATTGCGCCATTGCACACCAGCCTGGGCAACAAGAGTGAAACTCTGTCTCAAATAAATAAATAAAAATGGGGAGAAACCCTCAGTTGCAGGAATTGCCCACCCCTTCCCTGGAAAACTCATGAATAATCCACCCCTTGTGTAGCATATAATCAAGAAATAACCATAAAGATGGGCAACCGGCAGCCCTCAGGGCTGGTCTGCCTATGGAGTAGCCATTCTTTTATTTCTTTACTTTCTTAATAAACTTCCTTTCATTTTACTCTATGAATTCGCCTCAAATTCTTTCTTGTGCAAGATCCAGGGACCCTCTCTTGGGGTCTGGATGGGGACCCCTTTCCGGTAACAACTCTGCCTTTTCATCTCCTGAAAAGGTAGATTTGCTAGTGCAAGAAGATATTAAAGACTCACAGGCACCAAACTAACATTTTCTCCACCACATAATCACGCCCACTGAATGTGACCTGCAAAGGGTCTGTCTCATTGCAGGATCCAAAGCCATTTAATGCCACAAGTGTGAACTGCTCCCAATGCCCTCACCCATCACAGGTGGTCCCACACTGGAAAACATTGCTTCAAGCAGCATTAACAACTAAGGATGTCACAAATGCAGATTTATTTGCCAAGAAATCAGGGTGCTTCTGTAGGTTTTTTACATAATGAGAAATCAAAGCTATCAATGTAAAGTACTGCTTTTAGGTTCAATCAATCATTGGTAAAATGATACAATGAGGAAAACCTGGCTTGGCTGGCAGTTCCTGTGGAAAGGGACTGTGGTTTGGGCTGACCACAAGATCAACATCAGCCAAGAGTATGACAGGGTTCTGAGGTGAGAGAAGGGACTCTTAGGCTCATTCCTAACCTGTCAGGGATTGAATCAAGGGAAGGGAGATCCTGTCCTCACAGTGAGCCAAGCAGACCACACCTGGCGCTCAGGAAAATCAACTACTTAACACAGCATGTCCTTTTCAGAAAAAGCAATCAAGAATGATGAGTATCTGAAAATTAAGCCACTTGAGGAATATGATCACCCTACTTAAAATTGCAACCCAAGTCCCTTCAGTATACATAATCCCCCTCACTCTGTTCTTTTTTTTCTTAGAATTTTCACCTCCTAATATGCAACACGAGTTACTTTTACATGAATTTATTTTCGGCCCCACTCCATGAAGACAAGGATTTTTTTACAGCAGTGTTCACTGATGCACCCCTGGTGTGTAGAGCAATGACTGATACATATTAACACCAGACAGCCAACTGTGTGCAACTCCTCCCAATACTAGGTTCACTGAGTTTACAGTGGTCACTTAATACTGGCCGTGGAGGGAGCATTTATACAAAGGAAATTGGCAAACACTACAATCAGTGCTCCCTGCCCAGAGCTGGTTCTTAACCATTAACTAGCACTGATTGCACTTGCTCTGAGAACTTGAGGCAACAAGAATATAAGAATGAACTTAAAGAAAGTTTTTCAGATATTGAACTGGTACCATTGTTTCAACAGAAACTGGATGACCTCATTTGTCAGGAGCACATGAGATGAAATCAATGTATTGCTTTTCCGCTGGCCTCAACTGCTCTATGAGGGCAGGAATCTCAACTACATCTCTCAACATTGTCACGGTGGCAAGCAAGTAACTTTGAGTTAGTTGCTGTATTCCATTGTTTCCTTTCAGCCGAAAGACTAAAATTCTATAGTACATGTCAAACTACATTAAGTCTAATTTCCACGGTTCTAATCACTAGAGAAAATGGGTCAATGCCTTCTTTTAAATATGAAATGTGTAGTTTCCCTTTTAAAACCTACGTTTTCAAATAAAAATGCAACCACAATGAGAGCTGTTACATAAGGAAAACCACACCTTGCAGGGTGCCCATTATTTCAGCCTCTAAGCAAAATAATGAAACCTTCTCTGTACTTCAAAAGGACCCCGAAGATGACTGAAACAGTTTTAATTAAAAATGCAATTAGCATGAGTTTTCTGAGATACAATGATAATGGGTGGGCAGGACATAAGAGGCTATCATTGATGCTTTCAGCTTATTTAATGAAAAAAGCAGGCCCAGAACCACAGAGACTCACACCTATAATCCACCAGTTTGGGAAGCCGAAGCGGGAGGGATCACTTAAGCCCAGCAGGTCGAGGCTGCAGTGAGCCATGATCCTGCCGGTGCACCCCAGCCTGAGTGACAAAGGGAGACAATGCCGCAAAAAAAAAGAAAAAAGAAAAAAACCTGTGACAATGAACCTGTTTGTAGAGCACCCCTGTTTGGGACAACCTATCTATATACCTCATTCATCCTTTCATCCTTTCTCCTCAATCTAACTCAAATTCATTTCATATGTAGGCTTTCTAAAATTGACAAAAACTCAGTCATCACACATGCAGATATCAAGGATGATTTTTTTTTTTTTGAGACCGAGTCTCGCTCTGTCACCATGCTGGAGTGCAGTGGCGCGATCTCAGCTTACTGCAACCTCCACCTCCCAGGTTCAAGCGATTCTCCTGCCTCAGCCTCCCAAGTAGCTGGGACCCCCAACTACCATGCCCAGCTAATTTTTGTATTTTTAGTAGAGATGGGGTTTCACCATATTGGCCAGGATGGTCTCGATCTCCTGACCTCGTGATCCACCCACCTCGGCCTCCCAAAGTGCTGGGATTACAGGCGTGAGCCACCGCGCCCAGCCAAGGAAGATTTTTACGTCAAGAATTCAACAATGCAATCCACATAAGATACTAGATAATTCTATCTTGAATAACTTGAGACCCTTTCGGGGCACAAAAGCCATAAAAGTTTAAAACTCCAACAAATGCCCACAAACAAAAGGGCCTCAAAGAGCAAATCAATCCATGGTAATAATTCAGGGTAAGAAGCTGAGTTACACCAAAGGCCTGTGGAATGGAGAGTGGGCTGGGGAGAAATTCTGGGGTCTAATCCATTCTTTGACTTTTACTAAGAGTTATGAAACTTTGGGCAAGTCACTTGAACCAAGTTGCAGTTTCCTTTATCAGCCAAAGAGGAAAATACTTCCCCTGTGTATCTCACAGCTTTCCTAGAAGGGCAAATCACATTAAAAATTATATTTCTAGGCCGGGCGCGTTGGCTCACACCTGTAATCCCAGCACTTTGGGAGGCCGAGGCGGGTGGATCACCAGGTCAGGAGATCGAGACCATCCTGGCTAACACGGTGAAACCCTGTCTCTACTGAAAATACAAAAAATTAGTCGGGCGCAGTGGCGGGCGCCTGTAGTCCCGGCTACTCAGGGGGCTGAGGCAGGAGAATGACGTGAACCCGGGAGGCGGAGCTTGCAGTGAGCCGAGATAGCGCCACTGCACTCCAGCCTGGGCGAAAGAGCAAGACTCCGTCTCAAAAAAAAAAAAAAAAAAAAAAAAAATGTTATTTGTATCTAAAGGAAAAACCAAGGTCTTTCCATTGTGTCTCAGTCTTTACTACTAACTTCCCCAAATAAGATGGAGACGTATTTATCAAAATGTCCACTTGTGGCCAGGCACGGTGGCTCACACCTGTGGTTCCAGCACTTTGGGAGGCAGAGGCAGGCAGATCACTTTGTCAGAGGTGTTTGAACCACAGCAACTCCATCTTGAATAGGGGCTAGGTAAAATGAGGCTGATACCTACTGGGCTGCATTCCCAGGAGGTTGGGCATTCTAAGTTACAGGATCAGATTGGTCGGCACAAGAAACAGGTCACAAAGACCTTGCTGATTAAACAGGTTGCGGTAAAGAAGCCAGCCAAAACCCACCAAAACCAAGATGATAACGCAAGTGACCTCTGGTCCTCCTAACTGCTCATTATATGCTTATTATAATGCATTAGAAGGCTAAAAGACACTCCCACCAGTGTCCTGACAGTGTACAAATGCCATGGCAACGTCAGGAAGTTACCGTATATGGTCTAAAAAGGGAAGAACCCTCAGCTCTGGGAATTGCCCGCCCCTTTCCTGGAAAACTCATGAATAATCCACCCCTTGTTTAGCATATAATCAAGAAGTAAACATAAAAATAGCCAACAATCAGTCCATGCTTCTGCTCTGCCTACGAAGTAGCTATTCTTTTACTCCATTGCTTGCTTCTTTTTTTTTTTGAGATAGAGCCTCACTCTGTGTCCCAGGGTAGAGTGCAGTGGCACAGTCTTGGTTCACTGCAACCTCCACCTGCCAGGTTCAAGCCATTCTCCTGTCTCAGCCTCCCGAGTAGCTGAGACTACAGGAGCGTGCCACCACGCCCAGCTGATTGTTTATATTTTTTAGTAGAGATGAGGTTTCACTGTGTTAGCCAGGATGGTCTCAATCTGTTGACCTCGTGATCCACCCGCCTCAGCCTCCCAAAGTGCTGAGATTACAGGCATGAGCCACCGCACCCGGCCCTCCCTTGCTTTCTTAATAAACATCCTTTCACTTTGTGGATTTGCCTCAAGTTCTTATGTGAGATCCAAGAACCCTCTCTTGAGGTCTAGATCGAGACCCCTTTCCAGTAACAGCTTGAACACAGGAGTTCCAGACCAGCCAGGGCAACATGGCGAAGCCCTGTGTCTATAAAAAATACAAAAATTAGCCAGGTGTGGTGGCAGACACTGTAGTCCCTGCTACTTGGGAGGCTGAGGTGGGAGGATCATTTGAGCCCAGAAGTCAAGGTTGCAGTGGGCCGAGATTGTGCTACTGCACTCTAGCCCAGGTGACAGAGAAAGACCTTGTCTCAACAACAACAGTAAAAGTCCACTTGCATTCTTGTGCTCTCTTCAACTTATATTACAGGGTAAAAAAACAGTTCCGCTATTATTCCTCTCTGTGGCATATGAAAACCTGCCATTACATGTGGATTTGAACCCAATTGTGGGTTCAAATGAAACAGATCATTGGAAACCAATGAAAATCACTACCTATATTTTTTATTGCACTGTGACTAGAGAAGGGTAAGTGTATACGCCAACTCATAGAAAAGCTTGATGACACCAAACTACCTGCTCTCCATTGTAATACTATCACATTTTTAAATACTTTCCTGAAACTTGGAGTTACCAAATAGTCCAGAAAATCAGCCACAGAGATAAATCAACAGATTGAAAATCCAAACACATGGAAACAGGGGAAAAAATCGTATCGAGTTTTCTAATGTTTGTGGACACAAATGCTTACAAATATTTCAAAATACTTCACTAAACTGTTTTATTTGTTAGGACAGAATGCCTTGAACTTGCACTCTTCTGATACGACTTGTAGATTATTTTCTTGCACATTTTCTCTCCCAACCAACATAAAATAATGCAAACAAGGTCTGTTCGAAGACTATGGATTATGTTCTTTTCAAATTACTTGAACCTGGGAGGCGGGGGTTGCAGTGAGCTGAGATCACACCACTGCACTCCAGCCTAAGCGACAGAGTGAAACTCAGTTTCACGAAACAAAAATAAAAAAGAAAGATTAGGTAATATGTTTTCTAAAACTGCTCTCTCCCATAGCAGGTAACTTTGAGGTATGTGTCTGCCCCCTAGGTTTCTTCTTTGGAACACAATCCCCTTCAGCATTCCCACCATCCCGAACATATATATACCATCAACAGAAAAAAGCTCCGGGCAGCCCTAGAGTTCCACCCACCCCAGCAATGGCTGATTGCCTTAGGCATCGGCACCTAATTGAAGCTCTACCTATGAAATTCTCTCTTTCCAGGAAGCTAAACCACAGAAACTCTCTGTGACTAAAGCCATCATATAATAAGAGAGCCAAAGGGGCTTCCAAATTCCACCTCGTAGATGGAAAATCAGAGAAAGCCCATCTATAGAAAGAAACATAATCAGAGGAAAGAAGATCCTTCATGAGGCCCTCTCCATCCTTCCCCTTGGGTTCCATGAGACTTTGCCGTCTCTAGATAATAAATTATCCTTCCTGCTTAGGCTATTACTTGCAACCAAAGCTGATTCATAATTATGTTTAAATAAAGTATGATGCTACATTACTCTATACCAGACTACATTTACTTAACAGTCCTATCTTTTCAAAGTTTAAATCTTGATATGAAAGAGAATACCATCTGCCTCTAGGCAGCACCTAAGACCAAATGCTCCATTGAAAATCAGGCATTCAGGGAAGCTTACAGTTATACTTGTTTCAATAAGTATTTTGTTTAAGTGTGTATGGCTGAAAGAACCTGTTCCAGGACTAAACTCAATATTAATCCACTTGAAGACAAAAGCCATATCTTAGCCTTGGAGTCCAGAGAGAATGCAAAATGGCTGAAGTGCAGTGGCCTAAAACAATAAGCATTTATTATCTCACAGAGTTTCTACAAGTAAGGAACAGTTTAGTTCGTGGCTCAGGATCTCATGTGGTTGCAATCAAAATATTGGTCAGGGCTGCACTCATCTGAAGGCTTGACTGGGGCTGAGGGATCTGCTTCTGCTTCTAAAATGGTTCACTAATATGGCTGCTGATGAGAGACCCTGGTTCCATGCTACGTGGACCTTTCTCATTGGTTGCTTGTCTGTCCTCATACTATAGCAGCTAGCCTTCCCCAGAGTGACAGATCCAAGAAAGCAAGGCAGAAGCCACAATTCTGTTACGACCTAGCCTTGGGAACAATACTGTGCCATTTCTACCACATACTGTTGGCTTGAATGTCAGTCCTACTCAGCTTAGGAGGAGTCCATACAAGGCCATGAATATATGGAGGTGAAAATTATTGGGAGGAGAGGAGGGGTCTTGGAGGCTAGCTACAATTGGCTAGATTAGGATAGATACTCCTTGAAACTCCAAAGTTACACTAAATATAGTATTCGGAGTAAAAGAAGAAAGATATCTTAAATGAGCCTATTTTATTAATTGTTTATCATCATATGTATGCACAGCAGCAAATAAATGTATTATAAACATATCCCCATTCCGGTCAGGTGCGGGGGCTCATGCCTATAATCCCAGCACTTTGGGAGGCCGAGGTGGGCAGATTACCTGAGGTCAGGAGTTCGAGACCAGCCTGACCAACATGGTGAAACCCCATCTCTACTAAAAATACAAAAAATTAGCTGGGCTTGGTGGTGGGCATCTGTAATCCCAGCTACTCGGGAGGCTGAGGCAGGAGAATCACTTGAACTGCGAAGGTTGCAGTGAGCTGAGATCGCGCCACTGCACTCCAGCCTGGGCACGACAGAGCGAGACTCTGTCTCAAACAAAAAACAAAAACAAAAACAAATCCCTATTCCTTCAAAGAGGTGAATCTAGGTGAGACACCAAGATGTGCACAAGAATAATTAGAGGGTAATTAGGGTAATGAACTGATTCTTTTTTTTTTAATATATTTTACCATTTTTTTTTTTTTAAGATAGGGAGAGGATCTTGCTGGGTTGCCCAGGCTGGTCTCAAACTCCTGGCCTCCAGGGATCCTCCTGTCTCAGCCTCCCAAAATGGTAGGATTATAGGCATGATTCTAAATACAACAGAGGTTCAGAAAAAGAAGAAACAATAGGTCGGATAAAGCAGGGGAAAATCTTTCTCTGTTCTTTACAAATAAAGGCTTACCTTCAGGTGGCATCTTTAACCATCTATTTTATAGACTACAAGTAGGACTTTTTCCAAACATTCATTTGATGTTAGCAAGTGATTTAACAGGACTAATGGTGCAGTACATTTAAGAAAAAGGCTCCCAACCTAATTATAAAACCGAGTCCCTCTTATATTGGGCCATTTAATGGTGCCAGATTGTGGTGCAGTACATTTAAGAAAAAGGCTCCCAACCTAATTATAAAACCGAGTCCCTCTTATATTGGGCCATTTAATGGTGCCAGATTGTGGGCTGAGAAGAAAAAGTTGTTGTTTTTTTTTTTTTTTAAGGGGAGGTTGTGGTGGGACATTCCAAAGGGGAACATTGAAATCCTCTTGTGAGCAAACATCAATAAGTAATCTGCACCAATTTAATCTGCATTGCACAAGTATTTATTTAATCCTATCTATAGTAAGCCACTGTGGTTGGTACAAACACAGTAAAGAACAACACAGATACCAGTCCTGCCTTTATCAGGAAAGACAAAACAAAAACAAAAAGTAAACATTCCAGTAAAGGAATGATTAGTGCTATTATGACAAGGAAAGCATAGGGAACTATTCGATCAAAGAAGAGAGGTTACAGTTCCCCAAATCTAGGGTGTTTGGAAAGGAAGAATATCCTTAGTAAATGACATTGAAGCTAAAACCTAAACTATGTATAGCAGTCAGCTAGAAAAAACAGGCAAGAAAGAATATTTCAGGTGGAGAGAAACACATGTTTTCAGGCCAAAAGCTGGAGAACAAGGTGAGTTTAAAGAACTGAAAGAGGTTTAGTGATTACAATGTTGAACAAAAGGGGGCATGTGGAATGAATAAGAAGAATGGTTTTGTAGATTGAATTCTCTGCAGCAAACTCCATCAAGAGGTAGAGGTCAGGCATGGTGGTTCACTTTGGAAGGCCGAGGTGGGCAGGAGTTCATGATCAGCCTGGGCAAAAAAGTGAGAACCCATCTCTACCAAAAAAAATGTTTTAATTAGCTGACTGTGGTGGTATGTGCCTGTGGTCCTAGCTACTCGGGAGGCTGAGATGGAAGGATCGCTTGAGCCCAGGAGGTTGAGGCTGCAGTGAGCCATGAGGCTGCTACTGCACTCCAGAGTGGGCAATAGAGCGCAATTCTGTCTCAAAGAAAAAAGAGGTAGAGTCTACTACCTCACCCTTTGAATTTTGGCTGGCCTGGAAGTTGCTTTGACCAATAGAATGTGGTAAAGGTGACACTGTGTGAGCTCTGAAGAAAGGGCCTCAAGGGGCCTTGCCACTTCCACCTTCCTGCTTTTGAAATGCTGCCCTGAAACTGCCAAATAAGGAAGCCAGTCTAGCCTACTGGAGGAAAATAAACCATTGTGGAAAAGACACCAAGGTGCCTCAGAGGACAGCCAGTACCAAGGCCAGAGACATGTGAAGGAAGTCACATCAGAACTTCCAGCTCAACCACCACCCAGGTGAACTCGGCAGATGAGTAAGCCCAGGTGAAACCAGCCTAAGAACTATCTGGCCAACTCACAAAATGATGAGCAATAACAAATCATTGGTTTTCTTTAAAGCTACTAAGCCTGGGGGCTTTGTTAGGCAGCAGACAGAAAAAAGCCACAACACACAGGACCAGGTTAAGGACTTCAACTGACCTTCATCCTAAAATCAATGGAAAGCCATGGAAGGGTTTTAAGAACAGACTGACATAATCCATTAGTACCACAGACACAGTACCTATGCCAACAAACCTCCCAAGGCCCTAGAAATAACAGGAATATGGTGGGAGGAAGGGAACTGACTGCAAAATACAAAGAGAAACAGCAGAATCAAAATTCCTAAGCGTAACCCACAGCAAGTCAACTGCAAATCAAAAATTCCTAGGTAGTGACCAGGTGTAGTGGCTCACGTCTATAATCCCAGCACTTTGGGAGGCTGAGGCATACCGATCACCTGAGGGCAGGAGTTCGAGACCAGCCTGGCCAACATGGCGAAACCCCGTCTCTACTAAAAATACAAAAATTAGCTGGGTGTGGCTGGTACACGCCTGTAATCCCAGCTACTCAGGCAGTGGGCCAAGATCACACCACTGCACTCCAGCCTGGGTGACAGAGACTCCCTCTCAAAAAAAAAAAAAAATCTTATGTAGATATATATATATTATATTTCATCAGGAAGGTGGGTACATTTTAATATGTTAGTTATAGAAGAGGGCAATCTCCAAAGTACCTTACACCTTCAAAGTCTCGTGCGGGGTGTGTGTGTATCTGTGTGGTGTGTGTGTAGACAGGGTCTCACTCTGCCATCGAGGCTGGAGTACAGTAGCACAATCACAGCTCACTGCAATTTCAAACTCCTGGACTCAAGCAATCCTCCCACCTCAGCCTCCTGAGTAGCTGGGGCTACAGGTGTGCGCCACTGAGCTCAGGTTCAAAGTTGTTGTTGTTGTTGTTGGTGGTGGTGGTGGTGATGGTGGTGGTGATGGTGATGGTGGTGGTGGTGGTGATGGTGGTGGTGGTGGTGATGGTGGTGGTGGTGGTTGTTTTAATCTCTACCTAATTTTCTCCACAGACAGTATCTCCTCCTGATGATTAACAATTTTGTATAGCTTACCAAGAGCAAACCCTACACCACACCCACTGTCCCAGGAAGAGAATCTCATCAGGGAAATAAACTAGCAATAGACAAGGAGGCCTATGTTCTGAAATCTGAATTCCAATAGCAAGTTATTACTGTTTGAGATTTTGAAGAGCTGTCAAAAGAATGGCAGCCTGACAAACACCTTGAAAACTCTTGCAGCCTATTTGCAGACCTCAGCCAGCCCCACCCTGACACTTCTCCCTTGCCCTTTTGCCTCAGATTTCCAACGCTTGCTAGCTTTGTCTGTTTTGAATGGCCGTGCTCAGTGTTCAGCTACGGAAATCCTCTCCTTCCCCAGCTGGCTCACCAGGAAATTGTTTAGAAGTCAGGTTTTTCCTGGAGGTGGCCCACAGGCCCACAGAGAAAGAGAGAGGTTGTGTCAGGGGCTGAGAGCACTCCCCTGGTGAAGCAATTTGTGGATGATGGTCTGACCACAGGCACCGGCAGCCTCTGCGGTGTGAAGCCATCAGGGTGCATGTGTGTTTGCTAGGTGGCTTGCTTTGGATAAGCACAAGCACAACTGGCTATGCCTAACCTGCTAAATAGAATTTTTAAGCCACTTCTTTTATTTTGTGGGTTTTTTGGGGTTTTTTTAGTTACAACTTAATTAACTTCTGACAAGCAGAAGAGCCACTGCAGACAGTAAGGTTTGACACCAAAAAAAGGGAAAGAGATAAGTAATGAAACTACACCAAAATTAAGTAAGATTTTGCCTAAGGGACATTGTTCTGTTAGATGATTACTCCAGCCCAAATAAGAATTAATCAGGCTATCATTCCGTTTGTTGGAAAATAAAATATGGCATTTATTTTTTTAATGTACTTTTATAAAAAAAGAAAAAGAGACATTATCAGAATCAAGAGAATACGGATCAAGCAATACTCTATTAGGAAATAAATGGCTGACCAGATAACTTGACCTTAAAAAGTATATTCCATATTATGGGTCAATATGATCACTCTTCCTATCAAATCCAAGTGCATACAAGGAAGACAGACTTCAAGCTACCAAGAACATTCTTCAATTACCTAAGCTACAAATAAAAATAGAGCTTCCATGAGAAATAAAGAATTAGGTCAGTGGATAGGAACAGTTTCTTTCCATTTAAGTTAACTAAAATGTTACTTGGGGAAACAATTTTGAAATGTGCTTTAATGTAAATGTTATATTAAATTAATATGAATATTATAATATATTAACATAATTATACTAAATAAATTAATATAAATATATTAAATGAACTAATATAAATATTATATTAAATATATTAACTTAATATAAATAAAGGTCTTTAAGGACCTTTAACAACAAGCTCTGTTCTCACTTATCTGTTCAAGGTGATTCGAGTACTATTAATATTTGCAGGCTGGAGATGGACAAGATGACCAACCTCTGAATGTCCCCTCCATCTTATAAGGACATTGTTAAAAATGACAACCTCCCTACTCGCCAAGAGACTTGACACTTCTTCCTTTTCCGCACTGAGACAGGACAATTTAAAGCCCAGAATAAAATAAATTAAAATAAAGTATCAAGCATGCACCTCTTTGAATGAAGATTTCTCGTAATAAACCTAGGCGGGACATCCTAATTATCTAAGGCCTGAAGATGTTCTTCGGTGTAACAATGACCTAAGATTTATTTATAGTTTTCCTGAGACTCATTAAACATTTCCTGCAATGAGACCACATCACTGAAATCATTTTATTGTGATAGACTGGCAGAGCACAAGGGGAAACAGTCCTCAAAGACAAAAGAACTGGTGGGTGTCTTTGTAGCAGAGGGCAGTGCATATTTTTTTAGTGAGGATGCAACCATTGTAGGTAAACAGCAGGAACTCTCTTCTGATGCTATATCCTGTCCTGTTTAACTCATTAATTTAGGAGACCTCAGCCACTAGAGTAAAACACTAGCACTAGTAATTCGTTTGCGCCCCCATCCCAAAATCAATTTATTAAAATTATATTGCTAAAGAAAAAGAAAAACACATAAACTAGTTTACTTTGAACTAACATGGATTATGCATTAAATGGGCTACTAAGTCATCAATGAAATAAATTCTTTTGAAGTTATTGTGGCCCTACAGTTGTACATGAAGAGTCTTTCTATTTCCCTTTTTTAAAAAAAATGCCTTTTGTATCTCCTGCAGGTTTCCACATTTCTATTCCTATGGGCAGGAAGACTCATACAGCCAAATGTTTAGTCCTCATTATTAAAAAATATACAAACATTTCACCAGCAAGATCATTATTTCATAGTCTTTCATGTTTACACTGTAGGGGGTAAAATCAATAACTCAATGTGAACTCCGCACAAATTACCAACAGCTAAATGTAGATGATGACAGTGGATCTTAAATTACTCATAAACAAACTGAATGAGGAAAAGTATCCCAAAGAAATATTGTCAAATAGCCCTAACGATGGTTCATTTTCTAACTTCAGAAAAAATATTTCAATGGTGAATGTGAAATTATGAGCCCATCTAAGTCATTAAGTAGGAGTGTCATAGGCTATATAAAATACCAGCTCGTACTTCTCCATACTCAGACAGGCCCTCCGATCTTCCCTGGACTGTGTCATCTGCATCTAAAACCCAGTAAGAAAGGAAAGGGAAATCGATTTGGGGAATAAAAGGACATTAGTAGTCATGGTATCAAGTCTCATGAGGGTTTGAGTCTAACAAGGTTTGGGGAGCAAAGCTGACATTCCTCATAGTATTTGAACATTAATAAGCACATTGTGGCCAGCTGATAAATGCTTGTTCATAATATTACTAAGTTTCTGGATTGTTTTACAGTCCCTGGAGATCAAGGAAGAATAAAACAAGAAGGAAGAATCATTAAGTGACTAAAATGAAAAAAATCAAAGAAGAATCTTGAAATATGAGTGTGGCAGAGGCTGCAAGTTGCCTAATTATTTTCATCCCTACCTCTTTAATCCTTAGAAACAGAATTTCTACATCACTGGCAAACATGTGCCAGGAGCTAGGCTAGGCCGCCCTTTAAGAGGGAAAGCAGTGAAGCACTAGAATAACACCCAGGGGAGTGTTCTCCAAACCCTCCTACCTCTTATTCCAAGCAAAGCAGAGAGCGCTTAGGGAAAGCAATACTAGGAATGGCTGCTCAAAGAATTTACTCTGTATGCCACACTCTCACAAGAAATTAGGGGATGTTTTAGTCCGTTCATGTTGCTATAACGAAATATCATAGACTGAGTCACTTATAAATAACAGAAATTTATTTCCCAGAGCTCTGGAGGCTGAAGTCTAAGATCAGGGTTCCAGCACAGTCAGATTCTGCTGAGGACCCTCTTCTGGGATATGGACTGCCATCTTCTCACTGTATCTTCACGTGGCAGAAAAGAAAGTGAGAAAGCTCTCTGGGGTCTGTTTTATAAGAGCACTAATCCCATTCATGAGGGCTCCACCCCTATGATCTAAATACCTCCCAAAGGTTCCAACAGTCCCACTTCCTTACACCATCACATTGAGGGTTATGATTTCAACATATAAATTTTGGGGAGATTCACATTCAGTCTATAACACGGGTCCCATTACTTTTCTACTGAGATTGTTTCCTCAGCTTTAGTATTGGTAACATTCTGAATTTTATGGAACTACTACAAGGAGTAAACAAAATAAATGTAACCAAAGTGCGTATCAGACTGCACAATCCAGAGGCAACCCACAAGGTATTAACCATGATTTAGTTTGTTCATAGCACGTTTCAGTGGAAGATCTCTCAACTCCTCACAAACCCCAAACCTTAAACCATCCCGTCATATTCAATTAGGGAAACTCTAAGAGGTATTACAGTTTTCCTGGCAACTGACACCAGATGTCACCTCTTCCCTCCCCTGCTTCCACCCTCAAAATTTGTAATTTCACATGAAACAGTATTCAAGAAAAAAACTATAAATGGAACCAAGGTACAAAGAATTATAATTATATTGCCCCTGCCGGGCACGGTGGCTCATGCCTGTAATCCCAGCACTTTGGGAGGCTGAGGTGGGCGGATCACCTGAGGTCAGGAGTTCGAGACCAGCCTGGCCAACATGGTGAAACCCCATCTCTACTAAAAACTACAAAAATTAGCTGAGCATGGTAGCAGGTGCCTGTAATCCCAGCTACTTGGGAGGCTGAGGCAGGAGAATAGCTTGAACCCAGGAGGTGGAGGTTGCAGTGAGCCGAGATTGAGCCACTGCACTCCAGCCTAGGTGACACAGCAAGACTCCGTCTCAAAAAAAAAAAAAGAATTATATTGCCCCTAGTTAAAACCAAGACAGTTCACTAATACAAAACGGCATCAGATTGCTCCAAAGTAGGCTTCCTCAGCCTTGGTACTATTGACATTTGGCGCTAGTTATTGCTTCTGTGCACTGTAGGATGTTGAAGCAGTATCCCTGGCCTCTACCCTGTAGATGCAGTAGCACTCTCCCAGTTTTGACAACCAAAAATAAGTCTAGATTGTGAACTGTCCCCTATGGGGACAACATCCCCACCCCCACCTCCCCTTAAGAACCACTGCTATTTGAACACCACTGAAATGAAAACCCCAACTTTAAAGTCTAAAGCTCTTGAGTTTGGCTTCTCTCATAAATGAAGAAAATAACATCCTCAGAAATAAGAACTGTTTCCCAATGGCTTTCAGGCATTAAAGGAAAAGTATTAACTTTCTGTTGTTGTTGTTGCTGCTGTTGTTTGGAACAGGGTCTCACTCTGCTGACCAGGCTGGAGTGCAGTGGTGGAATCTTGGCTCACTGCAGCCTCTGCCTCCCGGGCTCCATTAATCTTCCCACCTCAGCCTCCTGAAGCTGGGACTACAGGCATGAGCCATCATCCCAACTATTTTTATTTTTTGTAGAGACAGGGGTTTCGCCGTGTTGCCCAGGTTGGTCTTGAACTCCTGGGCTCAAGTGATCCGCCTGCCTTGGCCTCCCAAAATGCTGGGATTATAGGCGTGAGCCACCATACCCAGCCTTAGCTTTCTTAGAAAATGCCATTTTCCTTCCTGACCTGTGACCAGGAGCTTTACCACACAGCATGTTGCTATATGCACAGCACAGTCTGAGAGAAGTGTTACTTTAATGGCTAATATAATACCATTTGCAGAAAAAAAAAAAACACATACAAAACCACCAAAAGGAGAAATCCTGACATTAGTGAAATATTCAGTTGTAAACCAAAAGAATTCCTTACTGAGAGTGATTGGCTTTCACATGCTTTGCCCAGTAATGAGCAAATGATATCTGAAGACGTTTTATCTGTGCTCTGGAGAACTACTATCTTTTAGTAGCCTCAAACAGACAGTTGATCATTCTGGGATTTGGACATGATTTTCTTGGTCTCCCAGCCCCATTACCCGGGGGCCAGAAAAAACATTTGGCATGATCCCGACTCTAATATAAAAGGGTTGGCTCCCTTTTTGGTTTCTAACTACCACTGTTAAATATGAGGTCAAAGTTCTAATGATTACTGTCACTTTCTGATTTTACAGTTAAGTATATCATACAGAATGTTAGCAAGTGCCTCACTTTCCTCATCCATAAAGGCAGATAATAGCACCTACACCCTAGAGGGTTGTTATGCAGATCAAATTTTATTTTGAGGATCAGTATTTGTAAAATGCGACCAGGTGCGGTGGCTCACCCCTATAATCCCTACACTTTAGTAGGAGGCCAAACCAGACAGATAACAAGAGGTTGGGAGTTCGAGACCAGCCTGGCCAATAGGGTGAAACCCCATCTCTACTAAAAATACAAAAATGAGCTGGGCGTGGTGGTGTGCACCTGTAATCCCATCTACTCGGGAGGCTGAGGCAAGAGAATCCCTTGAACTCGGGAGGTGGAGGTTGCAGTGAGCCGAGATCATGCCACTGCACTCCAGCCTGGGTGGTGGAGGGAGACTCTGTCTCAAAAGAAAACAAATTTGTAAAATGTTCACAATACTGTTTATATATAGCAAGTGGTATATAAGTGCTTGTTAAACAAATACAATCTATATAACTCTTGTTATTTGATGGAGAAATTATAATGTTTACAGTTGCATTCGTCGTGCCAGATTGGCTGTATTTTTGTTTTGTTCTGTGTTTCTTTTGCTGGGAGAAGATGGAGAAACATTCTTTGAAAATGTCCCTTTTTCTCTCTGAACCTTCACTCATGCCCTAGAAAAAAGAAAATCATCTCAGGGCCAGGCACAGTGGCTCACACCTGTAATCCCAGCACTTTGGGAGGCCAAGGTGGGCAGATCACGAGGTCAGGAGTTTGAGACCAGCCTGGCCAACATCGTGAAACCCTGTCTCTACTAAAAATACAAAAAATTAGCTGGGCGTGGTGGCAGGCGCCTGTAATCCCGGCTAGTCGGGAGGCTGAGGCAGGAGAATCGCTTGAACCCGGGAGGCGGAGCTTGCAGTGAGCCAAGATCATCACTGCACTCCAGCCCAGGTGACAGTGCGAGACTCCATCTCAAAAAAAAAAAAAACTTCTCAGGAAACAATACCCTACTATATGTGATGCACTAATTGTGTGTGTGATTGTGTGTGTGTGTGTGTATATATATATGTGTGTATATAGATTCTGGTTTGTAATCCACAGTACAGATTTCACTACAGTCACTAATCTTGTCCTACAATTTGAAAAACACTGCTTTAGATGAGTATTCCAAGAAGAATATTCTGTAGAGAAGCAGTATCACAACATATTAAAGAGTTTCATGTTCAAGAAAGTTTGAGAAAGCCTTACTTTGTACACCTTAACAACAGTACAAGTCATTAGATATCCTGCAATTAAGAAATATATTCATTCTACAGAACTCAAAACTTATTTGTGAACTGGGCATTGTTTTCCTCCACTGTGACAGGGCAGCATCATATAGCTTGTGGGCCAATTTTCATATTTCTCAAATGAAAAAAGTTGAGTTCCAGGAAAAAAACATTCTTTCTGACTGAATCTAAAAGTGCCTAACTCTGTGCCTAACTCAAGTAGCTGTTTAAGAATCCTGGTTCAACTCCATTAAGCAGTTTTGCCATTTCTTAGTAAAATTTAATAAAAAGTGACCCTGGATTATTTTTCCCTTAAAAGGGAATGTTACTTGTTAAGCAGGCAAGATAGCAGAAATTGAAAGTGCTCAGCTAGGTGCAATGGCTCAGGCCTGTAATCCCAGCCCTTTGGAAGGCAGAGGCAGGACAGCTTGAGCCCAGGAGTTCAAGACCAGCCTGGGCAACATAGCGAGACTCTATCTCTACAAAAAATAAAAATAAAAAAATGAGATGGATGTGGGGTACGTGCCTGTAGTCCTAGCTGCTCGAGAGGCTGAGGTTGGAGGATAGTTTGAGCCCAGGAAGTTGAAGATGCAGTAAGACATGCTCATAGCACTGCACTCCAGCCTGGGCAACAGAGCAAGACCCTATCTCAAGGGAAAAAAAAATAAAGTGCTATTTAAATGCTAATAGCTTTCCAATGCCTTTTTTTGAGAAAAAGAACTAAGGAAAGGAAGAGCAAAAGAGAGAAAGAACAGAAGGAAGGAAAAGGAAGGGACGGAGGGAGGGAGCCATGAAGGGAGTCCTTTGGATATTAGATCTCCTGTGTGCAAGAAACTTCTAGAAGTATGACCAGCTCACCAAGGAAATAGCTAAAAAATAAAACAAAGATATATGTCTAAATTTCATACTCTTTGCAGCATTACAGAATAAGGGAAGATAGTTGGGGTAGAGAGGTGGATAACCCAACAATAGGGAAATGGTTAGGTAATAAAGAGAGTGTCAATTTTGTCCGACAGCATTAAAATATAACAACCAGGCAAATATTCATTATGTAATATTAGCATTCATTCATTATATTGAGGATATCCATTACATAATATTGCTGTGATGGGGCATGAAATAGAGGACGGGAACCAAATTCATCCATCACGTTACAACATATATGAAAAGCAACAAGGAAATTGGAAACAAGTGGTGTGTCCGTAGGGCAAGAGTGCTCAAATCTGGGAGCACCAATGGATCTGGTGGGGAAGCCCTTTTTAAAATGCAGAGTCTGTGGGCTCTCTCCCAAACATCCTGATTTTGAAGGGCCAGGGTGGACTCAAGAAACTGCATTTGGTTTTTTTGTTGTTGTTTTTAACTTTTACTTTAGGTTCAGGGATACATGTGCAGGTTTGTTATATGGATAAACTCGTGTCATGAGGGTTTGATGTACAGATTATTTCATCACCCAGGTACTAAACTTAGTACCCAATAGTTATTTTGTAATGACCACCTAGGAGATTCTGAGGCTGATGATCTGGGGACCACACATTCATTTCATGAAAACTTAATGGGTATGTAGTATCTGCTGTGAAAGCAAACTAAGTATAGCCTGAGAAGGACTCTGTACTTTTATATTTGAGTCCTTGTGGACCAACCTTGTCTAATAGGTAGACAAGGGTGAAAAACTAATTTAGGAGTATGCAGCTGTAACAATAGCTGAGTCTTGGCCAATCCCAGTAGCCATGCTTCAACCAGTCATACACTGCTGAGTGTTCAACTCTTTTCCAAATAAGGCAAATGCCAAGGTGTAACCCATCCAGCTATTTCTGTATCTCACTTCCGATTTCTGTATGTCATTTCTCTTTTCTTGCCTATAAATTTATTCTGACCACAGGGCATCCCTGGAGTCTCTGTGAATCTGCTGTGATTCTGGGGACTACCCAATTCGTGAATCATTCGTTGCTCACTTAAACTTCTTTAAATTTAATTTGGCTGAAGTTGTTCTTCTAACACTGCCAATCCCTGTTCTAGGTGCTAGAGACAGAGCAGTGGCTAAAGGCACACTTGAGAGGCAAGCAATAAAGTGGTAATCATTCTTTTAAAAATCTTTAGTATTAAAATAGTATTTATTAAATAAATTCCCTGAAAAAAAATCAAGAGCCAACATTTTCCTGCTCTCTAATTTATGTTTTACTTAAGAGGAAATGCACCTTAGAAAGCTCTCTGGGCCTGGCCCTAGGGTCCGCCTACAGCATGGACACTGGAAGGGGGTGGCCACCGAGGGTATCTGTCCAAGTGAGGTCCTGGCACTTCCTGCCATTCCTGCATGCCCTCCCAGGGCACTAAGGGTGATGACTGGGAATTAGAAAGGGTGGTGATGAAGAAGGAATAAAAAATGTGTTACTTCAACTCACAAGAAACACAAGTTAAAGAACTTTCGGGAACTACAAGTCCTCGTCAGCGTCTTGTGGGCTATTGACGCTGACCTCCCAACTTGGTGCCAGTTAGAATTTCCTCCCTGCCTTTTCTGCATTTCATCATTTATTTCCTGGTTTGGAATATTAAAACTTTGCTTACATCCTGTTTTGGTCCCTTTGGTTTTTTTTTCCGTTGGGCAGAAATTTCAGCAACCTCCTCCAGGTTAGAGAAAAGCAGAGCCAAGGGTGGCAATGACTTTCAGCATGGACGAGAACAGCCACCAAGAGGGGAGAGCTCAAACCTATTTGTCTTGGCAATGGCATTCAGTGAGCTGCTGGTTATGTCATCTGCCTACAAGTAGGCCTCACTGTTTTGCAGTCATCCATTTCCCAATAATGGTATCCTGACACCACACACGCACACCCAGATCTGGCAGCGCACCCACCAGCCTGCGCTGACTCCAGAAGAGGTAGGGCCAGGGACAAGAAAACGAAAAACAATCCACATGAAACAGATCACTTAAGAATGTTAAATATTAAAAATGCTGTTTTCACCTGCAGAGTAAGAAAATATAGGAAAAAGTGGATAGCTGGAGAATTTTATGCAGCTAATGAGTTTATACAGTTTAAAAGCACACTTTTGAACTAAAATCTAAAGTGACAAAATCATGAAAGCTAAGCAGTATGCAAAACTCTACAACTGAAGTGTTTCACCTCAGTATTTTATATGAATTAATTTCAATTTACAGCTAAATGTCAAGGCAAATTTGTTTCTTTTCTATCTTGTGTTATGTTTGGTACCCTAAGGCTTTTAGACACTGAATAACTTATAAACAAATAACATCTCATCCTCATTGTTATGTAAAATAACTCCCGAGCTTGTGTTTCCTGTAGTTCTTCAAGGAAAGAGGATCCTAATGTTGAAAGAAAATTGTATTGGTAAGCCATAGCAAATGGTTCCTAAAAGCAGACTAACAAAATGCTAAGATAATAGGCCCCTATCATTTTATATTTATGGTTTTATCTATAGTAATTCTGGGATTAGAATTTGTAATACCCCAAACAGCATATGTAAGGTATAAATATCTCCTAAATATATTTAAAACCTGGAAAAATTATACAATCAACCTAAAATGGAGGAACACAAAGAATAATACAACATGTCTCTAAATTCTGACATAAATTTAAGGGATGAAAACTCCTATATTTATATTTTTAAATCATCAAATGAATACACTGAGATAAGCTATAATAAAATTATTATGCTCAATTTACACTAATTATAAATTGTACGTTTCTGATTAACTGTTGAGGCTTTCAAGTGAAAGCTTTAATCAGCAATATCAGTTTTTTGGTTTGTTTTTCTGAGACGGGGTCTCGGTCTGTTACCCAGACTGGAGTACAGAAGTGCAATCACAGCTCACTGCAGCTTGGATCTCCTAGGCTCAAGCGAGCCTCCCACATCAGCCTCCTGAGTAGCTGGTACCACAGGCATGCACCATCATGCCCAGCTAATTTATTTTATTTTTAGTATTGATGAGATCTCACTATGTTACCCAGGCTGGTCCCAAACCCTGAGCTCAAGCAATCTTCCTGCCTCAGCCTCCCAAAGTGCTGGGATTACAGGCATTGAGCAACTGCTGTGCCCAGCAATCAGCAATATCTTTCTCTTTTTTTTTTTTTTTTTTTTTGAGACAGAGTCTCACTCTGTCACCCAGGCTAGAGTGCACTGGTACGATCTTGGCTCACTGCTACCTCCGCCTCCCAGGTTCAAGCGATTGTCCTGCCTCAGCCTCCTGAGTAGCTGGGATTACAGGCACATGCCACCACACCAGGCTAATTTTTTTGTATTTTTAGTAGAGACGGGGTTTCACCATGTTGGCCAGGCTGGTCTCAAACTCCTAACCTTAAGTGATCAGCCCACCTCAGCCTCCCAAAGGGCTGGGATTACAGGCATGAGCCACTGCACCCAGCCTGGCAGTATCTTTTTAAAAATAATTGCTGCTAGCAGCAATGGACACTCTGCCCTGGAATATTATAAGATATATCTCCAGCCTTCCTAAATGACTCCCTTGTTTCATAAAACCCCAAATTTTCTGCCTTTTCTTTGAGACTTTCTTCATTAATGAAAGTTCTCTTTATTGCAATAGCCTAAATAAAAAACCCAATACATGTGCCCTTTTATTATACTAAAACCCAAATGGTTCAAGTAGAGCTTATGGTAACTTTTAAATGAGATTAAAAATCACTTGGCCGGCCTCATGAAATTACAGTTTGAGTTAGGCCCAGAAGCCTGAAAATTTTGGAAAGTTCAGTAGGGTTAACCCAAAAAACATCTAAATCCAGGTTTAAATTTGGGAAATCTTTTCTTTAAAAGAGAAGGACACAATTCAAACTGGCTCAACTTATTCAACATACTTATAAAACAAATCACTAAGTCTCAAATGAGTACATCTATCTTTGACCCACAGACTTAAAAAGCTATATATGCCAAGAAATAATATTTAAGCAACTGTTAAAATCTGTTAGGATTTTAGAATCGTAAAATCCTTTGGCAGTCAACCCATTCTACAGGGCACGAAGACGATGCTGCAGATACCTATCCATGAATTATGCAGTTCAATTTTATGTCCCTAAGCCAAACAACTGAATTGAATTCTCCACAGTCTCTTCCAACTGCCCAGTAACCAGCCTAAGAAAGGTGACAAGAGCAAAGCAAATGCAGCACAGAGAAAAAGACAGGCAAAGATGGCAGCTGTCATTTCTTCACATTGTGCTGTCAGACACTCTATATTCCTCAAAGCATTTGTCACCTCCGGAGCACACTTCCATTGCTGCCAACATGACATTTGGCTATAAATTTTTATTCACTCCACTTATTAAAATGCAAGGCCCTTGGTCCAGAGCACGTGTCATATCAGAAACCTTCCCATCACCTGCATAATAAACCTGTGCAAGCTGTGTCCAACATTTGTGTCCCTATATTCTAGAATAATGCTTAACACAGAGTAACCACCCACTAAACATTGTTGGACGAGGTGTTAAAGGTCAATTGCTATTTCTGTTGTTATTACTACTAGCTGGCTGGAAATTGCTAAGTTCCTGTTAGGTGCAGACTTAAGAAAACAAAACAGAATTCACTGACAAATGTTATCTTCTGTCTCAATCGTCATTTAGACTTGACCAAGTTTACTGCTTCATTTTACCAAGACTACAATCCCTCAAAAGAAGGAAATGTACTTTTTATTGTTGGTCACAAGCCCTAGCACAGTATAATATTCAACATGTCCAGCATTCAGCTGAAGTATGAGACATGCCTCCAAGTTTCTAAGGCTGAAAAGAGTTCAACTTTCTCTCCAAAGTGCTAAGATATACCACAAGTGCTACATGGGGAGAGTCTACTTACTGGTAGGATCTAAACTTAAACCTCCACATCTATCTAAATTCCCAAGTTTTTAAACTTTCCTATCTAGGGAAAAAAGTTTCTTTTACTTTTATATCTTGGCTCCAGTTTTATATTTAAACTAGATTGGGGCTGGGCACGGTGGCACATGCCTGTAATCCCAGCTCAAGAGTTTGAGACCAGCCTGCGCAACATGGCGAAACCCTGCCTCTGCAAAAAATACATAAATTAGCCGGGCAGAGTGGCATGTGCCTATATTCCCAGCTACTCAGGAGGCTGAGATGGGAGGATGACTTGAGCCCAGGATGGGGAGGCTGCAGTGAGCCGAGATGGCACCACTGCACTCCAGCCTGGGCAACAGAGCCAGATCATCAAAAAAAAAAAAAACAAAAAAACAAAAAAAAAACAAAAAAAAAAACAAACAAAAAAAAAAAACAGAACTAGCAATATTACTGTTTTTTTTTTTTTTACTTTACAGCTTGTCAATTTTAATCAAAAGAAACGAAAAGCCACATTCAGTATTAAAGTTAAACAAGTTAGGAGATGAAAGTAGACTAGACCACCCAAGTGGGTAACTTAGCACTGGCTGAAATTACCTAGCTTTAGTTCAGAGACCACTCCTGAAAAGGAAAAGACATTTCTAACAACTTTAGCCAAAGATCTGGGTTCTTTGAAGCCTCAAAGAACCCTCCTGGTAAGGGTACTCTGCATAGATCTGCATATTCTCCCATGGCCCCAAAAGACTAAAAGCCCAGGCTTGTACCCCGCCCTCGCTGTTGAAGGATCCTCAGAGAAAGTATGTTGAGAATCCATGAAAAACTAATTTAAAAGATTAAAATGTGCCCTGCAGCTCACCCTCTCTAGAAAACACTACAGGAGAAAAACAAACAAAGAATATAAGCAAAGTACTAAAAATCCCTATGTAAATTAAACTCTGTTGTTATACCAAAGATTGCTCAAAGGAAAAAAAATTATCATCTTTCCAAGAATTTGTAAATCCCTCTTCAACTGGTTGGAACGGAAATTACAAAATGCTACCCCCCACTGGTCGGCAAAAGCCACCACTTAAATGGAAAAGCTTCCCTTGAATCAAATGAAGTCCCAGACAGAGGTATGCACTGTGTGCTGTCACTACCAACATGAGGACCTACTCAGGGACAGATAGAGTGCAGGGATACCTCAGGGCAGGGGTGTCCATTCTTTTGGCTTCCCTGGGCCACATTAAAAGAATTGTCTTGGACCGCACATAAAATACACTAGGAACAATGATAGTTGGTGAGAAGAAAGAGAAGGAAGGAAGGAAGGAAGGAAGGAAGGAAGGAAGGAAGGAAGGAAGGAAGGAAGGAAGGAAGGAAGGAAGGAAGGAAAGGAGGGAGGGAGGGAGGAAGGTGGGAGGGAAAGAAAAGAAAAGAGAGAGGGAAAGAGAGAGAATCTCATAATGTTTTAAGAAAGTTCATGAATGTATGAATTTATGTTGGGCCGCATTCAAAGCATCCATTCAATCACTGTTTTCTCCTCCCAGAGAATTCTGCATGTAGTCAGGCTCTGGAGCTGCATGGTCCAATATGGTAACCCCCAGCAGACCCTGAGGACTTGTCATATACCTCACATGGCTGAAGAATTGAATTTCTCGTTTTATTTCATCTTCAATGATTCAAATTGAAAATACTCAATGCTGTTAGTGGAAAACATTTCATTGTGTTTGGAACCACCTGAATCTACTTTTTCAGTGAAATTTTGTTAAACGTAAAAACAGATCAAATGTTTCCAATGAAACTGTTGCATCGAAATGGAGATATACTCTGAAGTATAAATTACGCATCTGATTCAAAGACAGTATGAAAAACACGTCAAATATCTCACAAGTAACTTTTATTATTGACTACCTGTTGAAATATTATTTTAAATATATCTAATTGAATAAAATGTATTATTAAAATTAATTTCACTTCTTTTTTACTCTTTTTAAAGTAGCTACCAGACAATTTTAAATTACAAGTGGTTCGCATTATATTTCTATTGGACAGAACAGCTCTAGAGATTCCAATCAGCTTAAGCCTTCAACTTTAAAACTCCTTAATCATTTTTACGCATGGAGTTCTTTGGCAGTCTGGTGATGACTATTATTACCTCAGAATAATGTTTATAAATGAATAAAATATGTAAGAGTCCAAAGGAACCTAATTATACTGAACTGTAGTGAGCAAAATATTCTTAAATAATCATGCTTTTTCTTAAGGCACTGAAGAACAATAAATAAATAATGGTGAATCTATTAGCTACTGTAGTGATAAGAGTAAATGAGATTGCAATGTGATATTAAAATATCTGAGATTCCTACTGACGACAAAGTCATAAGTATTGCTTCTGTCACTGTGGTTTGTTGCCTACATTCATAATTCAAGGAAATGCTCAAATTCAGTTAGGGGTTAGTGAAAGTGTAGATAGATAACTCTTAGCCCACCCAAATTTGCAGATCCCCTATTTCTCTGACAGACTTTTTGGGGACCCGTGGATTCCAAGGTTAAGAATGCTGTTTTAATGCCTGATGAATCTGTGTGTCTGTTTGTCAAAGATGACCCCCATCCTTAGGATGTAATTTTGCCTTGGCTCATTCCTGTCAATTTGGTGTTCATGACTCATAATTCCTGTTTTTGACCACAACTAAACCAATATTAGAAGGAAGTGCTTGCACTTGTTTTTTTCCGATACTTTTGCTCTGCAAAGGGAACAGGAAGAACAGCAAGGAGTGTATATTTAAAAGAAAAGAGCACCTTAACTACGTACCAAAACACAATTCTTTTGATCTAATGATTAATTTGTGTGTGTTAGAATATTTACCAACCAGAAAGACCACATAAGGCCGGGCACGGTGGCTCGCGCCTGTAATCCCAACACTTTGGGAGGCCGAGGCGGGTGGATCACGAGATCAGGAGATCAAGATCATCCTGGCTAAAACAGTAAAACCCCATCTCTACTAAAGATACAAAAAATTAGCCAAGCGTGGTGGCGGGCGCCTGTAGTCCCAGCTACTCGGGAGGCTGAGGCAGGAGAATGGCGTGAACCCAGGAGGTGGAGCTTGCAGTGAGCCAAGATCATGCCACTGCACTCCAGCCTCGGCGACAGAGCGAGACTTCATCTCAAAAACAAACAAACAACAACAAAAAGCCACATAAATATCACTGGCACTTCATATAATTAACTGTACAAAGTATTTCCTGTTGTTTGTCTTGACAAACACTTTCATAACACTTACCATGTGCAGATACTGTTCTAAGGACTACAAATACTAACTCTGCAATCCCTAATACAACCTATGAGTCAAGTACTATTATTATCCCCCTTTTACAGATGAGACAACTGAGGCTCAGGGAAAGGTTAAGTAATTTGCCCAAGGTCACAGAATTGGAATTCCAACAGAGAGCAGCTGCCTATGGTGTTCTCAAAGGGAGGGCAATGCCAAACGAAAACAAGCAACAAGACTCTACTCATTGCAAGTGAGCAAAGGTTCTGATCAAATCTTCATTCTTGCTTCCAAATCACTTGCTGAAAAATTAAAACTAGATAAGTAAGGACAGCTGCCTTTATACCTTCTGGCCTATTCACAGGCAGATTTCCAGACGAAACCAAAGGCCTTCATGAGGAAAAACAAAGCTCCTCAGTCTCAGGGCAGCTAATGCTGGGCCTGGCATTTTTTCCACTCTTATCTAAAATATGCTACAGGAGAATCTAGGCCCAGTGATAAGCCAGGTTTCAACTTCACCTCCCCAGCCTGAGAGCGATTACACACATACTTGGGATTTAACCAGCAAGAGAAGGACACGGAAACCTGGGTCCCTCCGAGCCCAGTTTCTGTTGACACTGTTGCCAGGGCTGAGCCAATTGCACCAGTGTCAAGAGCTCCACAGGGAGGTTTCAGCAGGGAAACCAGCCCTACAGGTGTATCCAGGGAGGCAGGTGTACAAGGCCACATTCTTTCCTCCACTGAACAAATCAAGGTTTGTCTCCCTGCTGTGCGGGGCTCACAGGGCCAGATAAATCTCTCTCAGACAACAACCTCAGCACAGAAACAGTGTAGCTTGCTGCCACTCTGTAGCACCGAAAGTAAAATGCCAACCACTGAAAGAGAGAAGCAGATAATGTTACAATAACATTTATCTAGAAAGGCAATGTTCGTTAGGTAAAATTTAACTATGGCAAAAATCTTTAGGACAGATAGACTCAATAAATGTTTGTGGAACTGAAAACCTAGTGCTACCTTTTAAAAGGTTTCTTGGACTAATTTAAAAGCTTCATTTGGCTGTGTGAACTGGCATTCCCTTTCTAAAATGATAGAGTCCCAGTGGTAGCTATAATGTTAAATAAAATGACTTCATTTCCTCCAGAGGAATATTTTTACCCCAACCCCCCATACTCCGGCACTCAACTACTCAAGACTCCAACATCAGGGGGCAAAAAGTCAGGCCTATTAGGCCTGGATCGTTCTCAGATTAACAACCTTGGGGGAATAATCCTATAAGAAAATATTTTCAAGATTTTGGGTAATAACATTTTTGGGCCAGATGAAATTTGTTAGAGTTTGCACTTCTGTTTCTAAAAACCTCTGAAGCCATTTGTTTCCCACAGTTTTTTTCAGAAGCTATTTTGTGGGAAAGAAAGCCAGGGCCTAGGCAGCAGGCCAGCTAGAACGGGGTTGCTCTGAAAGAAAGCCAGCCCCGGCAAGCAGGAGCGACATGGGCAGCGCTTGCCAAGGTGGTTAATTTTTTACCTGGGTAGAGCCATAGGCACTGACATAGAAAATGTCTGTGACACGGCGGATCCGGAAACAGGCAAGATGCACAGGCAGTGGAGTGTCTGACCCCAGGTTTGTTGCTACAAATTACAAAGGAAGTTATGCCAAACTGAAATAGTTATCTACAGAGAGAAGGAGGAGGGGCGGGGTGTGTTGTCAGGCGGCACGGCGGGGAAATGGCAGTGCTGCGACAGAGGACCTCGACTCTGGACTACACAGCCTCGCACTCCAATCTCAGTTCTGCCACTTGTTGCTGGAGGAATCTTAAGTCAAGTTTCTTAAACACTCTCTGCCTCAGTTTCTTCACCTATAAACCACAGGCCCCAACCCCCAGGGCTGCTGGGATATATACCAAGCAGGTACTCAGAACAGTGCCTGGCACTGAGGAAGTGCCAGGTAAGGGCAGCTGTTGCTATTTGTGCAAATTCTGACATTTGTCATTCTGAACATAACCCTCATAACAAAAGAGGTACAACTGTTACCTCCACTGAGAGATGAAAGAATTGAGACTTAGAAAAATGAAGGAATTTGCTCAAAATCATGCAGTTAGCAAAAGACTACCTGTTTGTGAAATCAGAGCCCAGCAGTTTTAACCTCTCTCATCTGGTCTTTCTTCCCTTACTTAACTTCCCGAAAGAGAGAGACAGAGACAGAAAGAGAGAATGAGAGATGGGGAGAAACACAGAGACAGGGAGGAGGGGGGAAGCGAAGAAAACACGTTAGAGGTAAATAACTTTTTAAGCTAATAAAAAATAACCTTGGCCAGGTGTGGTGGCTGACGCCTGTAATCCCAAAACTTTGGGAGGCCAAAGCAGGAGGATCACTTGAGCCCAGCAGTTCAGGGCCAGCCTGGACAACACTGCCTCTTAAAACTAAATAAATAAATAAACGTAATTAATTGCAAATGAAATTCCACCAGGCCAAACTCTCAGTGGCTACATAGTAAGTGGTTACACCTCTCCTAGCCTCCTAGACCAGTTGCACCTTGATTCTAGCTGAGTTTCACTAAGCAGGGCAAATGAAGCAGGAGAAGGCTCGGAGGGAACCCACCTGAAATGAAGCTCAGCTGTCTTTGAAGAGTCTATCTATTCTAAGGCTCAGGAGTGGTGGCATGATGAATATCGCTGCTAGGAGAAGAAATGCAAAACCATATAACATTTTTGCCTTTCCATCCTTGAAATGCCTTACAATTTCCCTTGGAAAAAAAAAATTGTCTTGTAATTCTTATTTTTCTTTACTTCACTTTTTCATTTCCAGAACTGCTATGGTTCTGGCTGAAGTATCAGAATGACAACCATGGATCTTCTACAATGCCACCATCAGTCTCTCAGCAATTGTAGCAAAGGGAAAAACAACACCACTGAGGCCGCCAGTCACAATATTTACCCATGCCAGAGTGTTCTGTTTGTTTTCGGTGGAGGATGCAGAGAGTAGATAAACGAAAAGCAAAACTTCTCTGTGTCAAAACACAAGCTGAAGATGATTTCCTTCTCCACTGCCCATGTATGAAATATACACAAATCCAGGGCAGCCCTGGGCCGAAGGAGTGTTTATGGTTCTGCCCGGCCATAAACATGCCAGCCTTCAAAACACCAGGACATCAAACAAACAAGGCAGTTCCAGAAAGGATATATCGACTTTTGACGTCTAATGCTCTGGGTGAAATAACTTTGTTTCCCCTAAAAATAGATAAACTAAAATAAATATAAGAGTATTCTACAGCAATGTAGCTAGCCGCATCTTCCTGTGACTCACTGTTTGATAATAACTATGGGCCAGGAACTAAGTGCTTTTTGGTGGAATGACTGATGCTCTTCATACCAACTCGGTGAGGAATTTAAAATGACATCCCTTTGCAGATAAGGAGACTGAGTCTCAAAGAGGTAAATAACTATGTAGGTTTACATAGCCTGCCACCGGCATTTGGACCTTGGTGTGTGAGATTCTGTAGGGTGAAGTCTAACAAAATGGCCCCACCTTCAGTTAAGGATTCAAATGATCACCTAGTAGCCCTTCAACCAGGGTTAAAGCTAAACTCATTCAGAGTTTCTGGCTCTAAACCTCACTCTCATTTCTTTACAGTGAAACACAGAAATTTAAAAAATTCAAAGTAGGCATACTTTCAGGTGGCTAAAATTAAAAGATCATCAATACCAAGCGCCGACAAGGACGTTAAATAATGGAAACCCATAGACTACTCGTGGTAACATAAACTAGAAGAGCTGGAACACTGCTTAAAATTACCTATTGAAGGCAGGGCATGGTGGCTCACACCTGTAATCTCAGCACTTCAGGAGGCTGAGGCGGGAGGACCACTTGAGGTCAGAAGTTCAAGAACAGCCTGGCCAACATGATGAGACCCCATCTCTATATAAAAAATGCAAAAAAATTAGCCTGGCATGGTGGCACACACCTGTAATCCCAGCTACTTGGGTGGCTGAGACAGGAGAATCACTTGAACCGTGGAGGGAGAAGCTGCAGTGAGCCAAGATCACGTCACTGCACTCCAGCCTGGGTGACAGAGTGAGAATCCTTCTCAAAAAAAATTATGTTATTGGGATTAGAAAAATGCATAGTCTAACCCAATCCTACAAGTCCACTCTGAGGCATACCCTAGAGAAATGAAAATACATATATACCAAAAGGCATAATGACAGTATAATAATTTGTAATAGTCCAAACTACAAGCAACACAAATCTCATCAAAAGTAGGACACATGAGTAAATGTAGATATATGCATGCTATAGTATTATACAGAAGTCAAAATGGGCTGGGCACACTAGCTCACATCTATAATACAGTACTTTGGGAGGCGTCGATGGGTAGATCACTTGAGGCCAGGAGTTCAAGACCTGCCTGGATAACATGGCAAAACCCTGTCTCTACAAAAAAAAAAAAAAAAAAAATTTAGCTGAGGATGGTGGCACATGCCTGTAGTCCCAGCTACCCGCGGCGCTGAGGTGGGAAGATCGCTTGAGCCTGGGAGGTGGAGGCTGCAATAAGCCATGATTGCACCAATGCACTCTAGCCTTGGCCACAGAGCAAGACTTCATCTCAAAAAAAAAAAAAAGAAAAAGAAAAGAAAAAGGAATGAACTACAGCTACATGCGACATGGACAAATCTCAATACAATGTTGAGGAAATGAAGTCAGGTATAAAAGAATCCATACTGAGTGAATCTATCTGTACAAAGTTCCAAAACAAGAAAATGGGAATAGAGGTCAGGACAATGGTTACCAGGGAGCGAGCCTACCCGGGGGCTTCCTGGTTGCTATTATGTTTTAGTTCTTTGTTGTTGTTGTTGTTGTTTTGTTTTGTTTTGGGATGGAGTTTTGCTCTTGTTGCCCAAGCTGGAGTACAGTGGTATGATCTTGGCTCATTGCAACCTCTGCCTCCCAGGTTCAAGTGATTCTCCTGCCTCAGCCTCCCAAGTAGCTGAGATTACATGCATGCAGCACCACGCGCAGCTAATTTTGTAGAAAGGGGGTTTCACCATGTTGTTCAGGCTGGTCTCTAACTCTTGACCTCAGGTGATACACCCGCCTCAGCCTCCCAAAGTGCTGGAATTACAGGTGTGAGCCACCGCGCCTGGCCTAGTTCTTGATTGAACTGTTGTAACCCATATGGACTGACTTTGTGGTAACTCATCCACTGCGATTTATGCCCTTCTCAATCAAATGACCTCCCTCTCCTTCCCTCTTCCTCCCTCTTAAAACAAAAAAGTAGGGACATTCATAAAACCTTCAAGTCTAAATCAAGTTTTTGAGACTTACACAGGAAAAAATAGGTACAGTGTAAGACATTCTAAATTTAGCTCAATATTCTTAACATGCAGGAACAACTCTATGGAGAAATCCCTTCACCCTCCAATGTTCAACTCAGCAACATTTTAAACTCTGTTCACATCCAATAAAGACCTGCTTATTGTATCATCAAAAAGGTATGCATGCAATCCATCTCAAGAAGAGGCTTACCTGCACAGTGACTAGGGTTTACTGCAATGACAAAGTCATTTCATGCCTTGACCGAAAATAGCCTTAGACTGGGTAAAAACTGGGCATTCTCTGCAGTGGTTCCTAAGAGAAGCTGAGGTTAGTGTGGAATTAAATATCCTTATCTGCATGGGTAGACTTAACTTCCAAAAGTCGTACAGAAGACAACAGAGTTCCGGGTAATATGGCCCATATATCGGAGGTTTAAAGCTGATGCCCATGGTGCTTGTGAGCAAAAATACACATTTAGCCAGGCGGGGGAGCTCAGGCCTATAATCCCAGCACTTTGGGAGGTCAAAGCAGGAGGATCACTTGAGGCCAAGAGTTCGAGACCAGCCTAGCCAACATGGTGAAACCCTGTCTATATTAAAAATACAAAAATTAGCTGGGCACAGTGGCGTGTGCCTGTAATCCCAGCTCCTGGGGAGGTTGAGGCACGAGAATCGTTTGAACCCCGAAGGCAGAGGATACAGTGAGCTGAGATCGTGCCACTGCACTCCAGCTTGGCCAACTGAGTGAGACTGTAACTCAAAAAAAAAAAACAACAAAAAAAACCACATTTTGCCCCTTGTCCAGAGTAGAAAGAATTGTGGTGCTTCTTACAACTGCCAAAGCCAAAGCCTGAATGAGTTCTAAAAGTCTCTGGAAGTTTCTGAGGGCACAGTCACTCCAAAAGATACAAATCCTGGGACTCTGAACTAGCTTTGTTTGACAGCCCCTTCCTTTGGTTAAATTCCAAAAATATCTCAGGCTCACCTCAAGCTTACTGCATTCAAACGTTCTCTGATTTCTCCTTCCTCTCTACTGCATCCTTTGTCTTCTACTCCCTTAAGACATTATTCCTTTCCTACTTGCCCTTTACTCAAGTTGTCTTTATCCTCTTAGCTATACAATGATTTAATTCAGTACAAAGAACATCACTATTCTACCCATCACTGATTCCCCAGGGCAAGGCACTATGTCTGTGCACAGTAAGTGAGTGATGCTCTTTTTGTTATTTTGGTTTTTCCTTTTTTGAGACAGGGTCTGGAGTGCAGTGGTGTGATCATAGCTCAGTGTAGCCTCTACTTCCTGGGTTCAAGATCCTCCCACCTTAGCCTACTAAGTAGCTGGGACTACAGACATGGGCCACCATCCCAGCATTTTTATTATTATTATTATTATTATTATTATTATTATTATTATTATTATTGAGACAAGGTCTCCCTATGTTTCCCAGGCTGGTCTCAAACTCCTGGACTCAAGTGATCCTCCCATCTCAGCCTCCCAAAGTGCTGGGATTACAGGTGTAAGGCACCACGCCCATCCTAATGTCTTAATGGACAAATAAATAAATTCTCTCTTTTTTTTTTTTTTTTTTTTTTTTTGAGACAGAGTCTCACTCTGTCGCCCAGGCTGGAGTGCAGTGGCGCAAACTCGGCTCACTGCAAGCTCCACCTCCCGGGTTCACACCATTCTCCTGCCTCAGCCTCCAGAGTAGCTGTGATTACAGGAGCCCGCCATCACGCCCAGCTAATTTTTTTGTATTTTTTAGTAGAGACAGGGTTTTACCGTGTTAGCCAGGATGGTCTCGACCTCCTGACCTCATGATCCGCCTGCCTCAGCCTCCCAAAGAGTTGAGATTACAGGTGTGAGCCACCGCGCCCGGCCAATAAATTCTCTTTTAATACTAGCAACAACAGAGACAAGTATCTTTCTGTTCTTGTCAAACCAATGACTGCAGCTCTGTATGTTTCCGGAGTGATTTAAACTTGCCAGATGAGCTTTTAGCCAGTCAAACTGATTTTCCTTTGAGCCTAGATTCCTCATGTGGAAAAGCTCCCAGAAAAGCTTGACTAGATAAGAAAAAAGTGATGTCTAGACAATTCTGCGTTAGCCTTCTGCTGGGAAAACCTCCAGCTGTTTCACTGAACCTCATACAACCAAATCATAGTTCACATTTCACAGATTCCTCACCAGGGTTTTGACATCTTGGGGGAAAAGAACTGAAGAAGGGTGGGCAAGACATCTGACTATAGGGCGGTTTCTAATAAAGCAATAAGTACAAACAATTCCAAGAAAACTAGGATGTCACTGGTCCCTGTGGTCACCAAACAAGAAGGATGTCTGTCCTATGTAAGGACACTGAAGAGGGGAAAAAGTGCGTAATCCTAATTTAATTATAATATTTTTTCCTATAATCAGAGAGGAGAAAGTCACCCAAGCTTGAAGCCAAAATTATAAATTTCATTGTCCACACAAATTGTACAAGATTTCCCTTGAGCAGACTGCAGGGAGGTGGGCTCTTGTTATCCTTCCTTCCTTTCAACTCTTCCATTTCTGTCTGTAATTTCCCCACCTTTGTTTCCATATAACTTCACCATCCTTGCTCCTATATGGCCACAAAGAAAATTCTGAGAAAAGAGTTGAAATACCCCAGTTAAATAGATTCCTTCCTTGTCTATTAAGAAGACATCACTCTTATTTACTTTCTGTACCTTGGCTCTAAGCTATAAGTTCATCTGTCTTTTCTATGCTATAGGCAGTACAGAGCATGGGCCAGCCTGAAATGGCAGGCCTGCAAAAATTGATATGCCAAATGAGAAATAAGAAAACTTGCTTTCAACTAACATGAAATCCCGGAATAACCTTTGAATTTCCATGACACCATTCATCTAGGGATAAGAGGGGAAGGCAGAAGGGGGCATTCCTGTGTCCATTTGGTGTACCCCTGCAACAGGCTATTACCACTTACTGCAATGCATTAAAGGTAGGACAGACAGCTAGGAAACGAACTGGTCTCTGTCCAGTCGAAGAATTAGTCAACACAAATCTACAGAAGTCACCTTGAGCTTGGTACTATCTACCCATAATGCATTTCCCCTCACCTCTTTAAATTCATTCAGTTATTCAGCCCCTCCCTTCCTGGGTGGTAACTACAACTGTTATTTTCAACTCCAGTTCCTTATGCAACACTGCAAAATGCATAACTGAACTGTACACTGTTAACTAAATAGATGATCAGTATAATAAAGAGTCCTCATGTAAATTAAGGAAAACATGTAAAAACCCCCCAAAAATCCACTGAAAAATCATTTGTGCATTCAACATAGAAAGACCCTTAAATATGCTATGCAGGGTATCTTAGAAAATAATATTAAAATGAAGCCCTCTTGGAGAAACTAATGACTTGTTTTTAAAGGTCTAGTGAGTGCCTAGATAGTGCCTTACTAAGGCATTCCGCAGAAAACAGGGTTCCTTGTATTCAGCGCAGTCAGGAGGTGAACTGATATCAAAGAACCACATCCATTCGTGTCATTTTACACGTTTCAAGAAACAAACTTTCCAATAAAGACAGACTCCATTCCTCTTCCCCCAACCTTCCTGTCAGGCTTCCCTTAATAAAGTTTCTGCCAGATAAACATCATGAATGTTCCATTGTGCTGAGAAGAAAGAAGTTTACAGCAAATTGCTTGGTTAGAGCTAAGAGTCTGGGAGCCACCTGAGCAAATCAGCTAAGTGCTTTGGAAAAAGCTATTTCCAAATTGGGACAGCTTCCATGAAGTGACTGGGCATAGTCTTCATGAAGAGGTTGTTTGTCTCCTCCTATCCGTCATATCAGTAGTTTCAAGATAAGAAGAAAGCATATTTGGACTGTTTGTTCTCATGGACATTAATCTGATTGTATTTTTTTTTTTTTTTTTTTTGACGGAGTCTCTCTCTGTCGCCCAGGCTGGAGTGCAGTGGTGCGATCTCCGTTCACTGCAAGCTCTGCAGTGGTTCACGCCATTCTCCTACTCAGCCTCCTGAGTAGCTGGGACTACAGGCACCCGCCACCATGCCCGGCTAATTTTTTTTTGTATTTTTAGTAGAGACGGGGTTTCACCATGTTAGCCAGGATGGTCTTGATCTCCTGATCTCGTGATCCACCCGCCTCGGCCTCCCAAAGTGCTAGGATTACAGGCGTGAGCCACCGCGCCCGGCCTCTGAATTGTATTTTTCAAGTGTACTAAAGTTCCTCCAGGAACTACACACACAACAAATGTACTTTCCAACTTGCTTATTTAGGAAGATCAGCTTTGTTACATCAAAACGTCCATTAGAAAGTCATGACACTGGCCAGGCGAGGTGGTTCACGTCTGTAATTACAGCACTTCGGGAGGCTGAGGTGGGAAGACTGCTTGAGGTCAGGAGTTCAAGACCAGCCTGGCCAACATGGTGAAACCCAATATCTACTAAAAACGCTGGGCGTGGTGGCCCACATCTGTAATCCCAGCTACTCAGGAGGTTGAGACACAAGAAACACTTGAACATGGGAGGCAGAGGTTGCAGTGAGCAGAGATCATGCCACTGTATTCCAGCCTGGGCAACAGAGCGAGACTCTGTCTCGGGGGGAAAAAAAAAAAAAAAAAGAAGCAGAAGAAAAAGAAGAAGAAGAGGAGAAAAGAAAAAGAAAGTCACAAAAAAATGAGCAGAGAAATTAGGTTTTACCTCAAGTGTCAGCAAAAAAAAAAAAAAAGTTAAAACAAGATGAGTTTTTTTTTTTAAACACTGCATATAAAACAATGAAGTAATTTGTTCAGAGAGTTCTGCTGTTAAAATAATGACAATCTGGCCAGGCGCAGTGGCTCACGTCTGTAACCCTAGCACTTTGGGAGGCCAAGGCAGATGGATTGCCTGAGCTTAGGAGTTCGAAAACAGCCTGGCCAACACAGTGGGGAAAAAAAAAAAAAATTAGCTGGGAGTGGCATTTGTAGTCCCAGCTACTGGGAAGGCTGAAGCAGAAGAATTGCTTGAACCCGGGAGGTGGAGGTTGCAGTGAGTCGAGAGCGCACCACTGCACTCCAGCCTGGTCAACAGAGCGAGACTCTGTCTCTTAAAAAAAAAAAAAAAGTAGCTCGGCCAGGTGTGGTGGCTCACGCCTGTAATCCCACCACTTTGGGAGGCCAAGGTGGGTGGATCACAAGGTCAAGAGATCCAGACCATCCTGGCCAACATGGTGAAACCCCGTCTCTACTAAAAACACAAAAATTCGCTGGGCATGGTGTCATGCGCCTATAGTCCCAGCTACTCAGGAAGCTGAGGCAGGAGAATCACTTGAACCCAGAAGGCGGAGGTTGTAGTGAGCCAAGATCGCGCCACTGTACTCCAGCCTAGGTGACAAAGCGAGACTCAGTCTCTAAATAAATAAATAAATAAAAATAATGACAATGTAATGTAGGATGGGCAGTTTGTAACTTTTCTATAATAATTCTTATATGATTTTAAAAGGGCCCTATGCGAACTACTTTAACATGCACTATTTTACTTGAAATCGCACAACACTCCCAAAACAGGAGAAAAATTTCATAAAGACAGAGAGCTTTGCTTGTTGTATACATTTATTTATTTCAAGATTTGGCACAATGCCAGGGATAGAGTGGTACTTAATGATATCTGTGGACTGAAGGTCAACACTTTTTCATATATTAGACAAATACAGCTCATAATGATTAAGAAATTTGTCTGAGACCACAAGGCTGGGAAATGACTAAGCCAAGCTTCCAATGAAGGGCAGTGAGTCAGATTCCTGAGTCTAGTTCATCTAATATAATTGTTAAGGGTGTTAACATTAATCTTTACTGCATCACATTTCTGCAAGGAAGCTTTGAGCCACCATCCTGAAGACTGAGAAACCAACACAATTTTAACCCATTAAGCACAGCAACTGCCCTGCCCTGTCTTTCAATATCCTGTCCCTGTCTCATTCACAGTGTACCTCTGCCCCCAGTAATTACCTTAGCGTCAGAGATCCACAAACAAAAACAATGTTAAGACTTGAGAGAAGCCAAACCACTCACCTGCTGAGGTATGGCAGCCCTAACTGTGGGAGTATCACCTCCCTACTGATATCAAAATCAGACCCTACAAAGGAGAAAGAAAGGTCATCTGAAATCACCTTGACACTCCAAACAGGGACTTATATCTGTGGGTCAGAGAGTGAATGAGTCATAGAGAGAAGAACACTTCATAGAACAGGGCATGAGTCACTGGTTCCTTTCTTATTGAGATAGAAAGAAAGGTATATCCTTTTATACATCTTGGGGGTAGTGCGGGGGCGGGGGGAACCACCATCTCTTTCATTTGCTCCCATTCTCATAGCTCCATGAACTGTCCACAAGTTATCACCGGTGAGTATGTGGTTCTCTTTTCAAGGCAGGGCTATCGCCCTTAACTTCCACTCCTCTCCAAACTTCAGGTTGTTTAGCACTAACTCCACTCAGACAGATTTTTTGAGCAGCTGCACACCTTTGTCTCCCTGACCAGAATCCCCAGGAATCATGCAAATCCTCAGGCATATCCTAGGTTCACTTTCAGGGGATTCCCTGAGGATGCCCCTTTTTTATGTTCAACAGCCTTAGGAAGCCACCCCCAAGTCCAACAGATACACAGTCCCCTTTTTGTGGATGTCCAGGCCACACAAGAAATGGAAAGAATTTCAATAAGAAACTCTCCCGGAAACTATATGCATATGCATATCTACTTCTAGGTACTGATGATGCCAAGGACTCTTTCATAAAGACAAGCACATTCGCCAAAGCCCCAAGGCATAATTAGCCTTGCTCTAAAACTTTCCTAAGTGGCCAGAATCTACTGCATATATTTTTCTTAGCCAAGAAACAGATGTAGAGTATAAATGGTTTTCCACTGAGTACCTTCAAAACAGATGCAACTATTTGGTAAATGTTCCATCTGCCCAGAGTATCCATTGTCAATGGAGACCAGACATACAAACTCCGAGGATCATTTAATTCAGTGTTCAAAAGAACTTCCATCATTTGCATCCCAGCCTCCTGACTTTTGCCACATATGGGTACCACTTCTACTATTCCACGTTACCCTTTTTAAAACCACTTTATTTTCATGTAATTAAATATATTTTAAATGGAAACTTCATATCACCTCTAGGAATAGACATGCAGAACCAGCTGCCATAAAAATGAAGTAACTAAAAGCAAATACATTGAAAGCAAAATCTTGCCATTAAAAGGTATGGTCTCTCAATTAGGAAGGAAAATTAGCAAATGTTAGGGGGTGCTGAAGACATATTAACACCTGATAGAGACTTACTTGATGTAATCTCAAGAACTGAGAAAGGATTAATGGAAGAGGAGGAAAGGAATGAATTTGAACTGAAGCAGGAACTCAAGTGAGAAGACAAAATCTGAGGACTCTGTTTCACCCTTTTTTTTTTTCTTTTTGGTTTTGTTTGTTTGTTTTTGAGACGGAGTCTTACTCGGTCGCCCAGCCTGGAGTGCAGTGGCTCACTTCAACCTCCATCTCCCAAGTTCAAGCAACACTCCTGCTTCAGTCTGCCTAGTAGAATGCACCACCATGCCCAGCTAATATTCTGTATTTTTAAGAGATGGGATTTCGCCATGTTGGCTGGGCTGGTCTCGAACTCTGACCTCAAGTGATCCGCCTGCCTCCACCTCCCAAAGTGCTGGGATTACAGATGTGAGCCATCACGCCCCACCAGTCACCCTCCTCTTTATACTGCTTACTATGGGTTACTTCTCAGAGATAGAAGACGGTATCAATGCCACAATCTAGGGTAAATGACCAACTGGAGTGTGGTTTGTCCTCAAAACTTCCATGTATGAGATAGAGTCAGTAGTATACTTATTTCTATTTTCTAACCTTCTTCCCACAAAATATTTTGGACAACAAACTAAGAGTAATTTGCTAGCATCTCAGAAGCTAAACAGGTGACCAATGATGGCACTGCCAAAATACCCCATGGTAATTCCTATTCAGCTAAGTCAGTTAAAGCCCATACAGCAAAAGCCCTCTGAATTGGAAATACTAATGGAAGGGACAGTATTTTACCAAACTACAAAAAACAGCAAGGTGTTCTCTCTTCTGCAAGACTGACTTTTCAATAGCTAAAAGTTACACCAAAATAATAATAATAATAAATAATAGTTAGGTGCGTCTACCTATTTGTTTTATTCAATCACAGAAATCTCTGCCACCTTATAGAATCCTGAAATTTCTGCATCTTGCGACTGACAAAAAGAGAAAGGGCAACTATTGGGAGGCCAGGGCAGGAGGATTGCTTGAGCCTAGAAGTTCGAGGTCGCAGTGGACTATGATGGCACCACTGTACTCCAGGATAGGTGGGCAGGGGTAGGGGGGAGCGGGGAGAGTGGGGGCGCGGCCAAAGCCTAGAGATTATGGCCATAGAAATAAAATAGATTTGTGATCAAACCCCATTGCTGCTAATTACGAGGCATCAGCTTGTTCATCTGCAAGTGGGGATAATCTGCTTAAGGTGGTTTTGAAGACCAAATGAGGCAATGTACATAAAATGTCTGGCACAGTACCAGGCACACAGTTGCTTCTCCCTAAAATCCATGACACCTACTGAATTAGTCTTTTTTAAATCCATGAAATGAACATTACTTTAGCACTTACTCTCTTTCATATACCAAATGGTTAATAGACAGTAACCGTTGTTTTAAGTGTCGTACATGTATTAATACATTTAATCTCACAAAACTCTATGAAGTTAGCACTACCGCGATTTCCATTATACAGATGACAATACTGAGGCACAAAGAGGCTCAGCAACTTGCCCAGAGTCACAGAGTTAGTGGACAGTAGACCAGGATTCAAACCCAGACAGTCTGGCACCACAGCACATATTCCTAACTACCCATACCATGGTGCCTTTGAAATGCTGGAGAAACATCACTGAAAAAGCCCAAAAAGGTAGACAGAGTGATAGACAGTTGGACAGCTATGTGATAAAACAGCATGGTAAAATGTCAGTGGCAGAATCTAAGTAGCGGGCATACAGGTGTTTGCTAAAAAATTCTTTCAACGTTGCTGTATGTTTAAAATTTTTCATAAGAAAACATCGGGAGGAGAGCAAGGAAGAGCCCAGAGTGTCATCTCCTCCTCAAAGATGGAAGCGTACTGAAAAAAAAGGTTACGCCAATAATGTCAGGATGAAAGGATTTCCCCACCCCGACCTGCCTCCCCTCCAAAAAGTAACCCAGTTAAAATCTATAGGCCACAGATTCCAGTTACAGGTTGCCCCAACTGGGGCCAATGGCTGAGAAACAGAGAGAAGCAGATGGGCTGTAAAACTGGGTCCTCTGCCAGCTAAGCTAGAGAAACCATCTCCCAATTGAAAGTGTTAATGGAAATGCCAGGCCAAAGCAGTCGACAGGAAACGTTTCTTGACGCTGTACATGCAAACAAATATGGCTTCTCCTACAAAGACAAAGAATGCAGTGGTCCAACCAGGCCTGTCTTTAAGTACTGGCAAGCACCCAAGGCAAGTTAACAGATTTCAACTTCTCAGGCTCTATAGATGAGTACCAGCTCTTGAAGACCTCCCAGGGGATGGAAGGGAAGGAAGAGTGAGGA
Organism: Homo sapiens; assembly: GCF_000001405.40. NCBI lineage: Eukaryota > Metazoa > Chordata > Mammalia > Primates > Hominidae > Homo > Homo sapiens. Next base: position 65,967,853 of record NC_000003.12, read on the forward strand.
AGGGGATTTCATCCAGGTGAAGCTGAGCCAGCGATTAAAGGGGAGGAGGCGTGAGTCTGCAGCGGTAATGCCCACACCTGGGGGTCAAGGAGGAAACTGAGGCAGTGCTCTCAAAGGAGACAGGTTATGTCTTTCACAAATGCTCCTATGACTGGTGCTGTACGGAATGTAATGAGATAAACCCTTGAACTGAAAGCCTGACAGCTTCTAGACTAGGTCTAAGGGAAGCAAGTAAATGAGAGACAGAAATGGAAAGAAAAATATGGTAAGAAAGGGAATTAAATTTTAGGCATGTTCTTATACAGTTGGCAAAAGTGAAAAATGATGCATCTTTTTGAAAGAGCAATTTGGCAATATCGAACAAAAACATGAAATGTGTCCACCTTTTGAACCAGGAAAGTCCACTACTGGGATTTTATTTTACAAATGCAATTATATGTGCATAAAGATCAAAATACAACGATATATTACTGATTCCAGCATTGTTTGTAAAAACAAAAGTCTGAAAAGAACCTTAATGCTCATCAGCAGAGGACAGGCTTAATGAATTACATACAGAACACTGATTCAAAGGTAAACTCCAAGTCATTGAAAAGAATGGAATCCATCTTGGTGCTGATGGAAAAAGAGCTCTAAAATGTAGCTGTAAACGTGAAGTGGAAAAAAACAAGGAGCAGAAACTCATATACACATATCATTTTTAAAATAAGGTGTGTGTGTATATGCACACAGATTCTCTATATAATATATATATATTATATTTTTTTAAAGGCGAGCAAGAGAAAGGAGGGGAAACAAGTATACTTGTATACGTATAAACAATTCTAGGACAAGAAACTGGAGAAGTCAGGATATTAGAGACTTTTCACTCTATACCCTTTTTTATTATGATTGAATTTTTTAATTCTACACAGTTTTCTCACTTTAAATTACATATATACGAATATTCTACATAAGACCATTTAAAATAAACTTTTATTCATAGGAAATGTAATGGTTTGTTTGAAATTTAGTCATAACATCCCTGTAAGTTTCATGCAATTAAATGCTTATCGTATGCTAAACATTTGATGAGACGACCTTAAATCCAAGGTAGTCAGAGAGCATATTTGTAGACCAAGTTTTACATGGGATACAATCAAAAGAAGGACTACGTAATTTGCTGTATTAGGAACATTTAGCAAAAGGCTAACACTCAGCTCAGAGTAATTCAAGCGAAAGAGTAAAGTTATTATCATACTGAGGTCCTTCATAGAACCCAAGGGAAGAATTGAGGCTGGTCTGGAGAACAAGGGAAGTGAAGACTTGAACACCGTGGGGAGTCTCTCCATCTTCATGACTTCATTTCCTCTCACTGTACAATAGTAGCTTCTTCCACATGCCACAAAACATTGCTCTCACAGTTCCTAGCTGTTATCTGTAACCATTTCACCGGGAGCGGAGTTATTTCTCAAGTTTGGAAGTACTGGCATTTTGGCTGGTATGGTTCTGTGTTAGGGGCTGGGGGGTGGCTGTCCTGTGCATTGTAGAATGTTTATCAGCATCCCTGGCCTCCATTCCCCCTCCTCGTAGTTGCAATAACCAAAAATATCTCCAGATATTGCCAAGTGCTCCCTAGGGGATAAAATTGCCACTGACCTGGGAGAAACTGAACTGCTTGCTCATTCACCTTCCCAAGTGCTGGGGAAGGACGCTGACTGCCTAGCTTTTGGCTCAAATGTGGCTGAATAACTAGAGCACGCTTGCACTCACAAGGTGACCCCTTCATAAGCTTGTGGTTTAAGGAGTTGTTGCTCTTTACCACTGCTATAGGGCTTTCCCTAAACCCTCTAAGTCAGTACTGTCCAACACAACTTTCTGCAAGAAGATATCCATCATGTGCTGTCCAAAACAGCAGCCACTAGCCATATGGGGCTATTAAGCACCTGAAATACAGCTCCTATTATCGAAGAACTGCATTTTAAAATTTTTTATTTGACTTTCATTAATTAAATTTAAATAGACACATGTAACCCTCGACCACCTAACAGCACAGCTCTAAGTACTGAGAGCATTTAAGCTCCTTTAGAACAGTTGCCAGCATACCATGGGGGCTTAATAAGTACTTGCTGAATAAAGGAATGAATAGGATTGGGCTCAGGGTCTTGGTTGGCAAAAGTCATTAAACCAACTCAGATGGTTCCACCCATAGGAAAAATGGGAACTCAGTGAGAAAGGAGCAGAAACAGAAGCAACCCACTGTCCATCAACAGATGAATGAATAAACAAATCGAGGTGTGCATACATGGCAGAATATTTATTAAGCTCTAAAAAAGAACACTATTTTGACACATGCTACAACGTGAATAACCTTGAAGACATTTTGCTAAGTGAACTATGCCGATCACAAAAGGACAAATACTCTATGAGTCCACTTATATGAGGTACCAAGAATAATTAAATTCATAGAGCTAGAATACAATGTTGGTTGCCAGGGATCGGGGGTACCAGGAAGTGGGGACTTAATATGTAATCGATAAAGAGTTTCAGTTTGGGAAGATGAAAAAGTTGTGGAGAGGAATGGTGGTGACGACTGCACAACAATATAAACATAACTAATGCCACAGAAGTGTACATGCAAAAGTGGCTAAAAGGGTAAATTTTGTGTCAGGTATACTTTACAATTTTGTTAAAAAAAAAAAAAAAGAATCAAGAAAGCTTAATATGGTATGGTGGACTGAACCATTGCTCACAATTCTTTACAGCATCCCTATACTCCAGAAATAAATGGAACAAACCTGAACCCAACCCCACACTCTGGAGCCAACACCAGCCAACCCACACCCTAAGTAAAGCTACCCTACAAAGCTATGACTGAGAGAATGAGATCCTTGCTGTTGCAGGTTATGGGTTCCAGGGAAGTTTGTTACACAGCATGTTTATAGCAAGAGTCAGATACATTAAGTCTCAATGGTCATGGCTTTGCCACCAAGAGAACATTGAAAGAATAATGAATACTTGCCACAGTGTGGCTAAGGATCAGCTGCATTCTAAAACTACAGATAGATCAGTTTTAAAAAATAAATAAATAGGCTGGGCACGGTGGCTCATGCCTGTAATCCCAGCACTTTGGGAGGCCGAGGTGGGCGGATCACGGGTACAAGAGATTGAGACCATCATGGCCAACATGGTGAAACCCCATCTCTACTAAAAATACAAAAATTAGCCAGGCATGGTGGCGGGCGCCTGTAGTCCCAGCTACTCGGGAGGCTGAGGCAGGAGAATCACTTGAACCCAGGAGGTAGAGGCTGCAGTTAGCCAAGATTGTGCCACTGCACTCCAGCCTGGAAACAGAGCGAGACTCCGTCTCAAAAATACATAAATAAAACCATGAACTATGACATTTGATGAATCATTATTTAAAAGGTCCACTAAGCCTCAGATCCTTGAAGAAGGTGGGTCCAATGTAGAACTGTGCTTCATTCCTTAAGAGTCTATGGATTATGGTCTTAAGTGATGTTGAGCCTGAAGAAAACAAACCCTGGCACCTCTCATAACCCATTATGATCTCTGGAGACCATCTGATTCTAAAGAGATGCAATTTGAAATGCTCCCTGAAGCACTTCAGGCCTCAACATTCTCGTTAAATTTCCCCTTTCAGCTGTCCCTGGCAGTCACTCCAAGCTGGCAGCCAACATCTTCTACTGTCTGCAACCCTCCACCCTGAAAGGAAATAAAATCTACATCCAAGTCAAGCACATGTTTTCACGCAATTCAAAGAAAACAAACTGTGAACAACCTGAGGGCTCACAGGAGCCCTGTTATCATCTACAAAGACTCGTGAAGCAGACTCGGGCACATCATCACTTCCACAAGACACAGAAGCCTTCCTGCACCCTGCTGGGAGAAGCCCTCCCAGCTTCCTGCCTGACACACTTCCCTGGACTTTAACCAGCTCTACTTCTCTCCACCTCTGTACCAGTGACCAAGGACCAGAACCAGTTAAGATTTTTATTTTTCCTAAGGAGCAAACTTCTTACGCTGCTTCACCCCAAGAGCTCAATGGAGTTTCCTCTTGGGCACACTTAATAATCATGTCGTACCTCAGCAAGAAGGAGCAGATAATAAAATCCAAAGGCAAATAGGACAAGCTGTTAGCCAGGGATGAGAGAACTAGCAAAGGGCAACAGACTATTCTAGGAAATAAGAAAGGAGGTGCTTGGGCAAGGCTTGCTCAGGCCCACCTTCCTCCAGCCTGGCAGCCTGACTGGTCCCTAATTCTGCCACCTCACATTGCAAAGCAGTTCTTATCTCTCATTTGAAAAACTGACAGGGACAGAAGACAGCAGACAAGAAGTCCACACACACTAGCAGCAGAAAAGAAGGTGAAGGAGAGAAGACCGTGGAAAGAGGTTTATAACATAAAGCCATTGTTGCTAATTCAAATTGTTAACTATTGCGAGAAAGGAGCAGAGAATATATTTTAGAAAATGTCCAGCAGAAGAAATTTTGCTGGTTAATTGACTACATCTTGGTAGTTTTAAATATTTTCTGATGCAGTCAGGTTCCTATGTCTAAGACATATGCCTGTGACATATACATGTTTCTTCCTTTATTAAAATTATAATAAATTAATTAATTAGGTATTCCTTTTAACTTTGTTTCTATTATGTAAACAACTTCTGGGCAGTAGGCACTATATGATCTTTACTCGGCCAGAGCCATTTCACTTCCTTTTATTTGCAGTTTCTATTCAGTCCAAAATATCATGTATTTTTGCTAAAATCATTATGATCCCCCCTGAAGGGCTAGGACTGGGTGAGATCAGCTGCTAACAATAAGAATAACGATGAAGAACAACAAGGGGAAAAACATCAAGAGAAGCAGTCAGATACTCAACTATTCACGGTCCACATTTATTAGGCACATATACGCATACACTTAATCCTCAGAACAACACAAAAACATGTTTGTTTTATTCTTATTTTATATATGGAAAATAAGCTCAAATGAGTTCCAGCAAGTTGATGAAAGTTAAACATATGAAAGACAGCGGTGCTCCTATGAAAGCCAGAGCCAATCAATCAAGTCTTGTTCTCCCAACCACTTCACTAGTATACTACCTCCTGGTGGTTACCAACTACACTTTTACTCAGATGAAAAGTAAGGCAGTCCAGGTGTGGTGGCTCACACCTGTAGTCCCAGCTACTTGGGAGGCTGAGATGGGATGATCACTTGGGCCCAGGAGTTGGAGGCTGCAGTGAGCTATGATCATGCCACTACACTCCAGCTGGGTGACACAGTGAGACCCTGTCTCAAAAAATAATAAAATAAAATAAAATATAAAATAAAATAAATAAAAGGCAATTTGTTCTCCTCTCAGCAGAACAGGTGCCCCCTATTCTCACTCATCTCAGCCCCCTTTCCTAACAGTCACCAAAATGTTATGAGATAAAGTAAATTTTTGTTAAGTTCTCTAACCTGGTATTTTCTACTCTTTTTTCTTCATCTTCAGTACCTTTGTAAGGGAAGTAGAAAAAATTTCCTTTGGGTTGTACACGATTTAATAAGATACACCATTTAAAGTTCTGACTATTGCAGCTCCCATGATACTCTGATACAAATTTGGCCAAACCACGCTTTAAGGGCTCTGTGTACACACAGGAGATGGTATAAGTGAATGTCTCCTAGCCAAACTATGCACTCCCGAAGCATGGTACTGCATGTCACTACACAGCCATATAAACATATGCACAACAGAGCAGCTAAGAGCTTAGTTCTGCATTTGAAATTCACCTTCAATTCTTACTGATTTTTGGACTTTGTTCCTAATTATTCTAAATCTTAGTTTCATTATCCATAAAATAGGGATAATACTTACAATTCCTTGTGAGGATTAATAAAAGAAATGTACATAAATTGCTTAGCACAGAGTATGGCATAGAGAAAGCACTCTATCAATATTATTATTTATTTGACCCAAGTCTCATTTTCTTTCTTAAATTCCTTAGTACCTTTTTGTTTTCAGAACAATTCATATAATCAGGGAAAAAAATGTAAACAGTGAAGACAAATAATCCACTTAAAGCATTACATAATTTATAAATGCTGATGCCATAAAATATGCTTTGCATTAATTTCATCTAAAATTCAGTTTTATAGTATACATCAAATATGGTTTAAATGGATGTTGATTGTTCCTTTTTCAGAATTAGCATGAAGAATATTAAAAAAGGAAAGGTACAGAAAAATAAAATCTTTCTTATTTACTTCTAGAATTCAAATTTAATACTATGAAAGTAACAAAGTAGAATTCAACTCTTGTTTTGCTGAAGACAACTAGATATTTTGCTCCTTCAAAGCATGGATTGTGGCAATCATCTTAGCATCCTAATCACTATGCACTGTTCCTGGGAAATAGTAGGCCCTCAAACATTTGTTGAAAGCATAAAGAGTGAGCAAATGGGAGAGTGGGAGGGAAGAAGGGAGAGTGGGAGGGAAGAAGGGAGGGAGGGAGGAGTGGATGGATGGATGGGTGGGCGGGTGGGCGGGTGGCTGGGTGGATGGGTGGATGGGTGGATGGATGGATGGATGGATGGATGGATGCATGGATTAACCAACCTTATGTTGCCAGTTTGTATCAGTTATTTATTGCTGTGTAACAAGTAACCCCAGTCTTATTGGCTTCAAACAATAAGCATTTATTATCTGACAGTTTCTGTGGGTCAGGAATCCAAGACTGGCCTAGCTGGGTGGTTCTGGCTCAACATCTCTCACACCTCTGCAGTGTTAGTGGGGCTGCAGTCATCTACAGCTTGACTGGTCCAAAGGATACTCTTCCAAGCTCATTCGCATGGCTGTCAGCAGGGGGCTTCAGTTCCTCACTGTGTGCGCCTCTCCACAGCACTGCTCACAGCATAGCTTCTCCCAGAGCAAGAGATCCAAGAGAGAGGGAAATAGAAAGGATGACTAGGACAGAAGGCAGATTTTTATAACCTTATCCTGGAAGTGAAACGCCATCATTAGGCTATTGGTCTCACAGACCTGGGAACAGACTGCACGAAGGTGTAAATACAAGAAGGCAGGGATCATTGGAGGACATCATAGAGGCTGTGGAGTTTGAAATAATCAAATCTTCTAAATTGCAAAGCCAGTAACAAATTAACATAGTACCATAGGCAGGGTTATTTTTGTACAGCTGCAAAAACTTATTCAAATCATTCATATTATGTTGCAAAGATTAAAAGGGAAATAGCTATTTAAAAAAAAAAAAACAGTAAATATCCATGAGAAATGTCAACTTGGATTTTCTTCCTAACCCAAAAATGATTGAAATGTTCTTCCTGCCCAACTTTCAACTCATGGCAATAGTTCGTTTTCATTCTAAAAATTCAAGACTTGACTCAGCAAACACATCAGTGCCAAGAAAGCGAATTTCCAAAATTATGTCTGTCTCTTTATGGAGCACAGGCCAAACTTAAAGGAAAAAGAATTTAGACCACAAAATAATCTGTCATTTCTAGTCTTCATACCAGCATATTGAAATGCTGGGGTCTTCGACATTTTATATAAGGCATAAAATTTAAGAAAATACTTTCTAGAATGCCTTATTACCCAAGTCTGAATTGAAAGATGGTTTTTAGGCCGGGCACAGTGGCTCAAGCCTGTAATCCCAGCACTTTGGAAGGTGGAGGTGGGCGGATCGTTCGAGCCTAGGAGTTCAAGACCAGCCTGGGCAACATGGCAAAATCCCCTCTCTACCAAAAATACAAAAATTAGACAGTCTCATAACCCAATCTCAAAATAATAAATAGATAAAAATTAAAAATAAAATAAAATAATAAAGAAAGATGATTTTTGCATCACCAAATCTTTACACTGATTTCTCTCTAGTTTTTCCTTTGCAATGAAATGTCACTCAGACTTGGACTAAGATTAAGTCATAACTGACAGCTGTTGACTCTCTCAAGCTCTTCTCTGACCGTATCAAGCCTGAGTATCCTTATTTTGCACATTCTTCCTTATGTAAGATGCTTCTGAGGGATGGTGGCAGTGGCTGGCATGTACTAATACAAAATACTTCAAATTATATTTTTGAGCTGGAAATTCAAGAGAAACAAATACCAGGCTGAAGTCAGTTGCTACTGAATGATGGAGAATCTCCATTCCAAAGGACAGTCTTTATTTATGGCTTCATCCTAGGTTGGTGCCTTCAAAGTTGTCCTTTGCAAGTGTTTCATCCCAGTTCTACTCTGAGTGCCAAGAAGCCAGGAACATTTGGTGAACTCGGCTATGTCTCTCTGCACTGGTGGTGACTTTTTGCTGCTCCTCCCTAGACAACCCCTATGTGACATAAGATGATATTGTAAAAGTCATAAGATATTCACGAATTAAGCAAACCATCACCAATACCTTAAATGATGTAATTACTTATATATAGCCATTTTTTAAACGGAGTGGGATGAGGGATGCTAAGATGTAGGCCATACAAAATTTATTTAAAAGATCTTTTTTGGGCCAGGCATGGTGGCTCATGCCTGTAATCCCAGCACTGTGGGGAGACGGAGGAGGGTGGATCACTTGAGGACAAGAGTTCAAGACCAGCCTGGCCAACATGGCAAAATCCTGTCTCTACTAAAAATACAAAAAATTAGCCAGGTGTGGTGGTGTGCTCCTGTAATCCCAGCTACTCAGGAGGCTGCAACACGAGAATCACTTGAACCTGGGAGGCAGAGGTTGCAGTGAGCCAAGATGGCACCACTGCACTCCAGCCTGGGTGACAGACTGGGACTCTGTCTCAAACAAACAAAAAAAAGACCTTTCTCACTAATGAGTTTGTCGATGGCTAAAAAATATTTTGATCATGTTCTGGAGTTAATTACCCTCACGTTTGACTTTGAACCAAACTCAATTACATACAAGAATTAATCGAAACACACTTAGCTTAAGGCACAGGTAAACCATGAAGAAGACTTAGAAGCTGTGCAGTGTCATCGTAAATTAGCAGAAGCTTTATTACCTGCCCTAATTCAAATTACATGCTTTCACACTTGCTTTGTTCAAAAGGTACAACAGGTAGAAGGCATCCTCAAATGACAGCTTCACTCTCAGTGGTGTCTCTTACAGGTATTTTCAAGCAGAAATTGTGCACATATTACAAGTTAACAAGAAATGGAAACCATCTCAGCAGGTAATCTTTCAAATCCCAATTCCAGGAAACCAAAATGTCAATTAAAGCACCCTGGGCTTTTTAGTGATGCTCAATACCTACTTATAAATGATTGTGATGTTATAGGTTTTCTTTCCATCTAACTTGTGCTTTAGGCATCTCAACATTGGAAAGGAGACCATAGGTCATCATGGAGTCTAATCCTTTGGCCCCACCACCATCCCGCAGTGGCATATGTGAAAGGTTGTCAACATCATCACTTTGTTGTCACTGTCACCCTCAACCTACGAGGACTCCACTTGACTTCATCCTGAAAACACACTTAGGTACAGGTAAGTATGCTTTCAGTGTCCCAGAACAGCGTATTCGAAACCAGATCACGCCACCGCTCAGCTGGACCTGCCACCCTTATAATAAAATCAAAACTCGGCCGGGCGCGGTGGTTCATGCCTGTAATCCCAGCACTTTGGGAGGCCAAGGCAGGTGGATCACCTGAGGCCACAAGTTCACCACCAACCCGGCCAACATAGTGAAACCTCGTCTCTACTAAAAATACAAAAATGAGCTGGGCATGGTGGCACACACCTGTAGTCCCAGATACTCAGGAGGCTGAGGCACAAGAATCACTTGAACCCGGGTGGCAGAGGTTGCAGTGAGCCGAGATCACACCACTGCACTCCAGCCTGGATGATAGAGTGAGACTCCATCCTCCTGCCACTACCAAATAAAAAAAAAAAAGAAACCTCATCTCCATGACCTGAAAGGCCCTACAGGCCTCCATCTCCTGTTTGTGCCCGACTTGAGCCACATTCATCTGCTAGTTCTTCCTCAAACCTGCCACGTTCTTTGCCGCCTCGGTGAATTGTTGGCACTGCTCCCTCTGCCCGCTGTCCTCTGCCCCCAGATCACCAGGAGACCAACTCCTACTCAAAATCCAGGTCCTGTCTCAAGTTTCTAACTTCCAGAGAGGCCTTCCCTGACCAGTGCATCTAACACCTATTGCATTACCCATTATCTCTCAAAACTAGCTGTTATTTTTTTCCGCATTTATTCACTCACATGCCTATTACGTGCCATATGTGTGCACACAAGATGGTAAGCTTTATAATAATAGCAGCTGATCAAAGCTAAAGCTTACACTGTATGGAAAATTTACTATGTGACAGGCTCAGTTCTAAGCACTTCAGTTTCTCACAAGCCTATAAGGCAAGTAAGAATATTATCCTCCTCTTACAAATGAGAAAACTAAAGCACAAAGAGGTTAAGTAACTTGTCCAAGACACACAACCACTAAATGGTAAAGCTGGGATCCAAGTCTGGAAGTTTGTGGCTCTAGAATCCACACTGATAAGTAGGAAATTCTGCCTCCTTCCCACAAGAGCAGAGACCTGCTCTGTCTTGCTCACTGCTGAATCTCCAGGAGCCTAGAATGCTTGGAAGAGAAGGCCAGGGGAGGGAGCTGACTGTCTCCTAGCCTAGGTGGACTTCCTTTTTCTCTCCTATCATACCCCAAATACTTCCAACCCAGGGATCCTATCCCCCATTCCTAACAGTATCCTCAGTTCCATCACTGCAAGTGTCATCTGAAATCCTACAATGGGGTGACTCAGCTCAAAATTTCTTTTTTTTTTTTTTTTTTCTTTTTGAGATGGAGTTTCACTCTTGTTGCCCAGGCTGGAGTGCAATGGTGCAATCTCAGCTCACTGCAACCTCCGCCTCCCAGGTTCAAGCAATTTTCCAGCCTTGCGTCCTGAGTAGCTGGGATTACAGGCATGCGCCACCACGCCCAGTTAATTTTGTATTTTTAGTACAGACGGGGTCTCATCATGTTGGCCAGGCTGGTCTCAAACTCCTGACCTCAAGTGATCTGCCCTCCTCAGCCTACCAAAGTGCTGGGATTACAGGTGTGAGCCACCACGCCTGGCTCAGCTCTTAATTTCTTCATTCACAAAGCAATAATTTCGAGGACTCAGAAAGCATCTCTTCCTTCATTCACTGAGCCCAACTATCCATCTCACTCACGTTTTTTTAAAATTCTGGAAAAAGAAGTCAAGTTAGAAAGAACAGCCAAAGTTTTTTTCTTTTCTTCCCCCCCCCCGCCACCCCCCACAGCTACTCACAGAGATATCAAGATGTCTGGAACAGAAAATAAGGACTGAATATTAAACTCACCCAGTTCAATTTTCTTATAGTAATTTACCAAATAAGGCATAACCTCAGCCTACAAGCCCTTCCTTCTACTCCAGCTTCTATTTGGGTCATAATATATCTATCTTCAAATGATCACATTCCCGGGGTGGAAAAGTAGCCTGTTGCTTAATCAAAACGTCATCCAACAAAAACCATTCTCGCAGTTAAATTCCGTTTCCTTCAGGAGCAGTTGGCTGAAAGCTCGCTGGGACATGTGGTTTCAGCTATTCTTACTCTTCAGGGAAGTGCTATTTTTCTTCAAAGCAACGTAGCCCAGCAACCCCAAGGAAACCTGATTAACTTCTTTGGTGATGTGCTAGTAAAACTCACTGTTGTCTTGCTTCAGGGAATTTTAATGGCAGCATTTCTGTTTCATTCATTAGAACCTTGAAGTACCCAAAGAAATGAATATCCTTTCTCTTTCTTTGTTCCTCATTTTGTTTTCAGAATGCAGGTCAGGATCAGAAACTGGGAACCATGTGACACCTCTGCAAAGAGTCGATAGGTAGATAAACTTGATGGCTTGCAATCCAAAGGGTGCTCATAAAGGAAAAGCTTAGGTGTTAATAGGACATGCCAATTACTCCAGTGTCGGGCTGCATAGCTCAGATGGCTCCAGCACCAGGCCAAGAGACCAAAAATTCAGAATCAGTCTTCTCAATAAACTGTGAGCTCAGCAATATTCCAATATTAAGCAGCACCCTGGACTCCAGAGAGTCATCTTGAAAGTATGTGCGGGTGATTAAAGAGGAACTGGCCTCTAGAGTGGGTCACTACAAACTGACCATCATTCCCGGAAAAGCTGCTGAGCACATGGCCTTCAGCACATGGCCTTGTCCCTGGGCAACCGACACATCTGGATGAGGGTGGGACAAGTGAACAGTGGTGGGATTAATTATACAAGCAAACAGTGGTGGCTTTAAGGTCCAGCTTTTAAAAAGCTGGGGCCAAAAAGTTAGGTGTTTTAAATTCTGGGTCATGCCCCTTATTAGCTGTGTGACACTGGACAAATTACTTAGCCTCTCTAAGCCATACTTTTGGAGATCATTTGAAATATAGCACATAGGTATATGAAAAATAAACAGGTAATGGCTGGGTGTGGTAGCTCACGCCTATAATCCCAGCATTTTGGCAGGCCAAGGTGAACAGATTACCTGAGGTCAGGAGTTCAAGACCAGCCTGGCCAACATGGTGAAACACCGTCTCTACTACAAATACAAAAATTAGCCACACATGGTGGTGCACGCCTATAATCCCAGCTACTCGAGAGGCTGAGGCAGGAGAATCGCTTGAACCCAGGAGGTGAAGGTTGCAGCGAGCCAAGATCGCCCTACTGTGTACTCCAGCCTGGGCAAGAGACTGAGACTCCATCTCAAAAAAAAAAAAAAAGGCAAGATAGAGAAGTCATTGTGACTTAGCACAGAGTTGCTTATCAGTAGCTGAGGTGCAGACTGGTTAAATGATGGGTATATATAAGAGAACTAGTTAGTACACAGGTCCCCTAATGTTTGGTATTGTGGAAGAGGCCCTGGCCTGAGAGTTGGAATGCTCGCTTATTAGTGCAAGCACAGCCACAGATTATATATGTGCTGTAGAGCTTACCCCGTCCAATGTTTATTCTACTTAAATCTAAATAATTACAATTAAATGAATTAAAATGAAATAGAATTAGAAATTTAATTTCCCGGCCAGGTGCAGTGGCTCATGCCTGTAATCCCAGCACTTTGGGAGGCCAAAGCAGGCAGATCACTTGAGGTCAGGAGTTCGAGACCAGCCTGGCCAGCATAGTAAAACCCAGTCTCTACTAAAAATCCAAAAAAATTAGCTGGGCATCAAGGCGTGTGCCTGTAATCCCAGGTACTTGGGAGGCAGAGGCAGAAGAATCACTTGAACCCGGGAGGCGGAGGTTGCAGATCACGCCACTGCACTCCAGCCTGGGTGACAGAGTGAGACTCCATCTCAAAAAAAAAAAAAAAGAAAAGGAAAGAAAAGAAATTTAATTTCCTAGTCACACTAGCCACATTTATTTCAAGAGCTCCGTAGCCATGTGTGGCTTTTAGCTTCTATATTGGATAGCTCCACTGTAGAACATTTTAAACATCACTGCAAGTTCTGTTGGACAGTACTGCTTTAGCAAGCAGGTGAACCTTTTGGCTCCCACTTCGGCTTTTTTGAGGAGTTGGTAAAATATGACCATTAAGCATAACTTTGGAGTTATGCTGACTTCAGATTCTGATTCTGGTTTCTCAAATCCTGCCTGACATTGAACAAACAACTTGCCTTCAGTTTCATCATCTGTAAAATTGAGATAATAATAGCCCCTCACAGACTTATAAAATATTATATGAGAGACTGTATTAGATATATGTGGTTAGTACTTCATATGGTTTGGCTGTGTCCTCACCCTTCTCATCTTGAATTGTAGCTCCCATAATTCCCACGTGTTGTGGGAGGCACCCGGTGGGAGATAACTGAATCATGGGGGTGGTTTCCCCCATATTGCTCTGGTGGTAGTGAATAAGTCTCACAAGAACTGATGGTTTTATAAGGGGAAACCCCTTTTGCTCGGTTCTTATTTTTTCCTTTTGCCTGCTGCCATGTAAGACATGTCTTTTACCTTCCACCATGAGTGTGCCGCCTCCCCAGCCATGTGGAACTGTGAGTCCATTAAACCTATTTTTCTTTATAAATTACCTAGTCTCAGGTATGTCCTTATTGGCAGTGTGAGAACAGACTAATACAGTATTAAATGCTCAAGAGATAGCATGTATGTATTTTACATAGAGTTTATCATTTGTATCAGGTCTCGTAAGTCGAGGCATCTGTCTGCCTCCAGAGACCAATCTCTTAAAACACTTTCTCCCCTTGCAGGGTTGGAGACTTTCACTATGTAACTTAAAATAAAACAGTGAAGGAAGATTTTTCCTGCAGTGCCATTTTGACCAGAGCTGGATTTACTCTAACAAGTGCCTGCACCTCTTGGTCGAGTTCCCTGAGCATCGGCCCTCTCCTGTGGCTTTGGGAAGAGGTCTTGACTTAGGAAGAAGGCTTCCATGATCCTCTCAGCCTGAGACTGGCCTGGGGTTTTAATTCCCACCCTCTGCTTATCTCTTGGCCGACATTTGGGCATGCCACATGCCCCTTCTTTGGTGCAAGGTCTATCATCTGCAAGGTGCATTTTACAGAAAAAAAGGCAGAGTCCTGCTCTTGACCTTTCTCCTTCTCACCAGGGAAATGCTTCATGCCATCCACCCTGAGCAGAAGTCCAGAGACACCTGGGCAACTTCCATGGTGCATTTAAAAAGGGAAGAAATGCCAGAATACAGCTGTAAAAATGATGGTATATTTTAAATATCAATACCTAATAAATCAATGCTTTTAATGCCTACATAATATGCCACGTGGAGTGACTGCCATTACGAGACAATTATGGTCTCATAAAAAATATTAATTATCAGTGTCTTGTATTGTAGAGTGTGTGGTCTGGTAATAGGGCTCATGTGTAACATCGTAATGATTGTATTGTCATTTCAGTCACCATTATAGTGACTGTATATCTAAGCTCAGTAGGCACCAGTGCCAAAAATCTACATTTGAAGCCCTTTGTGACTGATGCATCCCAGGTACTAAAAGCTCTCATGAGAGGTCCTGAGAGCACAAGTCCTGGCTTACTTCAAAAAATATATATTTTTGTTTGTTTGTTTCTTAACAGTAAGGAAAATGATTTTTTATTTTTTTATTTTTCTAAAGACAGGCTCTCCCTCCGTCACCTAGGCTACAGTACAGTGGCACAATCATAGCTCACTGCAACCTCCAACTCCTGGGCTCAAGGGATCCTTCTGCAGCAGCCTTTTGAACAGCTGGGACCACAGGCTCATGCTGCCATGCCCAGGTTATTTTTGTTTTTGTTGAAATGGGGTCTTGCTTTGTTGCCCAGGCTGGGAAAATGAATATTTTAATGCAAGGGGTTTCTCAGAATAGAGGAAAAGTTCAAGACACATCATAAAGTAAAACTTGTTTGCCTTCTGACATAAATATTTGCTTTTCTTTATATGTGCATATAATTTATTTCTCTGGTCTTGCCTTCTGCTTCAGTAGTTACTGATTTATGAACCAATGTTTAGTAGTGCTCTCCTTTGAAGCTGGGGAAAATTAAGTGAAGTTCTTTTATGTGAATAATGTGGAGTACAATGAGACTCTCCGAGGCCTCTCTGTGAAATGACTTTAAAACCACTGGTGAGCATTTCAACTCTGGACTTTTCTGTCTTTTAAAATTCACTCACATAGTTTGGATGAAAAGAATTTCAACAGACAATGAGATTTAGATAGCCTGATTCTAAGTTTCGGTGCTCTTCTCCAAATACAGTTTCTTTTTAGGTGAATATTATGTTTTAAAATTTTTTAAAAATGAAATTAGAGTTTGATAGCAGTCTTTTAAATAAGTCATTTCCCCACCCCTCCTTATCTCTCTCTCCCTCCCAATTATTCTGTCACTTATTCACTGATGCCCTGGCTAACACAGTCACTCAGCACTCCTCCTAGAGAGAACATTAGTTGACAATGGCCGCTTCCAGGGTGGGTAACTTTGCCAAATTACTTAACTTCTTTATGTTTCAGTTTTTTATATTTGTAAAATGGGAATAGTGATGGTACTCACCCCATAAGGTGATTATAATAGTACAGTTTATAAGTTGGTGGGAGGTTTGAATGAGTTAATGCATCTAAAGTACTTGAAGTCGTACCTAGCACCCAGGAAGTACTCATGTTGTCATATTTTACTCATCAAATAGTAATTGAGTGCCTTCTTAAAAGGTAGTGTAGGCCGGGCACAATGGCTCATGCCTGTAATTCCCAACACTTTGGGAGGCTAAGGCGGGTGGATCACCTGAGGTCAGGAGTTCAAGACCAGCTTGGCCAAGATGGTGAAACCCCATCTCTACTAAAAATACAAAAATTAGCCAAGCATGGTGGCAGGAACCTGTAATCCCAGCTACTTGGGAGGCTGAGGCAGGAAAATCACTTGAAGCCAGGAGGCAGAGGTTGCAGTGAGCCAAGATTGTGCCATTGCACTCCAGCCTGCGTGACAGAGTGAGACACCATCTAAAAACTATATAAATAGTGTGTTGGGTACTAGGAATCTGGTGGTTAGTAGAAAGATGCGGTTTTGCATTCATGGATCCTCAAACACACCATTTATTTATTAAAAATTCTGTTGATACTGGGATGTAAGTGCTTCATGGAACTGTGATGACCAATCTGCATGTTCATATTTCCCCTCTCCTTCTTTTAAAACACGTTTAATATAATATTTTCAAAATAAAATGTGTGTGTGTGTGTGTGTGTGTGTGTGTGTGTGTGTGACAGGGTCTCACTCTATCGCCCAGGCTGGAGTACAGTGTTACGATCACCACTCACTGCAGCTTCAGCCTCCCCAGCTTAAGTGATCCTCCCACTTCAGCCTTACTCTCGGGAGTAGCTGGGACCACAGGCATGCACCACCATGCCTTGCTAATTTTTTTTTCTTTTTTTTTTTTTTTTTAGAGATAGGAGTCTCACTATGTTGCCCAGGGTGGTCTTGAACTTCTGGGCCCAAGTGATTCTCCAGCCTCAACGTCCCAAAGTGTTAGGATTTACAGGTGTGAACCACCATGCCTGGCACAAAATACCATTTCATTCTCAGATTAATTTTGTACCATGGAGACAAGGGGAAGTTTTCTCTTTTCTTTGTAGATGAAGCAACTTGAGGACAGATATTTGGAGGTCTTGTCTGAGGTTCATTTAAAATGGGGCAGAGGCCCCAGGCCTTCTAACTCTCCATCCAGTTCTCTGTAGTAGCCCTTCCTACCCCAGCTTTGGTACTGATGTCAACCCCAGTGTTTCCTCATTTACTGAGCATGTGTGACTTTCAAAAGGCTCTGTTACTCTCTTGATTTCTGTGAGGAGCGAGATAGCCATGACTTTACCCTGACCATGTGACTGGAAACATACTGAATATTATTGGATGGAGAAGTTCACAGTGTTTCACAAACACATGACAAGTTATTGTTAACATTATATGAATGGGAGGTGGCAGGTCAAGTAAGGCCAGAGAAGCATTCAAGCTGACACCTTGTTCATGAATTTAATCTCTTATGAGAACAGCTAGAATGATCATAGTGGCCAGTTTGGTAGCCTGATCATTTTGGTCATATGCAGAAATGTTCTCAATGGACTTTGAGAGTTAGAATTAGTTGGTATACAGGCTCCTCCTTGGAAATGTACACACCAAGCAATTGAGAAAAGCTGGAAATGCACCTGTCTCAAGTCTCATTGAAAATTCCTTTAGGTATCATACTCCAAAAGATTACATGGAATTGAACATTTTTGAAATAAGGACAGGACTAATAGACTTTCTTAAGTGGAAATCTCTCGTCTTTTTTTCCCCTGGTACTTTGAAAACTTAAAATAAACATCGTTTCCAGTATTTGATGGTTTATTTACTAACTACCTGTTTGGAGGAAATGTCATATTGTCTCAGAACAATGGAAGCTCTGCTCACAAGAGAGCAAGGAGAGGGGGTGGTTTTCAGTAGTCAGTTGGGATAGACCCAGTTTGGCTCACATTTTTTGCATCTCTGAGTTCAGATGAAAAGGATAGTGAGTGGCACTGCAGAAAACCCAAGAAAACTGGAAATAGAAAATGGCAATTTTGAAACTAAAGCAATTAAACTAGTGCCCCATTTGAACATGCTCAGTGACTTGGCTTAGAACTGTTAGTCAAGAAGAATGTATTAAATGCTGTATTTGTAAAGACGTCTTCCCTAGTTGATAGATTCTCTGCCCTTCATTGGCTTTTGGAGAATCAGCTCAAGGGTAAAAGGGTATAGGATAGAAGGAGCAAATGGGCCAGATGTTTGTGGTCATTTCCTTCCATTTCCAGCCAGACATAGCTGATTGATCATGGTGCCTCTTCTCACTAAACACAGGCATGTTTGCAACATCATTCTCTATTGGAATTGGCACATGAAACTTATATACCATCCTTGATAAATGACATTGTTTTTTTCTGTTGATGTAGTCCCAATTTTACCCATATTAACTTTTAAAAAAAAAGATTGTCTTATCTTAGTAGAAATATCTAAGCTCAGCTGAAGAAATAGATTCTATAAATACCCTTACAACCTAAACGCTAATTTTATCCCTAGATGAGTTGAGATGTGCACCTGAATTTGTCTCTTGCATCTGAATCAGGGCCAATTGCTAAGCTCTATTAACAGAAGTATGTAATTAAGATAAAGGGCAGGAGCAGGACAGCCAGTCCTAAAATTAGCTCTTGCCTTGATGTTCCCCAGGTGCAAGTGCACACAGCCTTGGTCCTTTCATTCTGGATGCACCCGATTTCCTTTTCAAGATGTGTGCAGGCCTTACCAGGATTTCCAAAAGCTTGGTTCTGGCTCAGGTTGGGAAGCTGAGATTGTTTTCTCCTGTGGGTTGTTATTCGTGTTTGAAATGTCGTCTGGCACCTTAGAAGCTTTTTGCGTAAATATTCTTTAAGATAGGTGTCACATTATTTATGTTTAGCTTGTGATAGTCCAACGGTCTTCTTACAAGCTGTTTCTGGACTGGTACTTTGAGAATAATGTAATTTTTATCAGCTGTCCATTCTTTACAATGAAGGTAAGTAGTGCAATTAAGGAAGGGATTTTTTTTTTTTTTTTTTGAGACAGAGTCTAACTCTGTTGCCCAGGCTGGAGTACAGTGGCATGATCTCAGTTCACTGTAACCTCCACTTCCCAGGTTCAAGTGATTTTCCTGCCTCAGTTTCCAGAGTAGCTGGGACTACAGGTATACGCCACCATGTTCGGCTAAATTTTTACATTTTTAGTAGAGACGGGGTTTTGCCATGTTGGCCAGACTGGTCTCGAACTCCTGACCTCAAGTGATCCGCCTCGATCTCCCAAAGTGCTGGGATTACAGGCGTGAGCTACCGCGCCTGGCCTAAAGAAGGGATTTTAAGCCTACCTGTCAAGGGATACCAGTATAGCTACACATTTCACTCATGTGACTTTGGGAGGGAAGAGCTTGAACTCTGCTATTCCTAATGTGCATCCTTGGGCAAGGCATGCACCTTGTCATGTGCTCTAGTATCCTAGATGAAATGGAGATGGCATCAGTACCGACCCCTCAGGGTTGGTATAAGGATTAAATCAAAGACATAACAGACATTTGTAAGTCAACGAACACAGTGCTTGGCATATGAAGCTAAGATGTAGGTAACTGCACATTAGAGGTGGGAGGCCAGGGTAGGAACTAGGGTGAGGCAGGCGAGCCACTTACCTTGGGTGCAAAATTTAAGAGGCACCAAAACCCTCAAGAATTAAGAATTAATGCAATACTTTCACTTCTTCCTTCCTGCCTGCCTGCTTTTCTTTCCTTTCTTTTTTAAGGCAGAGTCTTACTCTGTCACCCAGGCTGGAGTGCAATGGCATGATCCCCACACACTGCAACCTCTGCCTCCTGGGCCCAAGCAATTCGGGACTACAGGTGAGTACCACCATGCCCAGCTAATTTTGCATTTTTTGTAGGGATGGGGTTTCCCCACATTGCCCAGGCTAGTCTCAAACTCTTGGGCTCAAGCAATCTGCCTGCCTTGGCCTCCCAATGTATTGAGATTACAGTCATGAGCCACTGCTCCCGACTACAGTACTTTTAAAAATAAAAATTAGTGTGGTAAAGTCCATCACGAATTACATATCAAAACTGTAAATAAATTCAAGGACTGCCCCTGCACTTGCATGCCCCTGCCTCCTAGTGTTATAAGGACAAAATAAGACCATGAATCTGAAAACGGGTTGAAGATATAAGTGTAAGTTATTATCTGAACACATTGTTAAAAGCTTAAAAAATGAACAAAACAAAAAACCTCTCAGCTTTTCAGAGCCTATTTGGGGCTCAAGACATTCCAATCAAGTATGAAAACAAAGTCAGTAAGTACCAGGAAACATTCAGGGACCCCTACAAGTTACTCAAATCTACACTTGTCCCGAAATTCAGGATATCCATTTGTGTTGGTGACATCCTATTTTTTTTCATTCAACACAGAAGCCAGAGTGGTCAGCTATTTTTGAGGTGAAAGTTAAAGCAGGCATAACTGTGCTGTTGACAATGTTGGCGACTGGCCCCAGTGAAGGGGGTTATGCAGACAATACCCCTAAGTACAGTGGCAGATTGGGAGGGTGGAGGTCTCTCCTCAGTCACATCACTCCAGATGAGCCATCAGCGGCTGCAAGGCAAGATTTCTACTAACAACGTAGAGATGTGCCACTTCCAGGAATCTACCTACAAATGAGGGCAAAACCAGAGTTAACCTACCATAGCAGAAACACAACAAAGAACACAATGAGATACAGTGAAAGGGAGTCTAACCTCTAGAAACCATAATCAGATCAGCCTGTAGTTTTTCCTTGAGTTGTAATTAGCAGCTGTTGTTCAGTTCAAGCACTAAGATGAGCCCAGCTGTCTCATTCTGAGGACAATCAACAGTCCAAGAGCAAAAACATGGCACAGCTTCTATCATTATAATTAGAAAGAACTCATTTTTAAGAATTATCACACCTAATATGAAATATTTTGTCCTCAAACTTTTCCTATTCTATTTTTTATCACCACCCCCACCCACTGACTTATTAACAATATTTTTATGCCCTGATTCCCTGAAGACAGTTAACAGACCATTTTAAAAATATATTTTCTCATTCGACCCTTACTCAATTCTGGGAGATATGCCTGGTAAGGATTAGTCTCCCCATCTGACAGCTGACTTAACTAAGGCTCAGAAAGATGCAGACAACTGCCTGTAATCCTCAAGTTAATAAGTCGAAGGACAGAGCCAAGAACCTAGGTTTGCTCAGTTTTATACCAACGCTCCATCACAAAATTACACATTTAAAATGCTTCCTATGCAGACACTATTCAAAGCACTGTCACTGCCTTTATATAACCAGTAAGCCTCAAACATGGAAGATTTTAAGAGGATTTATATAGAAATAATGTAAAACATACATTCAAACAGGTAGAGAGTGAAGATGGGAAGGATATTTGACCACATTCTCAGCTCAGTGTTTTTAAATTCTGGCTGCACGCTAGACTTGTCCAATGAACTTTTTAGAAGTTCTGTACTCCATTCCCATAAATTTTGATTTAATCAGTGAAGCATGAGGCATTGGTATTTTTTTATATCTTCCCACATGAGTCTAATGTAATGCTACTGTGGAGAACCACTGCTATAGGTCAAAGATTAGTATAAACAGTACATGAGCCAGGAGTGGTACGTGAGATGAATTTGTAATACCAGACATAAATTTATTTTTATTTATTTATCTATTTTGAGATGGAGTCTAGCTTTGCCACCCAGGCTGGAGGGCAGTGGCATGATCTCGGCTCACTGCAAACTCCACCTCCTGGGTTCAAGTGATCCTCCTGCCTCAGCCTCCCGAGTAGCTGGGATTACAGGCACCAGCCACCACACCCGGCTAATTTTTGTATTTTTGGTAGAGACAGGGTTTTGCCACATTGGCCAGGCTGGTCTCGAACTCCTGGCCTCAAGTGACCCGCCCACCTCAGCTTCCCAAAGTGCTGGGATTAACAGGCATGAGCCACTGCACCTGACCCAGACATAATTTTTTAATGTTATACAGTTGTTGTGTTCATTTTACTGAATATTTGGGGAAAGTTAGCTGTCATATAAAACCTATGATTTTACAGTTTTTACAGACTAAAGTTTAAGAAGTAATTTGATTGAAAGAAAAATATAAATAAAACTGGTTCAGGTGGTACACAGATATGAAGAAATTAAGAAAGTAGTTCAAGAATGACTAAAGTCTAGAGATCTGATGATGATGATGATGATAATGAAGAGGATTATCTTGTGAGGAAATAAAGAGGAAGTAGCAGACACAGGAGGAAGAGCTGGCAAGACCTGAGTGAGATTAACGTGAGGCAGGGGAGGGAAAGAAAGAGGTAATACAAGTCACCACGGCAAGGTGCGGGATCATGAACTCAAGTTCAGTATCTTGCTCCAAGTACTATAAATACCAGGCAGGTTCTCGGTCAGCATTCCACCACTGGCAAAAATGGAAAAGTTAAAGATTAGGGAGGTTACTGAGGGAAGACCAACATCTAAATCAACCGCTCAGGCTTGTTCCCTAACGGAAGATTTACAAGTCTCTTAGGATGAGTACCGCCTACCAAAGAATGACCCTCTGGTAAGGGAGACTCTCCTTGTTTAGCCGAAGCTTCTAACACCAGATGAGCATAGCTGTCAGGCCATTCTCAAGCACATGCTTCAAGATTCATTCTTCAGATTTCAGTTCCTGCTATGGCATGATGTTCCTTTGAGCCGGTTTGCCTCTTAGCACAGAGTAACTATGATGAGCCTGAACCCAGTATAACGTAACATTCCTAAAGGCCAAGTGTTGTAAACTGGACCTGCTCAGAAAGAGAATGCTGACTATAAAAACTTAGTCATCTTCAAATATATAGGCCATTGTGCAGAAGAACTTAGGTGGTATATATACAGATACAGAAATAAATAATGGTAAATCATATTTTGGGAAAAATTATTTCCTTTCTAATTCTCTATCAAACCTTCTGATTTTGAATCTCAGATCTCAGCTGGATGTGGTGGTGCATGCCTGTCGTCCTAGATACTTGGGAGGCTGAGGCAAAAGAATCACTTGAGCCCAGGAGTTTGAGCCTGCAGTGACCTATGATCATATCACTGCACTCCAGCCTGGGTGATGGAGTGAGACCCTGTCTCTAAAAAATAAAAGTAAATGAGGCTGGGCACGGTGGCTCACACCTGTAATCCCAGCACTTTGGGAGGCCAAGGTGGGCAGATCACTTGAGGTCAGGAGTTGGAGACCAGCCTGGCCAACAGCGTGAAACTCCATTTCTACTAAAAATGCAAAAATCAGCCAGGCGTGGTAGCATGCGCCTGTAGTCCCAGCTACTCAGGAAGCTGAGGCAGGAGAATTGTTTGAACCCAGAAGGTGGCGGTTGCAATGAGCTGAGATCTGCCACTGCACTCCAGTCTGGGCGACAGAGCGAGAGACTCTGTCTAAAAAAAAAAAAAAAAGGTAAAAAAAAAAAAAAAAGAAAGTTAATGATACTGTAATATATGAATATGGCAAAACTCATGAAGCTGGTTTCCAAGTGACTTACATTTGACACTTCTGCCTCCAATACCATTTCTGAGTGTCCTTCCTCAATGGTACTATGAAAGTGTTCCTCTCCAGTGTCAGTGTACTTATGAAACCTAGGTGACAGAACCAGACGTCGCTTTTTCTTGTTCCCAGGAAACTGAGGAAATAGCTTGGGTGAGCTAATGCAAGCAGACTACCTCCTGGCCTGTTTCTGATGCAATGAAATTCTAATACTTAACAAACACTACAACATTTTAAGACTTTGCTCTGACTGACCAAATATGAGTTTTGATCTAGATATCTTTCTTGCTTAGACTCTTCCCTAAATCACACGGTGGTATCAGTTTAAAAAATAAATCCAGGCCAGGCACGGTGGCTCGTGATTGTAATCCCAGCACTTTGAGAGGCCGAGGTGGGTGGATCACCTGAGGTCAGGAGTTTGAGACCAGCCTGGCCAACATGGTGAAACCCCATCTCTACTAAAAATACAAAAGTTAGCTGGGCATGACAGCAGGCACCTGTAATGCCAGCTACTCGGGAGGCTGAGGCAGGAGAATTGCCTGAACCCAGGAGGCAGAGGTTGCAGTGAGCCGAGATCGCACCACTGCACTCCAGCCTGGGTGACAAGAGCAGAACTCCATCTCAAAATAAATAAATAAAAATAAAAATACATAAATCCGAATGCCATGAGAAACAAGCATGCAAGATGATGGCATGGAAGGGTTTGGGTGCCAGAGAAAGTCGGAGTTTGGTCATGGGTAAGTTAACCTCACAAAACCATAACATCCTCAAGAAGTTGTAGGAGAATCAGATGAAAAAATGCACAGAAGGTACCTCATACACTAACTGGCATATAATAGGCACTTCATAAATGTCAGCTCTCCCTTTCTTGAATAACCCACACAGTTGCACATCTAAGGAAACAGTGACTCACCTATATCTTGACAAAGACAGTCCTTCCATAGATTATTTAGTACAAGTATTTCCTCTACTCCTCCAGATCCTTGAGTACTAGCCTTTATTGTCTGTGGTGAAATAACATGGACTGAGTGCAGTTTGCATTGAAGAAAACCTGAGCAAAAAACAGTGAACTGTGGTAGCTATGTCTTGCCTGCCAGAAAGCAGTACCTTTCCCTTGATTTCCAACACTCTGCTTCCCTTCAATACCAGGACTGTCTAACCAAAGCTTTCCAAGGACCCTTCCAAGGGGATCTTGTTAAAATGCAGATTATCATCTAATACATCTGGGAGGGCAACCAAAATTCTGTATTTAACAAGCTCTCGGGAGATGTGAAAGCTGCTAGTTGGCACATGGACCATATTTTGAGTAATAAAACCCTCAATACCACCAACGCCTTCCAGATCCAGGAAAGACAACAAGGGAACAAGGGGCAGAGACTTTATCAGAAATTCCTTTCTCTTTCCAAGAATCTGGGCATCATTTCGGCTTTATTTTTATTGTTGTTGTTGTTATTGTAGGGTTTCACTCTCTCACCTAGGCTGGAGTGAAGTGGCATGATCATGGCTCACTGCAGCCTCAATCTCCTGGGTCAAAAGATCCTCCCGCCTCAGCCTCCTGAGTAGATGGGACTACAGGCACACGCCATCATGCCTGGCTATGTTTTTTTTAATTATTTTTAGTAGAGGCAGGGTCTCACTATATTGCCCAGGGTGGTCTAGAACTCCTGTGCTCAAGCGATCCTCTTGCCTCAGCCTCCCAAAGTGCTGGGACTACATGCACCTGGCTTCATTACAGCTTTATTTCCAGATGCTTCATATGCAAATGAAATGTCTAAGAGCATCCCATTTAACTGAGAGCCATCACAGCAGGCCACATGGAGCTGCTTATAAATGACAGATTACTCATTTTCTTTTTTTTGCTTTACATGGTTTTACCAGCAACCCATCTGATACCAGTTTCCCCACTGAGGCTTAAAATGACACCTCTGCCTCACTTATTCCACAGGGTGTGGACCTATGTTGACAGAACAAGAACCCATGTAGCTAGAGATGGGTGATTTGCAGCAGAAACCCACAGGCAATTAGAAGAACCAGCAAGCCCTTACTGAACACCTACTGAACAAGAATAACTCACAGAGAAACACACTTCACACATTAGTCTTTCATTCAACAAATAGTTATGGGGCACTAATTGGGTGCCAAGCACTGTTCAAGCCTCCATGGACTGAACCCAAAAACTTGTTCACCATTGTAGCCTTTACACCCTTGATACGCTTAATTTTCTTTTAATCAAATTGAATGAAACTTGATCACAAGCCTGTGAGTTAGGCAGTTCAAGTGTGATCTCATCAACCACTGTGTGACATCATCTTACATCATTTTCAGACTCTGTGAAGTAAGCATTACCTGTAGCTAATAAATCACTCACACACACACATAGCTTGGGGTCAGTAAGTCAACTTCTCCCAGGTAACACAATTAGCTAACCCTGGAAATGGAACAAAATTCTACCTGATTGCAAGGTTCATGCCCATAACCTCTAGTCTGTGCTCCCTCCCCAGAGAAGAAAGGTAATTCCCTGCCTGCCCTCAAGAAGTTTACCATCTCCTAAATAAGAGAGGACAACCCACAGCCATGAGACACTAAAACAAATATGGTAGGCCGGATGCAGTGACTCAAGCCTGTAATCCCAGCACTTTGGGAGGCAGGGATGGGCAGATCACTAAAGGTCTGGAGTTCGAGACCAGCCTGGCCAACATGGTGAAACCCCATCTCTACTAAAAATACAAAAATTAGCCAGGCGTGGTGGTGGGTGCCTGTAATCCTAGCTACTTGGGAGACTGAGGCATGAGAATCACTTGAACCTGGAAAGCAGAGGTTGCAATGAGCCGAGATCACACCACTGCACTCCAGCCTGGGCGACAAAGCAAGACTCCATCTCAAAAAAAAAAAAAAAAACACTGGTAAATGACTAAAGCATGAAAGTGAGTGGTTCCAAGATGCAATGCTCTAGAACACAGCAAAGAGTGAGAGACTCAGTGCCCTTTTCAAAATACTTTCAACTTAGAAATGCTTATTAGTATCTCCCCTCCTCATATGCTAAGCACCCCCTGAGGTAGACAGGCAACCCAGTCGGTCCACCCTGGGTGCTGACTAAAGACTTCTTGAATGTATCTGTTTCAATTATCTACTGTTTTATATCAGACTACCCAAAACTTAGTGGCTTAGAACAACCAACCACCATTTCATCTCTCTTACAACTCTGTGCATTTAGAATGTGAACAGGGAATGCAGTATCTTCTGTCTCAGCTCCCTGAGCTATCTGTTGGGGTGAACCATCTGGGGTCCCAGCTAGAATGGCTCAGACAGCTGGGTGCTGGCTCAAATTGCTTAGCTGGAATCACAGTATCATCACTTCTACCACACTCTTAAAGTGGTGCACAAGCCCTGTGTACCTTCAACAGGAGGGGACTCTCTAGGCACATGAAGTGGGTTTCACTGAGGCTATCTAGCCAACAGCTGACTGTAACTTACACACATCAATGAATGAACAAACTTCAATCACTGGCTCCATTCCTCTTTCCTCTGTCCTCCACAAAGACCAGTCATTTGCAGAGAGGAAATTAACTCATTGTTTCCCTTAACCATGGGAAAGAAACAAAGGGTTAAGTGGTCAGGTGCTAAACCTGAGGGGCATGGAGTTCTTAGACAGAAAGCTCCTCCATCCACATATAAGTTTCTCGGGGACAAAAACATTGTCTGTTCCCCACTGACCCTCAACTCTTGCCCATACTGCAGGCTCTAGAAAACTCGGAAGGAACCGTGATCCTCTGATGAGTCACTCAGCCTTGGCTTCTCCCTGGTGAAGACAGACAACAAGAAACACATTTCCATAAAGGTGCTGAGATAAGCAAAAACATAAATAACAAATGCAATATGGTCTAGAGATGGACTTGTTACACAATGGTGCTGTCCAGAGGAGTTCAGCAATAGCCAATAATTACAATGAGTCATTAGTAGGTGAGTGGCTCACACCGTCCCAATGCAGGAGAGCCAAGAAATAATAAGACAGGTCAATTCAATCCCACTGAAAGCTCAAGTTAATAAGAAATTTAAATATTTTTCAAAGAGTAGAGGTGATACAGACAAGAGGACACATCCTTTTCATCCATTTCCCCATAAGGATATACGGCTCCCTTAAAGGGTTTTTTTTTTGAGAAAGAGATCAGATCCTAAATGTATCACGAGGCCCCAAATGGTAAATTCAAATCCTATTCAAACTATTGTCAGGGAAGGAGAGAAAATGACAGACCAGCAAGCACATTCCTGAAGCAGCAAATTTAACAACCTCCCATAATCTCTTCCAGCTGAGCATGCGCTGCTCCACCGGGCCCTTCTATTCCCATTTGTAATTATTCAGTGCATTCATTTCTATCCTCCTCAACAGCTATCTAAGTCTGTTCTCTGGGAATCCTGTGAATATTTTCAGACAAAAAATTGTGCGGCAATTAAAAAGCTAGCTGCGTGTGGTAGCATGCACCTGTAGTCCTAGCTATTCAGGAGGCTGAGGCAGGAGGATCTCTTGAGCCCAGGAGTTTGAGGTTGTAGGGAGCTATGATCGTGCCACTGTACTCTAGGCTGGGTGACAGAGAAAGACCCTTTCTCAAAAAACAAAACAAAACAAAAACGGGATCTTTTTCAGCTTTCTAAAAAATAACCAGAGTTCTAAGAATTTGGGTCCCAGAACCTACAAATTAAATTGGAATCTACGACCCACCATTCATTAGTTAGGTAACACTACTGAACTTCGCAACTGGGCAACTATTGAACTTCTCTGAGCCTCAGTTTCCTCATCTAGAATATGAAAATAATTACAGCACCTACCTCCTAGAATGTTAAGGAGGATAAAAAAAATGATACCATGTATTTCAAGGTCTTCACCTGCAACACAGAACACAATAAGCTCTCAATAATTGCCAGCTACTATTATAACTTGTCTTTTTATACTGCACCTAACCCTAAATTAACAGTGCAACACTTCATTTTTTTTTAAATCTCATAATTCCACCCCATTCAATCCTAACTAAATTTAAAATACACACCAAAAACTAAAAAAGAGATACAGGCACAGCTGCCAAATGGCAAGTAAAAAGCCGTAATTTTCCATCATTGGAATATATTTAGTGATAACTATAAATGAAAAACTAAGGGGGGGGGGGGGGAAGCGAGCCCCCACTTAAAGTTACCCTTCCAGTCTGACAGTCTGAAAACCAAAAATGAAGTCAGACTTCCGCTCGCTTCACTCCTTTCCACTCCCGTCTGTCAAAGTTGGGTGGAGAACTCCCACATTTCCTGTTCTGAGCCCGGAGCTCTCTGCCAGGTAAAGCAATAGACACTCCAGCTTGTGCTGGGACAGCTGGGACCATCGGAGGGCCGGGCACTCACGAAGTTTCATATCATTCTTTCTAGGTTAGTTCTGATGAAATCAACACCCTGAACTGAAGGCCCCGGGCGGCCAAGATAAAAGATTAAGTCATCAAATGACTAGCATACTTGCTTCTTAACAAGCAACTCTTGTGGTTGTCATACACGAATGACGTCATCTCCAACACACACCTTGTCAGGTATTCTATTCCCAATTTTCTCACAGCTGAAAAGGAACCAGACTGCTGATTTTCTCAATTTGCTTAGCAGAGGCAGAAATTTAATTGGGATATATATGGTTCTTTAGATTTTCTTCTGCAGATTATTTTGCCTCCAGCACTTTACATTCCCCAGGGAATGGTTTTTGTTGTAGGGAGTACTTAAAAATGCATCTATGTACCCACCCTACCTCAGTGGAAGTGGTCTGGCAGCACCTCCTCACATACCCTGACCACCAGCAGCACTGTGCAAGACCTTATACAAGATCCAAACCACTAAAACCTCCACCAACTTATCCACAGACCAAAATTCAGATTTGCCAAGATTTATAAAATGATTGCAATGTCATGCTACAAAGAAAAGAATATCGGCCTCACAGAACTCAGTAAAAATAATATCAGCCAGGCGCGGTGGCTCACGCCTGTAATCCCAGCACTTTGGGAGGCTGAGGCAGGTGGATCACGAGGTCAAGAGATCAAGACCTTCCTGGCCAACATGGTGAAACCCCATCTCTACTAAATATACAAAAAATTAGCCAGGCGTGGTAGCGGGTGCCTGTAGTCCCAGCTACTCGGGAGGCTGAGGCAGGAGAATGGCATGAACCTGGGAGGCGGAGGTTGCAGTGAGCCGAGATCGCGCCACTGCACTCCAGCCTGGGCGACAGAGCAAGACTCCGTCTCAAAAAGAAAATATCATATCCATGATGAAATTTCATGGAGTTCTGTACCAAGTCAACCTACCCACCATCTAAAATTCTCTTGTTCAACTATTGCTTTTGTGTTTCCTCTTTTCCCTCTCCACACACACCCTCTCCCCCTCGACACCAGGAACCTAAGACCCATGAGAGCAAGGACTGTTCGCCAACTCTAGTCTCACAAGACAAGGCAAAATAGTAGTTGTTGGCTGGGTGTGGTGGCTCCTGCCTGTAATCCCAGCAGTTTGAGAGGCCAAGGTGGGTGTATCACTTGAGGTCAGGAGTTCAAGACCAGCCTGACCAACAGGGGGAAACCCCAGCTACTCAGGAGGATGAGGCTGGAGAAACGCTTGAACCCGGGAGGCAGAGGTTGCAGTGAGCCAAGATTGCGCCATTGCACTCCAGCCTGGGCGACAGAGCTAGACTCTGTCTCGGGAAAAAAAAAAAAAAAACAAACAGTAGTTGTGGTGGATTCCGTTATTTTTTTTGGCAAATATTCTCTCCCTCCTCCTCCCCCAGCCTTCATGGGAAGACTATACTTCCCTGACTTGCTCTGGGTATGTGCTGAAATGACAGTGTGTCATGTCAGTCCCAGGACCAGGCTGCAGAATGAGACACATACAGCACAGTTTCCCAGTCAACTTGCAGACCCCTGAGTGTGAGAATACTTCATGCTGAATGCCACACAGTTTAGGGTAGTTTGTTACATAGCTTTTTCGTGCCAAGAAATGAGTGATACAGCAAGCTCTCAATAAACATTTGCTGAAGTAACAAATGAAAAGACTCAACTTGTTAGCACTTGCAAAAACCCATTAATTGTGACAATTCTGCAACAAATCAAGTATTAAGCCTAGTTTTTACTCTAGAATATACTCCTTTAATAAAAATTACATATTTAGAGGTTAAGATTTAAGAGACCAAGACTAATCTGTTAGGCCTTCCTTATTTGACTAGAGCCAAAAGATAATGATCACTTATCCCATTTGTAGATTATACTCTGAAACCATTTGATGGTTTTTTTGGGGGGTTTTTCTTTTTTTTTACCCTTTCCTTTCCTAAAATGCTGGTGAAAGCTTCAAGCCCATAAGATACCAATTTTTACAGGGTACTATTCCTTTCATCTAATGCAAAAAGCCTTGAAGCTCATAAAAATGAGGCTATGAACTTTTAAGGCACATAGCTTGTAGGGTTAGTGTTGATGTATTTCCATTACTTGAAACATTTAATGGAAGTAGTTTAACAGTTCACTTACATATTGTGTTTACAGTTATTTCATTTCTTAACAGAGAATAGAATCACATCTAAATGGGGATAAAATCGCATTACATTCTAGAAGTACCTTTTCATTCTGACCCTTTATCACTCAAGGTAAGGGCTATAAAAGAATCCCTTTTTTAAAAAAAAAATTTATTTGAAGTTCCGGGGTACATGTGCAGGATGTGCAGGTTTGTTAGGTAGGTAAACATGTGCCATGGTGGTTTGCTGCACCTATCAGCCATCCCTTAGGTATTAAGCCCAGCATGCATTAGCTATTTTTCCTGATGCTCTCCTCCGCACAACCCCGCACTCCCTGACAGGCACCAGTGTGTGTTGAAAAGAAGCCCTTTTTCAATGAAATTATAATTTAGGGGGATAAGGAGAGGAAAGACAGGCAGAAATGAGAAAGAATCAATAAAATCTGGGAGCAATATGCTTCCTCATCTATGGTACTGATATGCTTACTTTCAATGTGCCAAGCATATGCAATATCAAAATTTCACATGTATAAATGATTATGACCTACCGATATCTTTCTTTACCCCTCAAGTGTGAGGGGAAAAAAATGGGAAAAGCACCTAACAGAGTCTTCAGGCCTTATGGCAAATATATGGTGAAATATTCCATGAATAAAACAAGTCTATTTTAACATATACTTTCAGACCACCTTGGGAAGTTAATCGTTTTCTCCATCTCAAATCACTTTCTACACATGGTATTAATGTTGGTTTATTCCTTTCTTTATTATCTGATTGCTAAGTTCCCTTTTAAGCCACAATAGGACACACCAATGCTCCACAATCGTTTTGCCATTAAGAACTAGTTGCATCATGTTTTGCAAATACAGCCCAGTTCGAGAAGTCTGTGTTCCCCAATTGTGCTTTCGAACTAATAAGTAACCTATCTGCCCCCGAGAGAGCCACTGTAACCACACAGAGTTAACCTTACTCTACCTAAAAGTAAAGAAACTTGACATTTTAGTTAAACTAGGTAACCATATCTTGAGAAAATGTACTCTGGTTAATCAGGTCTTGTTCCCCCCACGCTTTTTTTTTTTTTTTTTTGATACGGAGTCTCGCTCTGTCCCCCAGGCTGGAGTGCAGTGGCGCGAACTAGGCTCATTGCAAGCTCCACCTCCCGGGTCCACGCCATTCTCCTGCCTCAGCCTCCCGAGCAGCTGGGACTACAGGCGCCCGCTACCATGCCCGGCTAATTTTCTTTTTGTATTTTTAGTAGAGACAGGGTTTCACCGTGTTAGCCAGAACGGTCTCGATCTCCTGACCTCGTGATCTGCCCGCCTCGGCCTCCCAAAGTGCCCAGATTACAGGCTCAAGCCACCGCGCCCAGCCCTTGTTCCCTTTTAATGATAAAACAGCTTGACATTCCTTCCCCAGATGCCTTTTAAGGCCTCCAATTGGGCTCAAGAAACCAGGCTGGGAGGTGATGTTCTGTTTTAATCTCTATTTCTCCATCTCTTTCTTCCTACCCCAATTAAATTTTCTTATTGAAATAAACGCAGGGTTTAAAAAAAAAAATTTTTAAACCTAATACGACTAAGGCAAAAATAATCCCAACACATATACTGTGATGCTTCTACCTTGATTACTTACCAAGGGTAAATAATGGCACAAGATGGGCCTTGTGGGAAATAAAAGCTAAAACTGTCCAAAGGCACCAGACATGATGAAAGGTATTCCACACTGGAGTATTTCAACCAGGAAGCAGGTGAGCCAGAGAGCTCTGCTCAGCCCCCATGGTGGGGCAGGACTCAGCACAAGGGGCTTGGCCCAACATGGGCAGTTAATGGGTGTTTACTTCCTGTCCATGGCAGGGCAACATCCTGCATCACAGGCTAAACCTTTCATATCAGGCTTTTACAGAAGGGCAGCAATTATTATCCTCTCAGCCCACCAATTTTAATGAAAACCCATGGCAGGCCAGGCCCTGTCTAAAGTGCTT
Source organism: Homo sapiens (assembly GCF_000001405.40). Taxonomy (NCBI): domain Eukaryota; kingdom Metazoa; phylum Chordata; class Mammalia; order Primates; family Hominidae; genus Homo; species Homo sapiens. The sequence goes on from NC_000003.12 coordinate 66,000,886, forward strand.
CACAGCCATTATTTCATTTAGTCATCCCAATGACCCAGTGAACAATTAGGAAATTGAAGCTCCAAAAGTTGCAGTCGGCATGTATTAAGATATTATAAAGATGTCTTGTCCTGGTGCTGGAGATACATAGCAAAATGGAAAAGATGAAATTATTCTCTTCAAGGGACCTGCTATCAAATAGGGGAGACAGAAAGGTCTTTAGAAAATAATAGAATGTAGTTAGAAGAAACAAATTCAGGGTGCCCAGAGAAGGCCCCTAAGTATTTGGGGGTGGAGGATCTCAAGGCCATGGTATTTGAGCTCAGTCTTGAAGAACAAGTAGGAATTGGTTCGATTAGGATGGAATAGGTGAAGGGGGATGAAGACCTCCCAGGAGTAAAGAACTCACCTCAGTGAGGTTTTCAAAAAGAAAATTTTAAAATAAACTTTGAATATTCAAAAAAGATATATAATATCTAAAAATTATTATGATTATGCTAGATCCAAACCACTAAAACCTCCACCAACTTATCCACAGACCAAAGTTCAGATATGCCAAGATTTATAAAACGACTGCAATGTCATGCTAGAAAGAAAAGAGTATCAGCCTCACAGGACTCAATAAAAATCTAAAATGTAAACACTTGACAGACAAGATCCCTCTGAATCCTCACAACTGGAGGAGGCAGGTCCGATAATTATCCCTGTTTTATACAGGGGGAAACTGAGGCTCAGACAGGTTACATAACATGGCTTAAAATCACATGACAAATAAGCAGACCCCAACCCTATATAATGCAGAAACTTACATGTCCGTGGCCTTAACAGCTGCTCCTACCTGCCCTTCCAATTTTGCTTCCTGTCCAGTTCATAACAATGTGTCTACCTAACAAAAAACAAGTAGTCTGAAGAACAATGGAAAATTTTGGACATCTGTGCCAATTTTAATTAAATAATTGCTTGTCCACAGGCCAAGCTGTTAAAGCCTTTAGAAAAACACGGAAGCTGAAAGCTCTCACATATATTAAACAAAAGTGATCCTATATGATCACTAGCAAGGTCCAAACCTTCCCCTTGCCTCAGTACTTGTTCCCAAAGCAAGCTCAGGTTTGATCAACCACTTCCCGCCTCAAGTCTTATAAGCCCCAGTGTGCTCAGACCTTCTGAAGCCACTTGACAGGCTTCCTGCCTCAATTTCATAGATTGAGTCTCATAAACAAAAACAAATGCCAAGCACAAAAATCTCTTGGCAATAAAGGGGCCTGCATTAGTTCTCCTCAGGTAAGGATTAACTTCAATATTTAGCTTAGAAATAAGGCATTTTAAATTCGCATTTTCAGAAACACTGGGCAAATTTGCAGAAAAGAAAAAAACACGTCTGGATGGGGAGGGGAGATCTCACTGCATTAAATGTTTCTATAATAAATAATTCCCTGAGGTACCAATTTTAATCACTTGACATTTTGTTTCCTTTTAATGCAAACATACAGAACACAATACTACCATTTCCAATTTTATTTGTAAGGATCTAGCTCTTAGGTAGGAATTAGGGACATTTCATGGGGTGGGGGGTGGTGGTGAAGATCTCTGTCTTTTCTGAAATGACTTGATGCTGCTTAAAACTCACCTGTCCCACATAGACTATTTTTCTTTTCTTTTTTTGTTTTTTGGGGACAGACTCTCACTCTCTTCCCAGGCTGGAGTACAGTGGCGCGATCTCGACTCACTGCAGCCTCCACCTCCCTGGTAGAGGGATTCTCCTGCCTGAGCCTCCCGAGTAGCTGGGATCACAGGCACCCGCCACCACACGCAGCTAATTTTTTGTATTTTTGGTAGAGACAGGGTTTCTCCATGTTGGTCAGGCTGGTCTCGCACTCCTGACCTCAGGTGATCTGCCCACCTCAGCCTCCCAAAGTGCTGGGATTACAGGCATGAGCCACTGCACCTGGCCTATTTTTCAAAAATAGTGCTTCTGATTCACTGCACTTCAAAGGTGGCCTTCCTGGTATTTTCAGGTACAACAAGCATAGTAAGGGCCATTTGTCCAGACAGGTAAATTGCACCTAATGATTGACACTAACAGGAGAATTATTAATAGTACAGAGCTGGAATTAACAACAACCACTACATACACACACATATACACAGTCCCAGGGAGTATTAGATCTATAGTCATGTATTTAGGCAAAACTTCCCTTTGAACTGCTTTGATCCATCTGCCCTGAACATATGAAAGAAGAAGAGATAACTTTGATACCTGTAAGACTGTGAAGATGAACAGGGCAGTTGGTGCAAAACTACAAAGCCCTTTCCCCTTGAACAGCAGAGTCACAGGGGCAGCCATAAACCCTAATACAAACTCTTCCCTCCTTCCCTCTCCTTCTTACCAGCCATTCGCCACCACCTCCCCATGTGGAGACAAGGACACACCACAGCAACTGCAATTCAGCCACAGAGTAATGGAGAGTGGAGATTTGGCTTGTTGATTCAAGGTTAAAGAGGAGAGGCAGGACATGCACGGTGGCTCATGCCTGTAATCCCAACACTTTGGGAGGCCAAGGTGGGTGGATCACAAGGTTAGGAGTTCGAGACCAGCCTGGCCCAACATGGTGAAACCTCGTCTCACTCTGTTGCCCAGACTGGAATGCAATGGTGTGATCTTGGCTCACTGCAACCTCCACCTCCCAGGTTGAAGAGATTCTCCTGCCTCAGCCTCCTGAGTAGCTGGGATTACAGACACACACCACAACACCCAGTTAATTTTTGTATTTTTAGTATTCTGTATTTCAGAGATGGGGTTTCACATGTTAGCCAGGCTGCTCTTGACCTCCTGACCTCAAGTGATCCACTCACCTCGGCCTCCTAAAGTGGTGGGATTACAGGCGTGAGCCACCGCACCTGGCCAGCTTCAACTGTTTTTAAGGGTAACTTGGTAACTGTGTAGAGCAAATTCTCACTTTTTTGTTTGTTTGGTTTTTGGTTAGTCAAGTAAAGTAGTGAGAGTAGAGAAAGAACAAAGAAATCTGTAACCAGTTGTGACCAACCAGTTGTAAACACCACTGCACTCAGACAAGCTGTTTATTTGTTTATAATAATAGTAACAAGAGAAGGCGGGGGACATCACAATAATCTACTCCCACCCCCTTTGTAAACTAAAATGCTACTTCCTTTATACCTGTGAGACTATCTAAAACAATTCAGAAGCTGACGCTCCTGTTCGCCAAAACAGATGTGGGGAAAAAAATCCTGCTCGGATTTTATTAGAAGCCAAGGACTTTCCTCATTCTCTCTCTCTGGTTACTAATGCTCCAAAATAAGCCACCTCAACTTTGTGGCATAAAACAACCCTTTCATTATGCTCACGGTTCTGTGGTTCAGGAAGTCAGACAGAAATGGGGACAGTTTGACTCCACAGTGTCTGGGGCTTCAGTTGGGGGTGACTTGATGGCTAAAGGCTGGAATATCCGGAGGCATCTTCACTCGCATGTCTAGAGGTTGACACTGGCTGTCGGCCGAAACACCTACACGTGGCCTCTCTGCGTGGTCTCTCTGTGTGGGCTTAGTCTGGGCTTCCTCATAGCATGGTGGCTGGGATCCAGGAACAAGCATCCCAAGATAGCAAGGCAGAAGCACATGGCATTTTTACGGTCCTGCCTCAAGAGTCACATGGTGTGACTTTCTGTCATACTCTGTTGGTCCAGATAATCACAAAGGTCTGTCCAGGTTTAAAAGGATGGTATATAGACATCACCTTCCCCACTCCCATGGAAGCACAGTCAAGTTCACATTGTATCTGGCATGGGAGCTATTTTTTGCCACCAACTTTGGGAAAAAAATGCAATCTGCCATTGCAGACAAACCACTGATAGATGAAATCCCATGAACAAGGTAAGTCCAAAAATTCTGAGTCTCAGGCATCTTCGACTATCGCAGATTTAAAGCAAACTCTGACAGGCAAAAGATCACAGGAGAGAGCTAGAAGAATGGGGTTTTAGCCACAGAAGCCCACCAAGGTGCCTTTGAAGCCATGATTACAAACACTACTCCTGGCAACAATTAGAAGGGTCCTCAACATATATTATTGTATATACCTTTGCTGTTTTATTGCAGCTTGGTTCCTTCTGTATCCCATTGACATCTGATTTAATGTACAAGAGTATTAAAACATCTGCTGAATTATAATTCCAAAGTTCAGATGACATCAAGATAAAATCTATGAAACTATGAATTTGCCATGTTAAATGGCTTTTTTATTTTTAATGGATCACAGAGGGCAGCTGTTTTAAAGCAGTCCCATATGCAAAGCTGTGGGTTAGGTTTAACTAAGAATCAATGTGACCTACAGATCTTTGAATGTGTTGCAAGGGAGACCACAGTCTTCAATAATGCTGCATCTCCCAGCAGGCTGCTTTTGGGCCAAGCAGGAGATGGGGAGGCAGAGAAGATCATCTGCAATGAGTGGCCCATATCTTGATTTTCTTTTGTCTCAACCTAAAAATGATACTACAGGCTCTTCCTATGTTTTAAGGACAAAATAGGCCCACCTTTCAGACTTCTGGTTACATCACTAAGCAGGAACACCATTCCCATCAGGATAATATCCTCATCTTATAAGTAACAGCCTCATCCTCAGCTGTTCAAAATCAATATTCACAGCCTCTTTGCCTCTCCTCACCCACTAAGAAAATCTTTAGCACTTCCCACTCAGCACTAACCCCATTCCTAAATCTCCCACGCCTTCCCCTTGTGTCTTACTATACATATTGAGGCCATCAGTGTGTGTGAGTGGAAGGGGGGAAATCAAAGGGAGAGAAGAAAATAGCTGAAGGACAAAGACAAGGAAAGAAGATGACACAAAAAGGAATGGCAGCACCATGCCAGGGAGAGATTTGGTAGAGGACAAGAAACATACCACAAAGAGATCTTCCATGCATCTCCCATGGATCTACCAGGAATCTAGAGATGGAATGATGACAAATAAACAGAGAGGGAAAGGGCACTTAGGAAGGGCTGCAAAAGGGAATCACCTGACTTCCAATAAGATTGCAATCACTTCTAGGGTTGGTTCCTGGACTGGATTTCTTTGAATGACACACTGGGCCTCGAGTCAGTCACTTCAAAACTCTGGATTTACTTGGGTTATGTTGAGCTGATAAAAAATTATATTTAGAGAGATCAGTAATTTGTTAAGTGACAACTCAATTCTTCCCATCACTGAAATTTGTGACTTTACCACTACCAGACACAGCCAAGTAAACAGAAATCTATCACATTCATTTAGCCCTTATTGTCTATTGCTCATGAGGATTTAGCTGTCCACCAGACAGGAACCAGCAACCAGTATGGAAGCACTTGTGTGGCTGGCTGCTATATGAATAATGTCAGCAAATGTGAATTAACTCATGAGAGGCTGAAAAACTATTACTGCCAGTATTGGATACGACAAAAAATGAAATCCCACCTTCTAAAGACAGAAAGTTGCCCAGCATTTTATTTCAAATGTTAAAGTCTTAAAAGCTTCTCCTAAAGTCAAACAAGTAACTTTTCACTTGTGACACATATATACACACATATAGGTATACATGTATATGTGTTTATGTGTAGGTATATATGTATATATGTGTGTATGGGTATGTATATGTGTCTATACATATACATATGAGTAAGACAAACTAGAATGGTTTATTTTCAGCATATGTCAAACCCTAGGCAATGCTGAAGTAAAGCTTTTTCATCTGTTTAGACTCTGATCATCCTATGGTACCAGAACTTTAAGGAGGTTTCTAATGATGTCACATATAATACTGTCGTTTAAAGAAAGTATGACATAAAAACATATCAACACACAGACACATAAATAAAACAGGGGAATGGGATTATGAGTTTTAAATTTTTGTTTCAGTTTTTTCTTGGTTTAGCGGTCCTCTCTTTGAAGAACATGGTTTTGTTTTGTTTTGTTTTGTTTTGTTTTGTTTTGTTTATTAGAGATGCAGTATCACTCTCTCACCCAGTCTGGAATGTAGTAGCTCAATCATAGCTCACTGCAACCTCAAATTCCTAGGCTCAAGTGATCTTCCCACCTCAGCCTCCCAAGTAGCTAGAACTACAGGTGCATGTCACCATGCCCAGCTATTTATTTATTTATTTATTTATTTATGTAGAAACAGAGTCCCACTTCGTTGCCTAGGCTGGTCTCAAACTCCTGGCTTCAAGCAATTCTCCCACCTCGACCTCCCAAAGTGCTGAGATTACAGGTGTGAGCCACCACACCTGGCCTGAAGATCACATATGTCACGTAAAGTCTATTAAGCTTGACTACACTCAGGGTACAGTGCAGATGCTGGGTCCCATGGCGCTCAAGAGGGAAGGAGTCCCTGGACCTGCCTCGGTAGAACTTTATCAGTTCTATCTCATTGTCTCCTTTAAGCCCCACGGCGATCCTATCTTCCCAATGACACACTGTCTCTTTTCCTATATCATTAACAGGTAAGAATCAAGTTGTAAACAGAAGAATTAGGAAGCCAAAAAGCAGGAAAGCTGAGCAACACACTCAAAATCTAATCGCTGCCTGAGAAATCAGGAATTGACTCTAAACACTTGGACACAGCATGTCACCAACACAGTCCAACTCTAGTGAGGAGGAGGAGAGCGAGGAAGAGGAAACTCAAGAGCATAAATGTGCAGGATAAGGGAAATGGTGCAAGGCTGAAGAGAAATTCCTTAACTGCATCCTAAGCAGCTGTTGTCAGTAGGTCTGTTGCTGATGCTTCCGAGGAAACATTTCAGGACCATTTATCAAGGGAACTGGTAGCAGTAATATGGATGGGCTTGACTCAAACAAGAAAATATACTGCAGACAACAAGGAACATAGCTCATAAGTGAGATGAGCCCTAGTACAGCAATAACCATTTCAGTGTATTTGCTATACTTTCCTTAGGGCAGAAGAGAAGGAAAGATACTAAATTGGAGGAGGGAAGAATGTGTGCCCCACACACTAGTCCTCTGGAGCTTATCTGGCTCCATAGATTTTTTTTTTTTTTTTTTTTTTGGACATAGAGTCTCACTCTGTCACCCTGGTTGGAATACAGTGGCCTGATCTCGGCTCACTGCAACCTCCGCCTCCCAGGTTCAAGCGATTCTCTTGCTTCAGCCTCCCAAGTAGCTGGGACTACAGGCATGTGCCACCATGCCCAGCTAATTTGTGTATTTTTAGTACAGATGGGGTTCCACCATGTTGGCCACGCTAGTCTTGAAATCCTGACTCCAGGTGATCAGCCTGCCTCAGCCTCCCAAAGTGCTGGGATCATAGGTGTGAGCCACCATGCCCAGCCTGGCTCCATAGATTCTTACTATTTAGTATAGTTCATAGGACCAGCATCAGCATCACGTGGGAGTTTGTTAGAGATGCCCAACCTGGGCCTACTGAATCAGGACCTGCATCCCCAGATAATTCACAAGCACAGTCAACGTGTGAATTTACAATGCTGGGCCCTACACCATCTGGTGAACCGAGAGATTTCAATCTTTTCCTCATCTCCTCCTCCATTTAGTCTCTAAAACATGAGCACCCACCACATGTAGGCACTATACCTGGCAGGCACAGCAATGCCCTTGACCCTCACGCAGCTCAGAGCTGGGCATTCTGGGGAACAGACACAACCCATACAACCACAAACGCACATAAAGATACAACTGAGTGGCAAGTGCTGCAAAAGGGAAACAAGTGGTCTTATGAGAGCATTAAACAAGATGAGATTCTGTCAGGCCAGGATCCCTGGAGAAAATGATGTTAGAATTGAAATCTGCAGGATGACTACATATTAAGTAGGAAGAGTATGGGGGGGCAGGGAACAGTGTCCAGCCAAAGAGGAAAGGCTTGTGCAAAGACCCCATGGCATACCACATTACAGGAACGACAAGAGAACACCACATGTACAATGAAGCTGGCCGGGGGGCAGGGGCCAGACCATGAGGGCTCTTGTAGCTCTAAATACTTTGATCCTAAGAACAGAGAGAAGCCCTGAGAGGCTTTAAGCAGGGTATGCCAGGTTAGAGAAAAGAAGGTATAGGCAGATCCCAGGAATTTTACTGAGGAAGCAGGTCTCAGACCCCAGCTATCCCCATTTGTATAAAAGTTTATCTTCCCTTCCCTTCTAACCCAGGGCCGTATCAGGCGTAAGCCGGCCTGCCTGCCACCAACCCCACAAGACAAACTGAGCCCCTTTCCTACCAAAGAAATAAGCAAGAAGTGCCCCAGTGCTAAAGCAAAAGAAAAACACACACAAAGATGAATATGCCTGGTGGCTGCCCCAGGACATTGGAGGGAGTGATGCATAGTACTTCAGATTCTTAAAAATAAAGAATATCCGGCCAGGTGCGGTGGCTCACGCCTATAATCCCAGCACTTTGGGAGGCAGGCGGATCACCTGAGGTCAAGAGCTCGAGATAAGCCTGGCCAATACAGAGAAACCCCGTCTCCACTAAAAATACAAAAATTAGCCGGGCGTGGTGGCCGGTGCTTGTAATCCCAGCTACCCGGGAGGCTGAGGCAGGAGAATCACTTGAACCCCAGAGACCGAGGTTGCAGTGAGCCAAGACCATGCCACTGCACTCCAGCCTGGGCGACAAGAGTAAAACTCTGCCTCAAAATAAAAAAAGTAAGGAATATCTGAATTCAAGACCTGGTTCTACCCCTGACTACCTACACAAGGTAAACTTTCCAAGGTTCCTAAGAATGCCTAACGATACCTACATAATAATGTTACTGAGAGAATTAAACAGTAGTGTCTACAAAGCTCTAAGCATGAAACTTAACACATAGTAGGTGTTCAATAAAAAATGTATATCTTTACACAGCACTGTGGTTCTCAACCTGCCCTCATGAGCACATTAACTCTTCAACCTAAAAGAATCATTGTTGGCTGGGTGCAGTGGCTCACATCCATAATCCCAGCACTTTGGGAGGCCGAGATAGGTGAGGCAGGTGGATTGCTTGAGGTCAGGAGTTCCAGACCAGCCTGGTTAACATGGTGAAACCCTGTCTCTACTAAAAATACAAAAATGAGATGGGTATGCTGGTGGGTGCCTGTAATCCCAGTTACTCAGCAGGCTGAGGTAGGAGAATCGCTTGAACCCGGGAGGTGGAAGTTGCAGAGAGCTGAGATTGTCCCAGTGTACTCCAGCCTGGGTGACAAAGTGATACTCTCTGTCTCAAAAAAAAAAAAAAAAAAAAAAAAAAAGAATCATTGTTTATTTTTAAAAACAATAACGACTAACATATAGAAAATGCTTAGCCACAACATTAAGCAATGCTAAGCATCACATGTATTAGTAAGTCATCACAATAACACTATGAAATGGGTGCTGCTATTAACTCCATTTTACAACAAAAAGTATACAGAAAGTAAGGAGCCTGCTCAGGTACTGAGTGTGAGTCTCTGTTCTGTGGTGCCTTGGCCACTCCTCAGGGCTCCCAATATGCATATCCCTAGGCAATAACTTGGGCAATTCACAAAGTGCTTTCCCCCTTATTCTAGGTCTCCTTGAACTACGGAACTCTTAGCATGATATTCACTGATGCCCAACAAGCCTGCTTCACTCAAGTAAAAGGCTGAATGAAAGAAACTGCCTCTTGAAAGAATCTGATCCTCTGACCAGGGTGCAGGCCGGCAGATGATAAGAGGCTGAAAACAAGCACACTTCTAGGCGTTCCTCACTTACACCATTATAATGAAACGAAGCTTTCTCTGGCTATATGGGGCTCTGATGTCATTAGTAGGACAGCTCTTTGAAAATCCCAAACACCCAAATTTTGATAAAATCTAACTTTCTTTTCAGAATTTCCAGTTTGTGGTATTTGGAGAAGTCCCATAACCCCTACATGAACTGAACTGTGTTTATTTCCAAATTTTCTGCACACCACTCACTACCAACTTGGTGTTTACAAAGCACCTTTGCCCTCAGGATTTCCAGGCAGTGATAAAAGCATAGAGCAAATATTTTATGGCCGGTCTCATCCTAGTGCCGTAGTGGGTACACAGAATGCCAGCCAGCTGTAAGCAAAGGGGCAGGACTTGAAAGCTTTCTCAGAGGAAGCCAAGTGTTACCTGTGGTATTTAAATGGAAAGAGGCCTGTTGAGTCAAGTGCCTTCCCAGGGAACTGGAGGGACACCAATTTGCCCAAAGTCATCCCTGGCTGGGGAATATAATAGAGGGCTAGAGTTCAGACTTTTCTTCCAGCTGATGATTCATTTAGGACAAAAGAATTTACCTTTCCTTTCAACTCTCTGTGACAAAAGGTTGGAGATACCAGAGGAAGCCAATTCAGCTAACTTCAAGGGTGTCCCCACATGGCAGCACACATAAATGCGCCAAAGGGAAAATGAAAGGGAACGGCCCAAGTATTCTTTTCTCGACAACAAACGTTGCAACAGTCCTAGAGCGACGAAAAGATAGGTTTGAAAGCTAGTCAAACATGAGCTCAAATCCAAGCACACCCACTTCCCAGATGTGTGTTCTTGGTCATGTTACTGAAGAAGGTGGTGCTTATTAAGCCAATTACACACACACAAACATACACCCCTATGTCATATGCCCACATGCAGTGAACACTATGCTGTACTATGCCACCCGCCTCCAGGATCCCCCTCCAAGACTTGTGTTGGCTGCAGAGAGTCACCTTCCCTGAGGTCACATAGCCTTCCCAGAACAGCCGCCTCCAATCCTTGTTGACTTGAGGGTATACAAGCCTTGCCCTATCATCCCAACCCAGGACAATACTGAAGAACCATCTCAATGTCAGAGCTTCCTGCAGGTCGGCTGGGCCTTGGTTGAGACGACTTCACAGCCTAACTTCTCCTCCAGCCCAATTCCTTCAACAGGAATTGATTCCAAAAGCATTCCCTAACCAATGTCCTATATGGTAATCATCTCTGAGTTTGCTTTCCAGGAAGCCAGACAATATGCTGAACCAAAAAAAAAAAAAAAAACTGGAATGAGAGATAGTGAAGTATGGCCAGGTAATAGTATTAAGTTATTTGGATTGTCCTTTTTTCAAGGTCAAGTAAAATGCAATTCTAGCGAAAAAAATGAGTTAACTTTTTTAAAGGGCAATAGGATACCCAACAGATGTCCAATACTTCCTTTTTCCTTAGCTGTAACTCCCCCTACATCACACAACCTTGTCTATATCGATTTGCTTTTGCTTGTTTTAGTTAGGATGGGCAACAAAATGGTATTTCAAAGTTACATCCTTCAAATTCAAAAGAATGACAGCCACTGAAACATTCTATGCTCAGTTAACCCAAAACACCAAACTTCCAGATGCATACAGGCTTTAATCTGTCAAACTTTTAAGTAAACTTTTCTTGGACAAGTTATCAAGTAACATCTTAGAAATTATTTTTTTAGCAGAGGGCAAATAAAAAGGAATTACACCATGATCCACTCAACATGAATAATACAAACTATACTTTATGCAGTAAACATTCATTCCAAGTTTTTCCTATAAATATAAATATGAGAAGAGGTAGTATTAAAAGTTCCATATCACCAGTCTTACCTTGAAACAAAAAAAAAATATTAAGACTCAGTAATAACTAGCTAATTTCAGAAAAGCAGAGGTAGAAATGGATGAGAGATAAAAACAGACAACCATTTGGGAGCCTGAGGCGAGTGGATCACTTGAGACCAGGAGTTTGAGACCAGCCTGGCCAACATGGCGAAACCCCATCTCTACTAAAAATACAAAAATTAGCTGGGTATGGTGGTACACATCTGTAATCCCAGCTACTTGGGAGGCTGAGGCAGGAGAACAACTTGAACCTGGGAAGCAGAGGCTGCAGTAAGCCAAGATCGTGCTACTGCACTCCAGCCTGGGCAATAGGGTGAGACTCCATCTCAAAAAAAAAAAAAAAAGAATAAATAAGGGGACAGATGTGAAATCATCTAGCACAGTGCCTGGCACATCAGAAGTGCCCCTGTAATGTCCGGTAAATCTGAATCACTGCTATTTTTTAACTGCAGCTCTTTCCCACCCATCCCCATTTCCTCTAGGGTTTTACTGGGAAGCAAAGAAAAGAGGAACCTAGCCAACTCTGAAGCCCACTCTAGGTCAATAGTTTGCATGTAGCTCATTTAATCATTTTAACTCCTATTGTGTCTAAATTTATGTTTGAGGAACCCAGGGGTGGGGAGGGTCACAGTTTTAAATTTTTTAAAAAGGTGTGCTGTTTTCCCAAAGAAGAACTTCAATTCTGGCTGGGCACAGCGGCTCACGCCTGCAATCCCAGCACTTTGGGAGGCCGAGGCGGGTGGATTACCTGAGGTCAGGAGTTTGAGACCAGCCTGACCAACATGGAGAAACCCCATCTCTACTAAAAATACAAAATTAGCCAGGCATGGTGGCACATGCCTGTAATCCCAGCTACTTAGGAGGCTGAGGCAGGAGAATCACTTGTACCCAGGTGGCAGAGGTTGCAGTGAGCAAAGATTGCACCACTGTACTCCAGCCTGGGCAATACAGTGAAACTCTGTCTCAAATAAAAAAAAAAAAAGAAAAAAAAAAAAGAACTTCAATCCAACTACCTTGGAACCAAATTAAAGAAAAAGATAGAGGCCAGACTCGGTGGCTCAAGCCTGTAATCCCAGCACTTTGGGAGGCCAAGGTGGGCGGATCACGAGATCAGGAGACCGAGACCATCCTGGCTAACACAGTGAAACTCCGTCTCTACTAAAAATACAAAAAATTAGCTGGTCGTGGTGGCGGGCACCTGTAGTCCCAGCTACTCGGGAGACTGAAGCAGGAGAATGGCTTGAACCCAGGACGTGAGGCTTGCAGTGAGCTGAGATCGCACCACTGCACTCCAGCCAGGGCAACAGAGTGAGACTCTGTCTCAAAAAAAAAAAAAAAAGAAAGAAAGAAATGCAAACATCCCCACTAGGTATTTGAAAAAGCATGTTAGGGCCAATGCTACCCACTTTTCTCAGACAATGAAAACATCGTCAATGATTTGACTGAAGACTTATTTAAGTAAAACGGAGATACTCATACACCTGACGAAAAGAAAAAAGGTAACTTCTCCCCTGATAAAGACCATGCAATGGTGGCTCCGCAGTGAACCACTACATAATGTATCAGGGCCATCTTCCTCAATTTCCCTCATAAAAATAATACCTGCTTGCTGTAAACTACACCAACGAGTCACCTATGTCACAGCCCATTTCCCATTTCTCTTGCCCCAATTCCAATCCTCAGAGGAAGGTAGGGTAAACACATAATTCACCATCCAAAGCAGTTCACCAAACACTGAAAGAGGGTACTATTAATAATTATACCAGAACAACAGGTGTAAACCAGATATTTCCCAAACAAACCGAGACATATGGTCACCCTTCTCAGAGGTAGCCACAGGGAACATATCCTTGTTGTTCCAGATCTTTTTTTATTTTTAAGGCACACACAAGCATACCCAACCAGGTCAGCAGTAGCTGTGATATAACAATGGGATCATCCTATAGATGCTGTCTCTTACTTTTTTATTTAATATATCATCATCTGTTTACATGTCAGGACAGAGATCCACCTCACTTTTTTAACTGACTACAGAATAAGCCACTGTAGGGAGATACCATATAATTTTTCAACCACCCACAACACATATAAGCCAACTTGAAATTTTTGTCTTTACAAGCAATGCTATATAGAGAACACAGCCCCACATATATCTTTTATGAGTTTGAGTATTTCCAAAGAATAGGTTTCTAGTGGTAGAAAGGCTAGGTCAAAATGTTACCATTTTTAATAGGTTCTTCTCAATACTCTCCAAAGAGGCCTTATCAAATCATTTCAAGACCAAGAGTTAATAAACACTTGTGAAATTCTGCCAGGCTGGTAAAGGACACATGCTATCTCATTCCGTCATTTTCTTAAATGTTAACTTAAGACACTCTGGGTCCATGGTACACTTGGAATTTTCCTGCCTCCAGGCCTTTGCTCCCACTGTTGCCTCCACTTAGAATAACATTCCACCCCATCTCTATAAATATCCTACAGACAAATACTACCTTCCCCTTAAGGCCAGTTCTAACCCTAACTGACAACAAATCATCGCTACATGATCTTTTCCTTCTGGGAATGCCTGCAGCACTGTTTAATCCTGCCCCACCACCATCCCCTCACCCAGCACCCTCTCCCAGACCAGACAGGGTGGCTCATGCCTGTAATCCCAGCACCTTGGGAGGCTGAGGCAGGAGGATTGCTTGAGCCCAGGAGTTCAAGACCAGCCTAGGCAATACAGTGAGACCCTGTCTCTACAAAAAAAAAAAAAAAAAATCTAAAAAATAAAAATAGAAATACAAAGACATAATACACACGTACTAATTGATAAATTAAGACAGCTATGGTAAATAAAAATAAGCTTTGGATATATAAAAGACCTGGATATAAAGCCCTGGCTCTGCTGAGCCCAGTAAAGCACCTTACGTCCTGCAGGCATCCATTTCCTCATTGATAACTGTGGACGCAGCCAACCCCCTCCCAGCCTGAACCTAAGAACCTGGTTTGTTTCCCAACTTTGCCTACCATTAACAGCAGTGAAAAAAAAAAATCTTAACTCCTCTGTGCCTCAATTTCCTACTCTCAAAAATGGGAATGATTATAACACATTTCATAGAGCTGATTGAGAAGTAAATGAGTTGATAAAAAGCACTTCCAGCAAAGGATGGCATAGAGTAAGGGGTACATATATGCTAGATATTCTATAGCTACTGCCTTAAAATAACAATTAGATGATATTTTTTAAATATGCCAAAAAGTTTATAAGCAATAAATGTCTAGTAGCTTAATTTTTATCCCATCTACACTGGAATAATCAACAGAAAGAAAAATTGACCAAACCAGGAAACTACCCTGACATAAAGTTTATTGGAAAATGTCTATACGCATTTTCTCTCTTTCTATCTGTACATCAATCATTCTAGAACACTAAAGACTCAGGGATCACTTAATTGCTCTATCATCATTTGTAGCTTCCTACAGAGTGGTGACTAAATTGAGACTTCAAGAAATCGAAAGGAAATAACATGAGGACATAAAGACAGTATACTTAGAATGTGTTTCTATCAAATATGCTCCATATAATTTGGTCCAACAAATTCAGCTCTATAAAATCTCAAAGGAGGTAGTGGTGCCAGGAAAGAAGATAAAAACCCAGAGTGTTAAAACAGAAGTGTTTTGAGTCAATTACGAAGTCTATTCAGCGCCTCCACAAGCCTAGAATCAAGTGATCAGATTCAAAGGAGGAAAACTGACAAAATTAATATGGTAATAACTATCAGTCATTCAGTGTTGCCTTTGCTCTGTGTTCCATGCCGAGAGTTGACTGCATCATTTCATTGAATCCCTGTAGCAATCATATAAGATATGTGCTCTTATTACTGCTACTTCACAGAAGTAAAAACATGTACCCAAGGCCACATAGCAAGGAAGCAGCAGGACCAGATTTGAACCCGGACTACATGAAATTCAAATCCTGTGCACATAATTACTGAGCATACAGCCTCCAAGCCAGAAAGGTGGAAGGGTCGACTGGGTCAAAGCTGATGGCGGGACCGAAGAACAGCTGACCAATACACACACCCTTTGCAAAGAAGCGACGAGGACACGTTGCTGGCAAGGCTCTACTCTGGCAATATGTGCCCCAGCACCGGAGCTGGAGACTTTGGGTAAGTGGTGCTCCGGAGAGACCCAGGGAAAGTCAGGCAAAACTGAGCAAGAAAGAAAAGCAGAATGGAGGAGGTCAGGACATCAAGAAAATCTGACTCCACCTGCTTCCAAGGGGAGTGGGAAGATAAAAGTCAAATAGGACAAGGTGGAAACAACCCAATCTCCATCAACAGATGAAGGGTGAGCAAAATGGGGTACATACACAATGGAATATTATTCAGACTTTAGAAGGAAGGAAATTCTGACACGCTGCAGCGTGGATGAATCTTGAGGACATTACACTAATTGAGATAAGCCAGTCGCAAAAGGGTAAACACTGTACGATTTCACTTTTATGAGGTATCTGGAGTAGTCAAATTCACAGAGAAAGAAATTTAGAGGTCACCAGGGGCCAGGGGAAAGGGGAATGGGGAGTTGGTAATAGGCACAGTAGGAGAAGATGAAAAAGTTCTGGAGATGGATGGTGGTAATAACTGCATAATAACCTGAATATACTTAATGCCACTTAATTGTATAATTAAAATGGTTAATTTTATGTTATGTTACGTATATTTTACCACAATTTTGTTTAAGTCTCATAGAACCTTGCTACGTTCATGAAGTGCCAAGTTGCACTGCCGGGAACCCCAAGGAGAAAGTAGGAGTTAGTCAGTGCGGGAAGACGCAAGCACTTGTGTCTCAACACGCGCAGGGCGCGGCTGCAGATGGAAAAACCGGGAAGCTCCGCGCTGCAATGAGCCAGGCTCGCAGTGAAACCATCGCCAAGGCACCAACGTCTCCCTCCCAACGGAGGGTGCAAGGAAGGGTGCCTGGCCTCAGCTTTCTTCAGATCAAACTCCAGGGGGTCACCTACCCTTAATTCACACAATGGTACATCACACCCTGAAGGGGATCCTGCCACCTGTCACCAGGCAACAATGCAGCCTCCTGACGAACACCAAGCTAGAGGAAACCCACCGCTGTCACCTAATCTGCTGTCACCTAATCTCAGACAAGTAACAACTTCCAAGGCTCAGGGTTCTGACCGCTAAACTGGAGAGGATGGTACACACACTTCACAGCACGTGCTAAGGATGAAGGATGGTGCACGTGTGGCCCTCAGTGCAAAGCCTGAGTAGAGAGGCACTAAATCAAGCTCCACTATTGTTATCATCCGTATAGGTCTACTCTCCTCGGTTTTCACTTTCATACATGAAGCCCAACAGCCAGGTGACAGGACAGATTGGGCAGGTGAGAGCTGGAAGTCATCCCAACTTTGAAAAGAAAGGACTCTTAGGAAAACACAAAGAAGGAGGCAGAAACCATTAGAATAGTTAAACAATGAGAATGCTGAGAACCAACAAGCTGAGAGAAAAAGCAAACATCTTTACTCTTCTTTGGGAATTAATATCTGTAAATTGCTTTGTCTTGGACTCATTTATTTTTCCTCCTTTGATCTTGGTCAGAGATGCGGTCCACAATTTTTGGTGGTTGTGCTTCATGAACACACAACCAGGAGACAAAGATAAGGAAGGACACTTTGGTGGGGGGGGGGGGTGTCTGCACATGCCCATTTAATGTTGTTTTCTTTTACAAGCCTGGCTGGAACAAAATACCTTTAACCTCCACTACACCCTCACCCCAACACACACAGGAGCAGCCCCTGCATATTTTCACACGTGTAACTTTCTGCTACCACCAGGGGATGTAAAAGCAGAGTATTTTCTTCCAAAGACTGACTGCCTGGTTAACAGCATTTGGCCATACTCTAGTACCCCAGAGGTGACATCCCATTCTCTACCTTCCAACAAGGGTATTCAGTGCCAGGAGTTAAACCCTGGGATTCCAAAATTCTAGGCTAAGTGGCCTCCAGCCAGGCACAAAGAGCCAGGCATTTTTTTTTTAATAGATGCAGAAACTGAGGCACAGAGAGGTTAAGCAAGTGATCAAGGTCACACAGCCGGTAAGGGCCGGTGAAGGAATTGAAAATAGGCCAGTGACCACTGTAACCAGTAAACTATCTTGCCTCACATGGATCATGATCACCATCCCTTGTGGCTAGGTTCCAGGTGGACTTGGTACAGCCTTTGGTGGCCGCTGATGGGCTGGTGACCCTCTTTGCAGCCTTCTGCATTCTGAGTGCTCGGGGTCTTAATCAGCCACCTGAGCTCTGACTCTCACCTCACTCAGCACAGCATGGGTTGGTCTCATTACTTACCTCCCATCCTCCTCTTTCAAGTCATTGCTTGTCAAGTTTTGCAAGAATGAGAACTGGCTGTCTGATCACCTCTCGCTCTTCCCTTTGGGAAGCCACAGTGTGTCTCCATTGTTCCCCAGAACTGTTCAAGGCTTCCGGTAAATTCTCGTATCTTCCCTGAGCCATATCCAATTGGAAGGTACCTACCCACACCAAGAAGGATGCCATCTTGATTGGTTCATTCATTCACTCATTCATTCCACAAATGTTTATGCTGCTCAGCTGCCAGGTACTGCCTGGCCATAAGGAGAGTAGAATACATGGATTATGGATCAGATTCCTGCTCTCAAGTGATTACACTCCAGTGGAACAGATAATAGGCAGGCTAACTTCAGATGGTGATGAGAGCTAAGAAGAAAATAAAGTGAGCTCAGGAGATGGTGAGTGAATCTATGGGGAATTCTGTGAGAACTAGAAGGCAGGGTTTCCCAATCTTGCTGCTATTGGCATTTGGGCCAGATAAATCTTTGTTGGCAGTGGGCTCTCTGGTGCATTAAAGGATGTTTACAGTACCCCGACCCCTACCCCTCTATATACCAGTGGCACTTCCCAGATGTAACAATCAAAACTGTCTTCAGACATTGCCAAATGTTCCCTGGAAAGGCAACATTACCTCAGTTGAAAACCACTGATCTTGAATACTATTTAACAGCACAGGCTCTGCAATTAGAACCAGATTAGAATTGCAGTTTACTAGCTGTTAAGTTAAAGCAAATTACTTCACCTCTCTAAGACTTGGTTTCTTCATCACTAAAATGGGTTAAATTTTATCTACTTGCAAAGTTGTTGCAAAAATAATAATAATAAGATAGTGTCTGTGGAGAGTTTGACAAGAGCTCAGGTAACAAATGATCAATAAATGGGAGCTGTATTTTTTAACTCATCGGGTCAAGTTAAAACTCATATCCAAGGAGTCCACTCTTACCTCATCCATACTCAATTGCAATTAAATTTCCCATGGCACCTGTCCAATTTGACCTTTCTCTAAATCCACCATCCCATTGGAGGTAGCTGTCAGAAGTGGGGATCAGTTGGTTACTTGACCTGGCATCTATTCCATGGCTTCTCTCTTCTCAACAGCACCTCCCTCTTCCTTAGGGAACCATGTTTTGCTCCCAGTGCAACAGTCAAAAGGCCCAGATAAGGACTGACCCCACCCGTTACTGCAAGTGGGCACCAATTTGCATAAGCATCAATGATTAGGGATTGCAGAACTAAGGCATTCAGCACACAGTACATGACGTTCCTCTGGGTCTCTCTCTCCCTGGCTGTGAGTAACAAGGCATATCACCCGTTTGCCCCTGTTATCCATCTGCAAATAAGAGCCATCTTGGCCGGGCGCAGTGGCTCACGCCTATAATTCCAGCACTTTGCGAGGCTGAGGCAGACGGATCACTTGAGCTCAGTTTGAGACCAGCCTAGCCAACATGGTGAAACTCCATCTCTATTAAAAATACAAAAATTAGCAGGGCATGGTGGTGCACGCCTACAATCCCAGCTACTTGGGAAGCAGAGGTAGGAGAATCGCTTGAACCTGGAGGTTGCAATGAGCCAAAATCACATCATTACACTCCAGCCTCGGTGACAGAGCGAGACTCTATCTCAAAAAGAAGAGCCATTTTGAGGCTCAAGACAGGAGGAGGGTGAAAACAGCAGCTCTGAGAGAATCAAGGCTGTCCATTACAGATATGTAGGTTGTATCTTCACAGGTAGTCAATACAGACTATCGGCAGCTCTGAAGCAAATTACAGAGAAATTGGACCCATACGCTGATTGAGCCATACCTGAAGCTCCATCCTTCTGAAATTCTAAGTTATATGCATCAGTTCATCTCCTTTGCTACCTAAGCCATTTGAGTTGCATTTTTTAAATTAATTATAACCAAAAGCATCAAGTGATACAACAGTTTAACTATACAACCTCGGGGTAACACAGAGTCTCCCACCCTGCATAAAATACTCAAGTTGAAATCACTTTTCAGTCATCCATTATATTCACTCATTACAGGTGCTGGAGACAGAGCAGTCAACAGGAGAAAACATCACCCCTAACCTACTTCACCTGGGACAATGAGCGCACTACCATATGCTGAGCTTAAGAAAACTGTCATCGGTAAATGTACCGATTAAAAAGAAAAAGGCCAAAGGACACTAAAACATGATCTACCCCAAGCTTTCAAAGTTAAGAAGCATCAACCCAACGTATCACTCCAACCGTGTCTTGGAGCAGCTGGATGTGACACCAAAGATCTGTAACTGTCCTCACTATTTGTGGAGGCACTGTCTTCTGTGCCATTCAATACGGTAGACACTAGCCACAAGCAGATAGATTTAAACTGTGTGTCAGTACAATGTAAAATTCAGTTCCTCAGCCACATTACAGGTACACAATTGCCACATGTGGCTAGGGAATAAAATATTGCACAGTGTAGATAAAGAATATTCCATCATCACAGAAAGTTCTATTAGTCAATGCTGTCTTTCCACCGGAGTTCCCTTTCTGCCTTAAAAGGGCAAGCATGGTACAGAGGAAAAGGTCCCTCTAAATTACTAAAACCCTGAAGCAAGAAAATGAACTTCCACAAACACATATGCACACACCTAGCATTTGCCCCCTAGAAGAACTTGCAGCTCAAATAACTCAATTTGTCTTTCTATTCTTGACTGCCTCCCACAATCAGTGTTCATTCGAGTGTACAGTGGGGTCTGTTACCATCACTTGTTAGATAACTGGAAGAAAGGCCAATATTTTAGAGCCTGGAGCATCACACGCTGGACTTGCCACATTCAGCCAGAGCACCTTTAAACACTGGATTCACAGAGTCCACACCCCCAGGATTCTGATCCCGTAGGTCTGGGATGGGGTCTAGTAATCCCCATATTTAACAAACACCCTGCCTGATTCTATGTAAGTGGCTGTTCTGTGGACCACTCTTTGGAGGTGGAGTATCAGGACTGTGCTGAGCAGGGAGACATGAGTCAGAATCACTAATAAAGCCACGCCCCGGTGACTATAACTTGAAAACTCTCCCAGGTAATTCTGATATACTTTCCATTCACCCAAATCCAATGTGTGGGGTACTGTGTTCAAAGTTGATGATTTTCTTCAAGAAGCTGTGCCTGCAATCTGTTAGCAGCCATCAGGTGAATATAAGTGCCTGGTAACAGGTGCACAGGACTGCAAATTTCCCCCGCAGCCTTTTCCCGAATGTCTCTTTCCCCTCTGGAATTCAGGCAACAGGGTGACTCACCATGTTGTATTAAACCCCATGGATAAGCTCCTTCCACCAAAAAAAAGCCTCCAATCCTTACAACCAGCTGTCTTATTCCCATTAATGGCTTCTTCTCACAATTATCTTTCTTTGGGATAATTTATTTCACACAGAATATCTTGAGCTTACATTTTTAGCTAAAATGTCGCAGAAACAAATTCACATTGCTTAAGAAAGCCAGGGCCTTTCTTCCCTATGGCAGTATTTTCCCACGGAGTTGAAGAGACATACCTAGGCAACAGCTACATGAATTTTTCCTTTGCTGGGCATCCTATTTTCCCGATTTTTCTCTTATAAATAATGACACATGTATAATATATCAATATTGAGATAACACTTTGTGTCTTCAAAAGTTTTCTCTTTTTAATTTTAAAAGAAAAATAAATTTATAGGGTTAATAAATGTGGCTCATAGATTCAAATAGGCAGAAGCCAGGACATTTCCTTGGATGTAGGTATCCGAAACAACAGTCTCATCTGCTGTCCTTACACTGGAATGAACAATTACTGGGGATTTTTTTCCATCTTTGCCTAAACTCAAGATTCAAAGTCCCAAATTAACCCATAGCTTTTGGACACGTGTCAGCCATTCGAACATGGAATCTCATTGTCTCTGTTACCTATTGCCATTATAATGCCATATAATTAACAATCACGAAACCTCAGTGGCATATAGCAATATGCATTTATCACATATGTACCTAGAGTTCACTTAGGGTCAGCTAGAGTGCTCTGCTAATCCTAACTGAAATAAAACAGGTTTCATATACACTGTGGAGGAACTTAACTGTGCATTTGCACTGTGACATGGCTAAACTCTTTAACAAAGACGAAAGCACAGAAATTTAACCTGGGATCGCCCAGCCTGAAACACCATGAAATATAAGCTTTTTGTGCCACATTATCCTTGAGCATTTTATAGTAGCAGAAAGAAGTCAAACTTCACGCCAAGCTAGGGGACTTCTGGGTGCTCCAAAAGCAGTGACCACAATGAAGGAAGTGGATCGGGGCATACAGTAGTCTAAACTTGAAAACTCTCCTAAGTTGCATCTCACATCAGAAGTTCTGGATTACATATAGAATATCCTATCTAAAATTTGAATTCCTAGACAGTCTATTGGAATGTTCCATTCTGATATGGAAATGGAGGGGGAAAGGGGACTAGAGAAGGAGAGAAAAGACACACAGTACAAGTCCAAACCAAGTAAGATTTTAACCCTGCATTGGACTTTTGCTGACAATTTTATAGTTTTAATTTAATAGAGGACCTTTCTTGGCTCCTTGATAGAAAAAAAACTGCACTGACTAAATTTCTCATCTGAATTACCTGAATCCCTTTCCTCATCCTAGTGCAGCAAACCTGGTGCCCGACATGAATTATGCAATGCAGAACAATCCATTATGCAGGCAGGAAAGCAAGAAGGGCTACACTGGTTTGCAAAAAACAAAAAACAAAATTCTACCATGTAATGCTGGCACTGAAAAACAGATGACTACCGGTCTTAGAGGTTAATCATGTTCTGACACTGTCCACTCCTGGGGTAAAGGTTAGGGTCCCAATTTATCTATAGAAAAGTCCAAACAAGTTGTATTATTAGGAACTTTCCTGCCAAATTTAAAACCTCCCTAAATGGTATACATAAACTTCATTCGTTCTTGTTGGTAAAGCTACACATTTCACAATCAAATCACTTCAGGGCAGAGAATAGATTCTATTCCTGTACTAAGAACTCAAATTCACGTGAACATCAATTTCAAGATGTGACTTTGCACCCAGTTCTAAGACCCGGCAGACCAGGGCCCTGGGACAAAATATTCCAAGAATTATGATCAGCTGTCAAAATATGCTCTCTCCCCAGCTCTTCATAACTTGAATTGGAAAGCTGTCACCAGCTGGGCCTCAAATAAACCTACATGGACTATAATGCCAAAGTAGACCACTTCCAAAATGTACTATTCATTTCAACACACATTTCCTGACCCTTTTTGTGAGTTGGTCAGTATCCTGGGCCCTGAGAATACAGAAAGAGTAATGCAATTACTGCTTTTGGAGAGATGAAGTATGAGAGAAACCAAGTGAGAGACAAATATATAAACAAGGCATTGCAAGCTTGTCATCTGAGGACCAAATATGGCTCCCAGATGTGTTTTGTTTGGTTCACCCTTTTTTTAAAAAAAAGAAAACTTTGAACCAGTGCTTTAAAACTGGCAAAGTTCATTAAAAAAAAAAAAAAAAAAAAAAAGAACAGGCTTCTGGTTCTCTTGAAAACCTGAAAAATCTACACTAGAAACACCGGGCCAATGTTCCTACATGGCAGCAAGAGGCCAAAGCAGAATGGCAGCTTTTCCCATTGAACAGAATAAGCCCTTCCAGGTAATCCTAGTCCCCACCACTCCCTAATTGTCCTTTAAAATACTACTCAGTATCCAGCCGGGCGCGGTGGCTCACGCCTGTAATCCCAGCACTTTGGGAGGCCAAGGTGGGCGGATCACCTGAGGTCGGGAGTTCAAGACCAGCCTGGCCAACATGGTGAAACCCTGTCTCTAATAAAAATACAAAATTAGCTGGGTGTGGTGGTGCATGCCTGTAATCCCAGCTACTCGGGAGGCTGAAGCAGGAGAATTGCCTGAACCCAGGAGGCGGAGGTTGCAGTGAGCCAAGATCGCATCATTGCACTCCAGCCTGGGCAACAAGAGTGAGACTCCGTTTCCAAAACAAACAAACAAACAAAAAACTACTCAGTTTCTGACTTGTGAAGACCACCATAAATAAACAATTCCAGTAGAAGGTATTATCTTTACAAGTGAGATAAGTGAAAAATTACAGGACTCTCGATATACAGCCAGAAGGGATATTAGTTAATATATTCTCTGGGGGGGTAAAATGATGATGGATACCAAAAGCCTTAAAAAGAAATAATTCATGTGAGCCAACAGCTTTATTTCTAGATAGCTATCCAAAGAAAATATCTGAAGATGTTCGCTAAAATGTATGTATGAGGGTAGTCATCAATATGTTATATAAAAGAGAACTGAAAACACTCTAAATGTTCAACCTTAAAGTAGAGCTTATTATATTATAAAGTAACCAAAAATAAATTTTGCAGTCACTGAAATAGTCAACTTGATCTACATATAGTATTTTTTTAAAGTCCATGATTGGCCAGGCACAGTGGCCCACGCCTGTAATCCCAGCACTTTGGGAGGCCAAGGTGGGTGGATTGCTTGAGCCCAGGATTCTGAGACCAGCCTGAGCAAGACAGTGAAACCCTGTCTCTACCCAAAAAAAAATTAATTATTTGGGCACGGTGGCACCCACCTGTGGTCCCAGCTAGTCAGTAGGCTGGGATGGGAAGATCGCTTGAGCCCAGGAGATACAGGTGAGCCAAGACCGTGCCACTACACTCCAGCCTAGGCGACAGAGAAGTAAGGCTCTGTCTCAAAAACAAAAAAACAAAAAAACA
The DNA here is from genome assembly GCF_000001405.40 of Homo sapiens. Classification (NCBI taxonomy): domain Eukaryota; kingdom Metazoa; phylum Chordata; class Mammalia; order Primates; family Hominidae; genus Homo; species Homo sapiens. Next base: position 66,025,560 of record NC_000003.12, read on the forward strand.
AACAAACAAAAAAAGTCCATGATATGCTGTTAGGCATGAAGAAAACTCCCACCCAAACAGCATGTACTGTACAGTCTTATTTTCATAAGAAAAAGCCCCCCCATCTTCAAAAGTATATGTTTGTGTTTCTGTTTGTGTATGTGTGTGTGTCTGTGTGTGTGTATGTGTACGTCTGGATAAAAATAGTGTTAACACATGTATTTCTCTGGGGTGGGATTACGGGCAATTCGGACATATTTTTCTGCCATATTAACATATTTCTGTATTGTATACATTGTTTAAATGAGAAAAAATTTAAATTTCACCAGGAAAATACATAAGCTGTGGAATCACAGACCAATTTTAGATAGTGATTGATAGTCATATAAGGTCACGATACTATTTAAGTTTTTAAAAGATTAGAAACCAAAATCTAGATGCCTACGCTTTTTATAAAATAAAATGTTAAAAAAACACATGCTGCAACACCGGAGAAAGCTTTTTTTTTTTTAACAACTTGATCTTGAGTTCTGAATTCTTAACTAACTCACACAGACTTAAACAGGCTGATAGATGGAGGAGGAAATGAACATGCTCTCCCTATCAGATGTAAATTCTAACGCTTGGCCAAGAATCCAGGTGGTAAAATACTATTTAAACCAGGCCAAGGTGGTACCTTCCACGGCCACATTACATAAGCAACAGGCGCAAGCAGATGCACACATCTGGCCAGAATAAAGGCCCTCTAAGACCTTCAACATAATTAATTCAATATTTTTCTCTATAGTTCAAAATGCTACAACAACTGGCAGACAACCATCTTAAATCATCACGGAAAAGTCAGACATATGGCTAAGTATATTTAATATGCTTTAAAAATAAGACATGGATTTTCTAGCCAACAAGATCTCAGACAATTTTTTTTTTAATTTTGCCTACTCATTACCCTCAAAAAGAATTCAATTCAACAGATATTCCTGAGTACCTACAGAGGGCAGAGACTACAAAGATCCATAAAATAAGGATGTTGCCTTCAAGAAACACATAATCTAGTATGGGAGACAGTTGGGCAAAACTATAGTTACAAGGCACCATTGTGACTCTTTGAAATAATGAAGTGCATGGAGGATAGAGAGAGGGCACACGGGAGGAAAGAATGGACAGTGTTGGTGAGACTGATCAGAGAGAAGAGGAGATGGCGGCAATTAAGCAGAATTGCTTGAAAATATATAGCAGCACACCGTTTTTTGGCAGGAAACACTTTGGGAAACCATTTTTTATTTATCGGACTATCTTCCGTGGGGTCACCAAGCATGTCTCTCTGGCAGCAAAAGGGCCAGCCTAAGACCGGTGTCTCTACATTGACATGAGGGCTCCAGGCTATGGGGTAGACACATTTCTTTCTTTTTTCTTTTTTTTTTCTTCTTTTTCTTAAAAAAAGAGAGGACCGGCTGGGCGCGGTGGCTCACACTTGTAATCCCAGCACTTTGGGAGGCCGAGGCGGGCGGATCACAAGGTCAGGAGATCGAGATCATCCTGGCTAACACGGTGAAACCCCATCTCTACTAAAAATACAAAAAATAGCCAGGCGTGGTGGCGGGTGCCTGTAGTCTCAGCTACTCGAGAGGCTGAGGCAGGAGAATGGCGTGAACCCCAGAGGTGGAGCTTGCAGCGAGCCAAGATCGCACCACTGCACTCCAAGCTGGGTGACAATGAGACTCCGTCTCAAATAAATAAATAAATAAATAAATAAATAAATAAATAAATAAATAAATAATAAAAAAAGAGAGGGTCTTTCTCTGTCACCCAGGGTGGAGTGCAGTGGTTCCATCATAGCTCACTGCAGCCTCGGACTCCTTGGCTCAAGCAATCCTCCCACCACAGCCTCCCTCCCTAGTAGCTGGGACTACAAGCATGAACCACCATGCCCCTGCTGTCAAGGCATTTCTAACATGGAAACCTAGAGTAAGATTATTGGAATCAGATAGATCTGAGTTTGAATCTCACCTAGGTCAGCAGTCAGGGAACCAGGAGAACCTGACTTCTCAAGCTAATTTTCTCACAGCTGAAATGAGAATAAGCTCATCTACCTAGACAAACCCTTAACCTGGGTTTAAGTGATGTATCAGAGGAACAATAAATAATAGTTACAATTACTAGCATATCCCTCCTAACTCAGATTCCCAGTATCAAGCATGGAGTCATGCCTGTAGAGGGGCTTTCTCAACCTCAGCCTTACTGACATTTTGGGCTGGATAATTCTCCCTTGAGGGGCTGTTGTGTACATTGTGGGGTGTTCAGCAGGGTCCCGGGCCTCTACTCTCTAGATGCCAGAAGCAACCCTCTCCTTAATTGTGACAACCAAAAATGGCTCCAGACGTTGCCAAATGTCCCCTGGGGAACAAACTTGCCCCCAGCTGAGAACCACTGATTCAGAGGCACTAACTGACGTACCTCCATTTCTCAGCTGAAAATATCACAGCTGGCCAGGCACGAAGGCTCATGCCTGTAATCCCAGCACTTTGGGAGGCCAAGGCAGGCAGATCGCTTGAGCCCAGGAGCTCGAGACCAGCCTGAGCAATGTAGTGAAACCCCATCTCTACAAACAAACAAATAGCCAGGTGTGGTGGGTGCATGCCTGCAGTCCCAGCCACTCAGGAGGCTGAGGTAGGAGGATCGCTTGAGCCCAGGAGGTGGGTGTTGCAGTGAGCTGAGATCAAGAAAAGAAAAGATCACAGCTGCTTGTAGGGTAGGTACTTCAATGAGCACCACTTAAGAGCCAGGCAGGGTAGTACAAGTTTTACATACATTATCTCATTTAATCCTTACAACCACTTTATGACACAGGTAACATTCTCATTTTCAACTGGGAGAACTGATGTTCTGGGAGGCTAACCTGTCCCTGGTCTCTCAGCTGGGAAGTGCGAGAGCCTGGATTTGAACCCAGGCGGTCTGACTCCAAACCCTTATGACCACTAAGCCCCACTGCTTCCCCAGCCATTCCTGATGTAGGAGCCCAGACGTGGTACCAGGAAGATGAGAGGACCACAGAGTCCCATTCTCAAGAATCATCGTTGATGGTAAAAGCCTGCCTGAACACGCAAGAACTCGCCCTCCCTCCACACTACCACAACCTGCGACCTGCGAACAATCATTAAAAGCAATTCCTCACCGAGGACAATGTGGGAGAAACTCGGGCAACTCAAACCTCCGTGAGGTCCGGAGGCTTCCTTCCTACTTGTCTGAACTAATCCAGTCTCAGCCTTTCAAAAAGGCAGCATCTGAATCAAGCAGAAAAAAGAGTGTTTTTTTTCTAGACTTGAAAAGCTCTCCAGAGAACTGTACACTGCAATCTCCATCTCTCAAGAGATTCTTTCTTCTCTCCCAAGGGCTTTCAAATGGGGAGCATTCAAACAATTACAGAAGCCAACATTTATTGAGCACTCACTATGTGCCAAGCCCTGTGTCATGTGGTTTACTTTCTACTTTTCCAACAACCCTAGAGAGTAGGTATCATTATTATCCCCATTTTCCGAGGGGGAAACCTGGCACAAAGAGGTTCAGCATCTTGCCCCAGAACACCCAGCTCATAAAGTGTAAAGCCTGCCTCTTCACCCAAGCCAACCTTGGGTCCAAAATCTGACTCTATGACACATCAGTAAATTGCTATTTGTGGATCATTTTATGAGCAGTACTACGGTCCTGATGACACTATATATAGCAGTAATTTTGAAACATGGCTTATAATCAGGGCACGATCGCCTTTTAATTGCACCATCATGCCCCTGTCCATAAAGAGAGCCTCGAGTCTTGTCTCATAAAGGAGTAAAGATTATCCTTATTGTAAGAAGCATAACTGTGGCCCATTAAACAGACACACAAATGCCTCCATCCACAGTAATGGTGGGGTTGATACCTTAGCCATGAGAATGTAATTATCTTATGGAACTCATCTTCATGACACTGGAGATGGTAACAGAAAAAGTCTATACACACAGCCAGAAGAACCTCTCAGTCTGTTTAGGGGTGAGAGAGTCTGCAAAGTTCCATGACACACTCAGCATGGGGCTGCCTTAGACACACAGTGGTGACTTGCTCTTTAAAGCATCTCCATTGGCCTTCTTGACTCACTGGTCTCACCTCTTCCTTGCCCTACTGGAACTTCCTGGGAGCACCTCCCAGATAAGCCCTGTGCATTCAAATCCTGACCTAGAGTTGCCTTCTAGGGATTCATGTTGGTGGGGAGCACACAGGACTGAAAGTGGACTGAGGCCAATGACTTGGCTAAGTAAGGGATGCTGTGCACAGACCTATCCCTAACTCGACAAGATCTTCATGGTGACTCTAGTAGCCTCAGCTCTCCTGTTTGGATCAGCCACCTGGTACCCCTTGTTACCGTCATTTCCCAAATCAAAGTAACCTCTGAAAATCAGGACACTCAATTAATTTTAAAGTCAAGGACCTCTTCCATGCAGGGAAACCTAAAATTGGAAATGTGACCTTATCTCTGACTCCAAGGAGACTCCAGTGGACTCTTCCCTCCCCTTCTTGACAAGAAACCAAGGACCCACATGTTCTTACTTGTAAACCCATAATACTAAGACCAACTGAAGCAGGCCAGCAATGTTCACTGACTTTAAGAATATTCCTGGATCAATCGGCTAAGCTCTATTTTAGCCCCAGCCATTGACTGTAAATGTTAAACTCTAACCAACTTTAATGTGATCCATCATCAGTCACCTAAATTTTCAGGGACTTCTATATATCTACATTTTCAGAGGTAACTGACCTCAGAAGAGATTTATTCTAGTTCTAAACTTGACTGTAAACATTTAACAAATACCCAAGCAAGTACTAGGCACCATGCACTGTTTTTGCTACTGGGGATACTGTGGGAGAACAAGACAACATTCCTGCCATCTCAGAGCTTACATTCTAGAGAAAGAGGTAAAATAAGAAATTTACTTGTGGTGAAGCGATCTACATACTATGGAGTAAAATAAAGCTGAGAGGGGGAACAGGGAATGACACGTGGCAGTGGAGTTATGGTTTTCAATAATGTGCTCACAAGAGGCCTCACTGGGCAGGTGACATTTCAGAAAGACTTGAAGCTCAAGAGATAGCAAGCCTGTAAGATGATCAGGTGGGCACTAGCAGGCAGGACAGAGAAAGAGAAGTAATATCCTTAGGACAGGTCACGGGCAGCCTTGGAAGTCACTATAAGGACTTCGGCTTTCACTCAGATACAGAGACTACAGAAATGATTAATAATGGATTATTCCATTATGTAATTACTGAGCCATAAAAAGAGAAGATTTCTATTTAATCATAAAAGACACTGCTCAAATTACATTTTCTAATTTTGCTACATGCCTTCGGAAAAGTTGACATCCAGAACACATTAGACCCTCCACAGGACACTTAACTAGAAAGCAGAGTCAATATGATAGGACCAACCTTGACATCTGTTGAAACAACAAAATGAATTCATAAGAAATACTACATCGATGCCGACCTCCATAGGGGAGAAGTCTAGCAATGCACCAGTGTGTACTAGGGATTTTTCAAGGTTACAGATCTCACATATGAGCTGCAAAAAGACAGGCAGGCATGCAGTAACCTACTTTTTTAGGATGTGAATGTCAGCCCTTAACGAATTTGACAGCCTTTATTCTCAGTGTATACAAAATCAGTATATCCTGTTACTTGTATATACAAACTCAAGGAAAGGGCCACTAACACCAGAGAGTGGTGCTTTGCATTAAATAACCCTCGTTTACAAAGCAACATCCTTCATGTAAACCCTTGTGGTAAGGAGATGTCAGAATGTTTTCTCTTATAAACCACTTAATTCCCCTTGGTGGATATCATCAATTCTGCCATCTAAAACCAGCTGGGTAATGAATGCCAAGAAACACGGTGAGCCAACTGTATGCCATTGCCACAGAAGGTCAAGTTAATCTATTTTTAAATAACACAGCCAATGACAAGGGGTGGCCACTGGAAACGATGGACAAGTGCGTTGTACGTCCTTGCTTCATTTTTTGTAAAACCTGTACAGTGTTCCACAGTGTAACCTAAAAATATCCTTCCAAGAGTGGTCTTTTGGCACCAAGAACAAAAACAGGTTGATTTTTGAAAGTTTAAGTTAAAAAAAAAAAGACATAAATACAAAGTACAATTTAAGAGCGAGAGGGCTAAAATTGGATTGTGTTCTGTAGCAAAGATCTGATTTGCTATTAGCCAAAAAAAAAAGTACACAGGGACAATGCTGCAAGAAAACGGAGGGAAAGAATCATTTTTAGGCATGAGGACACAGGTCCCACATCAACAAAAAAAATCCTCATCATCCTGCCTGCTGAACATCTGAAATTTCACGTTTAGAGGCTCACTTGTTAAACTTCAGTTAGAGTCAACAGGCAGAAATACTTGAATAGGATTCATTAATCCTTGTCAGTCATTTATAGCCCAGTATAAATTATTAGACACAGAAAGCCTGCTAATTGGAAGATCTGATTACGAGAAAGTGAAGACCTCTGGATCCTAAACAAGAAGTAAAAGACAAATCGAGAGAAAGGGAGGAAAGATGTTGCAAGTGGCCTAGTTGCACTTACCTTCCGAAACAATGGAATAGTCATTCAGGCATCCAACCAATTTTAGTGAGCACCTATTATTTGCTGGGTCTTTTTTTTGAGATGAGTCTCACTCTGTCACCCAGGCTGGAGTGCAGTGGCGCGATCTCAGCTCACTGCAACCTCAGCCTCCCGGGTTCAAGCAATTCTCTGCCTCAGCCTCCCTAGTGGCTGGGATTACAGGCGCCCACCACCACGCCCGGCTAATTTTTTTGTTTTTTTTTTTTTTTTAGTAGAGACAGGGTTTCACCATCTTGGCCAGGCTGGTCTTGAACTCCTGACCTTGTGATCCACCCACCTCGGCCTCCCAAAGTGCTGGGATTACAGGCATGAGCCACCACGCCTGGCCCTGCTGGGTCTTTTTTAGACACTGAGAAATACAGCAGTGAACAAGAGAGACAAGCTTCTTGTTTTCATGGAACTTCTATTCTCATGGGAGGGGAAACAGACAATAAAGAAGAAACAGGGCCCGTTGCGGTGGCTCACGCCTACAATCCTAGCACTTCGGGAGGCCAAGGCGGCAGGCAGATTGCCTGAGCTCAAGAGACCAGCCTGGGCAACATGGCGAAACCCCACCTGTACTAAAATACAAAAAATTAGCCAGGCATGGTGGTACATGCCTATAATGCCAGCTACTCGGGAGGCTAAGCATCAGAATTGCTTGAACCCGGGAGGCAAAGGTTGCAGTGAGCCGAGATCGCACCACTGCACTCCAGCCTGGGCAACAGAGCGAAACTCCATCTCAAAAAAAAAAAAAAAAAAAACAACAACAACAACAACAGAAGATAATACGAGATTGTGTCAAGGCTATGAAGGAACAAACAGGGTGAGGGAATGGCACTTTACTCAGGGAGCTATCTTTTGTGTGTGTGTGTGAGATGGGGGTCTCACTCTGTCACCCAGGCTGGAGTGCAGTGGTACAATCTTGGCTCACTGCAACCTCTGCCTCCTGGTCTCAAGCGATTCTCCCACTCTGCCTCCCGAGTAGCTGGGACTACAGAAGTTCGCCACCACGCCCAGCTAGTTTATGTATTTTTTGGTAGAGACTTCACCATGTTGCCCAGGCTGGTCTTAAACTCCTGAGCTCAAGTGATCCACCCACCTTGGCCTCCCAAGGTGCTGGGATTACAGGTGAGCCACCACAAGGGCACTATCTTATATGCAGTCAGTGGTGTGTGGGGGCCAGCTCACATTGGCTTGGGAACAGCAAGTATACGCGTCTCTTCCCAACTCCAGCTATGCTATAAATCAGGGTCTACCCACTACTAGCACTGGTTGTTAAGCATTTTACAGCACACCAGAAGGAGGTCACTGAGGAGAAAGAAGCAAGACCAGAGATTCATGAGAAACCAAACAACTCTGAAAGACAAGGCCCTGTGTTTTAAAATGAGAGTTATTGTCATACATTCCAATGAATCAAAACAATACCAAAACAAAAAACCACACAAAGAACTATATTCAACCATATGTGATCACAATTTCCCTCATTACAGTGAGGGGAAGGGTCTGGTGGTGGTTTGGTTTGGCTTTTAAATTGTATCTCTTTTATTATCTCCACACTGCCACACATACACAAAAAGTAGAGGGATAGTTACAGTTCCTGGGTAATTTGAAAAACCACAAAATTCACCTGCAAAAATATGTAAGCATGACCTGTAATACACCACTTTGGGAAACTACAATCATACCATTTTAAACCTTTGGAGTCTGGGTGATTCATGGAAACAAAGGATTTCACGAGCACAAATAACCTGAAGAGGCTCACCCACTTATTTTTGGCATAGAGAAATGTAGGCTCCAAGAATGTGACTGGCAGAGCTTATTCTAGAACCCAGGTCACCTGTCTCATCTGATGTCATCTTCTCAATTTTGGTCTATACCCTAGTACAGTAGTTCTTAAAACTGAACCCTTGAATCCCTTAATAAGCCCATCAGAATCCCTTGAGGGTTTATTAAAACACCCCATGGTTGTTACCCCACCCCCCAACCCCAACCCCATCCCCCGCAAAGCTTCTGAATTGGTAGAACTAAGGTGGGGCCCAGGAATCTGGATTTCTAACCAGTTCCCAGGTTACTATACTAATGCCACTGGTCTGAGGACCTCACTTGGAGACCTACTGTCCCAGGAATTGGGAGCACAGGCTTTGGAATCAGACAGAGCTGGGTTGCAGCTCTACTGCCACTGTGGTATGACCCTTGGAAAAGTTACCCAAATTCTCTGAACCTCAGCTTCTAACATCTGAGTCCAATTGTAAGGACTGAAAAAGAGAATGCCCACGAAGCATCAGCTTAGCCAAGCACCTATTATATTCTAAGGCAAGATCTTAATACATACTAGCGACATCTTATATCCTGTATCAAAGTTTCCTTAATTACATTTTTCCGAAGCATATACTAGGACGGCTAAAATTCAAAAGACAAACAAAATCAAAGATGGCCAAAGATGTAGAGCAACTGAAACATTAATAACAGCTTTATTCGTAATAGTAAAAAATGGTAAATACTCCAAATGTCCATAAACAAGCAAAAGGACAAACTGGTATGTGTATACAATGGAATATTACTTAGCAATAAAAAAAGAACCAAATGAAGTACACATGCAACAAAACGAAATCTCCAAAATATTTTGTTGAGTAACAAAAGCCAAACACAAAAGAGTACATACTGCATTAGTTCATTTTTATGAAGTTGAAGACAAAATTATTCTATGGTAGATCTATGGTGCAGGGGGAGGGGGGAATTAACTGGACAGGAACATGAGAAAAATTTCTGGGGTGATGAAAATGTTCTCTATCTTCATTTGAGTGATTAACATGAGTGCATACATCGCTTAAAACTCATCAAATTATATATCTAAGATATGCATTTTACTATAGGTAAATGATACCTGAATACACATAATTATATATAACTTTGTAAAGGCATTTTATGACAAAGTACTGTCTTCCCCACTTAAAATGAACCAACTCCAACCTGACAAAGGACTGTCTTCTCCATTTAAAATGAACCAAGTCCAACCTGGCAGATCCATTGAGTTTGATTCCTGCACAATCCAGTCCTGTCACAGACAGTTTTGGTCCATGTATCTTTCCAGAGAACTGCCATGAAGTAGAAAAACAGAATTTTCTCCCACCATGTAGACAGTATCCAGAGTGATCTGTGTCCCTGGAAGTGGCTAACTTGGGATGCAAACAACACAAAAGTAGTATTTTTCTTTACCATATACCAAGTATGAGCCTGCTTGATATGACTTTAAAAGGCACAGTAATGAAGACACATTAAGAGCAATTCTGTCATACAATCTAAATCATATTCTCAACATGGAAGAGGGAGCAGAAAACTGGTGAAATGGTTTCTAGGGCCATCATTACTGGTAATGAAGACGTCAGAAGATCCAACTGTGCCTGTGTAATTATTACATGAAATAGTCACTTTCAGACTGCAATGAATTCCAGGCCATTCAGGTTTCCCAATCAGTATCATATTTCTATCCCATTACAAGTAGATTCACGTACATCCATCCATACATACATATACACACACACACAGAAACATACCCACACACTCGCCCCTGCTGTGAACAATCTGTGCACAAGGGGTGAAGAGAGCTAACACCTGGAGACACTACAGTTTCCTTTCAACTCAGAGGTGTCTGTTTCCAAACCCACTTGATTATCTCACCAAGCCTTCCTAAACTCCATGATGAGAGAGCCCTGGGACATCGCCTCCCAGAAATTTGGCAACTAGTGGAAGGAAGAGACACAAGCCCATGCAGCATCTTGCACACTGCAAACACTGCAAGCCAGCCCCTATTCAGGACCCGTTAGACACTGCGAGGCATCCCCCTAGTTGGGCAGGTACCCTTGCCTGTCCTTCCTCCACCCTTTCTCCAAAATGGTCCTGAACTGAGACCTGCAGCTGCTCCCATCCTATGCCTTCACACAGTATTTTCTCTACAGCCCTATCAAGTCATAATTATCCAGGTTCCTGACACTAAAAACTAGTTTCAGAAATAAATAGCTGCTAAAATCAATTCAAACATAAATAGCTAATCTTTATGGAGCACTTACTATGTACAGGCACTGTTGGGTGCACTTTCCACGTGTTAGCTTATGTAATACCCACAGGAAAGCCAGTGTGAGGAAGACGCATTGTCAGGCCAGGAAAGGTTTTGAACCTCAAGCAAAACCTGGAGAGGTATGCCAGGAATGAGGCACAATCTCTCCCTTTAATGAGCTCACTACCTTGTATGGAAATGAGGACCTAACTCAGAGTTCAGAGTAAGTAAAAAAGCCACAAAGTAGACATTAAAGGAGCCCAAAGGAGGAAGAATTTGTGCATCCTAGCAGGATTCTGGAGGGCTTCTTGGAGGAGGTATCCCAGTGGAGAATGAAGTCATAAATACAAGGAGCTTTCCATAGCTAAGTGTCAGCTCCTCAGCTCCCAAAGCTGCTAAAAGGCCAGGCGAGTCGGCCGCCCCCTCCTCCATTTCATCTGGAGCACGCCTGTTTCCAAGAGAGGACCAGCTAGGCCCAGCCCTTCCTTTGACACATTCCTCCAGCTGCTGCCTGTCCTTATGGAAACACATGGGAACTTTTCACCATGTTCAACTTCACGACTTCCTTCGGTGCTTTCACTGGGGAGAACCTGCGTCATGGCACTTGCTTGCACAAGGGAGCCCTTTAAGGGCCTCAGCTGGTCTCCATTGGGTTGACATGAGGACAGCCCCTTGTCTGTACCAAAGTGAGATGTAAGGGACCTACATCACCAGCAGCCAGCAAATGCATCTTTTAAAAGGCCTCTACAGATTTCTGAGAGAGGAATTTGCTTCCACTCCCTCCTCAGGAATCAGCCCCTTCAGTGCGGTAGGGTCATCCCCCCACTCCTTCCTCCTCCATACTTAAGGCTCTGCAGCAAGGGCTCAAACCCTCGCTTTTGGCAACTGTGTGACCTTGAGCAAGTCACTTAACCAGTATCAATCCCAGTTTCCTTATCTCTAATTTGGGGTATATAAATAAGAACAACTCGTTCTTAGAACTGTTGTGAATCGGAGTGAGATAGTGCAAGTAAAGTATTTTACACAGAGCCGGGCATGTAGTAAACCAACAATGAATAGTAGCTTCATTTTCATCATCAATAATGACGATGATGGTGGTGGTGGGAGGGTAAACTTGGACCCGATTCGAGCTAAAAGCAAGCACCCCTTCCCCCTCTCCCCCTCCCAAGTGTATGGCTGAGCCACACGGTGGAGACACATGCGTCATCCGGCTGAGGGGTGAATGCAGGCTCTTCTGGCGGCGGGCTCAGGAACCGCCAGGCAGTGGTGTCCTAGCTCACCTGGAGGGGTCGCGGGGTGAAGCAGATTTTCTGATGGGGGAGGTCCAATAAACTACAGACCCTCTCTTTCTGTATACCCACTCAGCAGGTATGGAAACTGACTCGTGGCCAAAGAACGCCAGCTGCATCCCTCCCCCAAGGAGCCAGGACAGCGTCCACCATGCCCCTGACTCAGTTCCCCAACTCTCTCTCGGGTGCAGGCGAGACTGCGCTGCACTTAGTGGCGGAGATAACAGGTTGGCCAGCCAGGCCTGAGAAACGTCCCCCCGCTACCTTGCGCAAACCCAGCCCCCTCTTCGAAACGCAGGTGGGCAAACAACCCTCAACCTCGCAACAACTTTGTGTATTTCACCGCCACCACAGGGCGCACGGCCTCAACTTCTCTTCACTGCGCTCCGAGGAGGGAAGCAGGAAATCGAGAATAAGGGGCAGCCCACAGACCACCCTCCTTTTCTCGGGGCGCCCCCCAAAGGCGCGCCCTGCCTTACCTTGTCTGACGGCCTTGAAGGTGACGGCCTCCTTGCAGCTGTCGATGACCCCCAGCACGTCATAGCGGGGCAAGCCGGACACCCGGACCCCCTGCACCTCCAGAAGCAGCTCCCCTTCGCCCAGCCTCGGGCCCTCGCCGCCGCCGGGAAGCCCCGCTGCCTCGACCGCCGCCACCGCTCCGACGTACGGAAACTCCCCGTGCTCCGCGCCTCCCAGCACCGTCACCCCCAGCTCGCCCTGGGGTCCCCGCTTCACGGTGCATTCGTGAACCCTGCTAGTCCAGTGGTTCTTCTTCTGGATCACTTTGGACATGATGAGTTACACCCCTCCTCCAAAAAAATAAAACGAGAGACAGGTGCCCCCCACAGCACGAGCCCCCAAGCCTCCGCTTGTTCATGGGAGAAACATCTCTCCCCAAATCACAAAACAGGAGAGAGAAACTTGGCAGCCTCGCTCCCCTGCACACGCTCGCGCACTCAAGCCATCATAAAACAAACTTTCTGGGCTTCCCCGCGAGCCCCGCACAGGCGCCCGCGAGCTTTGTTTGCATTCCGGTGCCTCTGGGTCCACGTTCCGGCGCCCGCCCGTGCTCTCCCGGACCAGAGTCCACTCTGCGCCGCTCGGGTTATTTTTTTTTCCTTCCTTCCTTTCTCTCTTGCCTTTTACAAATGCGGTGCCTCCTCTTTGCCTCCCGCCCGGCTCGCCTCTCCTCGCTGGCAGGCTGTTACTGAGGGTGAGGGAAGCCCTTCCAGCCAGTTGCCGGGAGCCCTGAAGACGCGGTGGCGGGGCGGCGGGGAGCAGGGCGGGAGGTAAGTGCTCGCGGCCCCTTTAAGCAGATACAAAGGCTCGGCTTGTTTTGTTACAGTTCATTCTATTCCGCGCCGCGGAGCGCAGCGGCCGGCGACAGGAGACGCGCGCGCATGCGCCCCGCGGCCGCCAGCCGGCCGGCCCACCCCTCCCCTCCTCCCCGAAGGGAGAGATTCCAACGTGCTTCCCGATGGGTCCTAAAACCGACCTGCCGGGAGAAGGCAACTCCCCCCCAACCCTTCCTGAACCCCTATCCTCTCTCCTTTTCTTTCAGTGCCCTGGACTCCGCGGATTCCTTTGGGGCTGGAGGGCCGCACACGTGTTTTACTCCAACTGTTTGCAACTTTTGAAACCCGGGCAATCTGGCTTTGGCATTTGAAAACCATTTCAAACAGGTGGGGGTTGGGGAGGCTGCCACACTCACCCTGGCGCTCACACTCACGCACACGCGCACGCACTCGCGCCGGCCCTAAGCCTCCTAACCGCCCTCGGCCAGTGGCTGGCCAGGCTGTCGGTCACCCAGCCCGGCTGGTTCGCCGCCCCCCTTGCCGCAGGTCCCACTGAAACCCCCGAGACCCGCCCCGGGGCGCTCGCCGCCTCCCTGCCTGCCCTGCGCTTGCGGGTTCGGGTCCTGGCGCGGGGTCTGCCAGGGTCTCTGCGACCCGGGGGAGGGGGACGGTGGGATCCTCCGGTTCCCCAACTGGGATCCCTGTGCGGGTCACACGCGCTCTTACACACACCCGCATCCTTAAACTTTGGGACCAACTTTTTAGGACACGGGAAACTACAGGCAAGAGAGAGAAGCCATGGTGCTAGTGTGGGTTCAGGTATTCAACCAAAAAAGAGATCCCTCTAGCTTTTCAACTGCCCTGCCAGCAGAGACTGCTGGACCCAGTCAATCATCTGCCCCGGCCTCAAGTTCCTGGCAGGGCCGAGAAGCCTGCGGACCTACTCCGGGGCCAGGAGATAAGGATCCCCGCCGGGCGCGGACATGCCCTGCGTCCTGGCGCCCGCGGGGGCGTGAGAGAACTCGGAATTCGCAGCCCGGGGGTAGCTGCGGCCTCCGGAGGTCGCCCGGGGGTGCGGATGGAGTGACTTCTGTCCCGGCGAGGTGGCGGACAGAAAGACTCCCATACCACAGGAAGGCTGCCCTTCCCAAATACTCCTCAAATCAGGCTGCTGAGTAGTCTCCCCAGCAGTTTGTTTTCCTCTTTAGTGATGTATAATTTTGTTCATCTTTGGTCACAGGAGAGATTCCAAGAAATGAGGGGGGTACGTTGAAACGATGAAGAAAGGATGGACACAGCAGTCGAGGTTGAGAGGTAGGCTCAGGGGTCCACCCTTGTGTGACCTTGAGCAAGCTTGGTGACCTCCGCGCCTCCGTTTCTCGCTGATCAAATAAGTAGAACAAGACCTCACAGGGTTCTTGGAAGTATTACGTGGGAAAACACTTATAAAGTGGCAAATAATAAAAACTCATTATATTCTTAATAGTAGTATTACTATTTGGGAAGAAAATTGGGAAATCATTTGGGGATTCAAGTTAGTAAGTATGATAATTTATCCTCTCCTTTCTAGAACTTAGAAAATATGGGCATACTTTGTGTGTTTGTTTTTTGATGGTGGTGGTGGTGTTTTTAGAAACGTGGTCTTGCTTTGTCCCCAAGCTGGAGTGCAGTAGCTCGACTAGCTGATTGTAACCTCGAACTTCTGGACTCAAGCAATCCTACCACCTCAGCCTCCTGAGTATCTGGAATTATAGGCACATGCCACCATGCCCAGCTAGTTTTATTTTTTTGATTTTTTGTAGACATGGGGGGGTCTCCCTATGTTGATTGCCCAGGCTGGTCTCAAACTCCTGGGCTCAAGCCAACCTCCTGACTCAGCTTCCCAAAGTGCTGGGGTTATAGATGTGAGCCACCATACCTGGTTTAGGCATACGTTTAAACATCCTTTTAAAGCATTGTAGGGTGCTATTCTAAGCTAATAAAAGTAAGGAGGGATGTTGATGCTTCTCTCTTGGGATATCCAGAACTGAAAATCCCATTGCATTGTTGTGTTTCTGAAAAAAGGAGGTGACCAATTTTCCATGGCTTTGCTTGGTGAGAGGAACTTTGTCTCCAGCTTTTTTTCAGAAGCAATCTAGGTCAATATGAACAGCACTTCAAAACATAAATTATCAAACCCGAGCACAGATCCAGCCAATCAGAATGTCAAGGAAGGGCTAAGTCATTTGAACTTTTAAGGTTCCCCTTATGTGTTGTTGGTACACAACGCTGAGCACCATAGGTTTAGTATCTTGATTCCAAAGCATTGTTTGGGTCCCAGACCTTTTTGTCAAATAAACCTGTGATCCACATCTCTGTGTAAAATAAAAACTCAAGGAGGTCAGGACACTTTGACAGTTTGGTTTACTGATGTATTATTCCCAGTTCCTAGAATGGTGCCTCGTACTAGCAAATGCTAAAATATTTGTCAAATGACTCTTTCCACAAAAATGTACATTTTTACTTTCCATGTTAGTGGGGAGTCACAGATTCCCCTGCAAATCATTAGTAAGCTTAGTAAGCTTAGCCTTGTGTGTTTCCCCACTTTGCCACTTCATATTCTAGTAAAGTGTAATTGTTTGCTAAGAATACCCACAACCAACCTTGAATTAGGAGTCCCCTACCTCTCCACTCAACTCTCACCTCTGCCTGGGGGAGTCCAAGGGCTGGACAAGACCAGGCGTTTTGTGATTCCTCCCAATGCAACAACATCCCCCTCTTGCCAGGATTCCAGGTGTCACCACAGCAGCTGAGAAAGGAAAGAACTTGGAATTTAGCATACGTCAGGTTTTAGATGTGGAAAAGCCCCAAAAGAAGGAGTAGTACCTGTGGGCACAGAGGGCAATATGGAGAGAATAGACATTATTCTAATTCAGGAAAAGGAAAAATAATTTGAACCTTCAAAGTAGCCAAGGCTGCCAGTTTCCAGGATGCTCCCTCTGCATCTTCCCGGCTGGTGTTTCACCTGGTCTAGTTCCTGTGTCCCAGACTGGAGAAGTTCAAGGCAGAGATCATCTCTCTCCTATCCAACCTTTGAAACCTCAATACCAAAAACCATGAACCATGCCTTGTGTGGAGTGTGCACCATACACAGTTGTTGAGTGAATTGATGAAGTGTGACATGAAATTGTTGAATAAATGGATGAAGTATGACATGAAATTGTGTAATATGTGACCTTTGATCCAAAGCCAGTTTAGATTTGGTTGCCAAAACAGGGGTATTTATATTAGGTTGGTGCAAGAGTAATTGCAGGTTTTGCCATTACTTTCAATGAAAAGAGCTTATAGTTATGTCATTGTGAAGTAGATTTTTCCTGAATAGATCTAAGATCCTAGTATTCTGACTTGTCTCACTTTAGCTATGAATTTGGCAATACATTCTGTTGGGAGAAATAATGCTATAAAATACCTAACTTTCAAGCTTACTGTATATGTCAGCGTAGTGATGTGAGTTGGGGGTTTTTTTGTTTGGTTTTTGTTTGTTTGTTTGTTTGTTTGTTTTGAGACAAACTCTCACTCTGTCATCCAGGCTGGAGTGCAGTGGTGCCGTCTCGGCACACTGCAACCTCAGCCTCCTGGGTTTAAGTGATTCTCACGCCTCAACCTCCCAAGTAGCTGGGATTGCAGGAGTACACCACCATGCCCAGCTAATTTTTGCTTTTTTAGTAGAGACAGGGTTTTGCCATGTTGGCCAGGCTGGTCTCAAACTCCTGACCTCAGGTGATCCACCTACCTCGGCCTCCCAAAGTGTTGGGATTACAGGCGTGAGCCATCGCGCCCAGCTGATGTGAGTTATTTTATGCAATCACCACAGTTGTGTAAGGTAGGAACTATCAGGAATGACCTTGATTTTATAACTGAGGAAAATGAAGCTAAGAAAGTGAAGAAACTTGCCCCAGAGCTTACAAGTAACAAAACCAGGAAGTGAACCCGGAGGCATGACCCAAAACCCATGCTCAGAACACTGTAGTCTGAGAGGATAGGATGTGGCCATTTAGCATATTTGGGTAACAGCATGCTCTGGACTCTTGAATCTGCTACATAGTGTATACACAGTAATTAAGTCCCCCTCCTTTCTGTCTCTTCACTTTAAGCTAAAGGATACAGTGTTTCACTCCAGAACTCAATCTCCTGTTCTCCATCTATGGGCTTTGAAGATTCAAATAATTCAGGAATGCAAAGAGAATTAATTTGCAAACATTTCTACAGTGTTTAGGCTGCAGTACAGGTGACATGCCAAACAGTCTTATATTATTGCATAAGCATTTCAACAATGAACTCCTAATACAGAGGGTAGATTCAGCTGAGAAATAAACTATAACAGAATAAACACTAGACAAATTAAGATCTTATTTGTATATAGCTAGTTCTACTAGGGGGAAGAAAAAAAAACGAATATGAAATGTGCATTTCTTTCCCTTCTCCGAAATATATTTCTTTCCAAAGTTTTCCAGTTGTGATTAAAGAAATGTGTCATTGCAGTTTAAAGTGGTAATTTTCCTCCTTTTTCTGAAAATATGAGGATGGGAAATAAGTTGGTCAGTTGCAGGGGCAAAGGAGGACATATAAATTGGTTATTTTTTTAATTTCTGAAGAAAGCTATCAGGAGGCATACATTAGAGGTTTTAGTATAAATAGGTTATATACGGTAGGGTAACCGACTCCAAACAGGTAACTCAGGGCAGAAGACCAGTAGGGGAGATTGAAGCCAGGGTAGCTTCCTCTGACCATAGTATTCCTCCCTTTAGTACTTTCAGCTAAGCAAGAAAAAATAAAATGTTGTACTTTGGCAAACCAAGGTGGATGATCACTTGAGCCCAGGAGTTCGAAACCAGCCTAGGCAACATGGTGAAACCCCATCTCTATAACACATACAAAAAATTTGCCAAGTGTGGTGACATCCACCTGTAGTCTCAGCTACTCAGGAGGCTGAGGAAGGAGGATTGCTTGAGCCCAGAAGGTCGAGGCTGCTGTGAGCTATCATTGCACCATTGTACTCCAGCCTAGGCAACAGAGCAGGACCCTGTCTCAAAAAATAAAAATAAAAAACAAAATAAGTCTGGGCACAGTGGCTCACACCTGTAATCCCAGCACTTCAGGAGGCCAAGACAGGCAGATCACTTGAAATCAGCAGTTCAAGACCAGCCTGGCCAACATGGTGAAACCCCATCTCTACTAAAAATACAAAAATTAGCCAGGCGTGGTGGCACACACCTGTAATCCCAGCTACTAGGGAGGCTGAGGCAAGAGAATTGCTTGAACCCAGGAGGTGGAGGTTGCAGTGAGCGAAGATCATGCCACTGCCCTCCAGCCTAGGTGACACAGCAAGACTCCATTTCAATAAATAAATAAATAAAATATTAAATTGTGTGACAATTGTGTGACTTTTCAAGACATCATATATGAACTATTATTTTAATAGCCCTGGAAGTAACTCCAGGAAGGGTTTAAATCCTGGTTAATGTTCTGTTTCACTTAAGTGCAAAAAAAAAATAAATCTTGGGAACTGGAATATTTGGTTAGACTTTTGGTCTGAGGAACCAAGGGAAATCAAAAAATGTATCACGAGTATCTCTCCTAAAATTTCCCAAATGGTTCAGCTATATAAAACACTAAGTATCTCAAATTATCCTATCATCCTCCATAATTCCACTGAAACTATACCTGATGGTTTACTAACACTTAATTTCCTTGAGAACAGGAAACTCTCATTTTCCCGAGAACAGACGTGTGTACCTCTTTTATATTGTCTCCCATCAACTTTGTCAAAATATGGTAATTAGAACATGGCTTACTCTATATTTCTTTTTTTCTTCTTTTTTTTTTTTTTTTTTTTTTTTTTTTTTTTGAGACAGGGTCTCATTCTGTTGCCCAGGCTGGAATGCAAGATCACAGCTCACTGCAGCCTCCACCTCCCAGGCTCAAGTGATCCTCCCATCTCAGCCTCCTGAGTAGCTGGGACTGCAAGTGTGAGCCACTACACCCAACCTTCCTCTTCTTTATTGTATATCTTTATCAATTTACTGTACCAAAACAGAACTGAGAGGGAGAAAAAGGAAAATACACATTGAAACTAAGGGTAAAATGCCCATATTTTTAAAAATACCATACTAATATAAATTTTTGCAAGAAATTTTTAAAACAGACAAGTAAACAGGCACATTAAATTAAATCATTTGTAATCTTACCACCAATAATTAACCACTTTTTATATTTGGTGAATCTTATACTGGACCTACATGAACTTGCATTTATTACTTTCAATAATTGAATAATATTTTATTCTCTGAATGTTTCCAAATTTATTTAATCTTAATAGTCCATTGATGATTAGGATTCTGAAGAAGGCTAAAATAACAATTTGTATTAGGGTGTTTTTGATTGTCAGAGACAGAAACCCAGTTTAACTACCTTAAGCAAAAAATGAAATATATTACTCCATGTAAGTGGCAAGACCAGAGGTGAAACTAGTTTTCAATATGTCTGGATGAAGAGGTTCAAGTGACATCCTCAGCTTTCTCTCTCTCTCTGTGTCTTGATTCTCCTTTGCTGTCTTGCCCTCACCCTCTCCCACTACATACAGATGGGTCTTCTCCAGCCAGCCAGGAAAGATAGCTAGCTACAAGCAGCCTACATGATCCAGGTTTAGCAATCCCAGCCAAAAGGAGATTTTCACTAACAGGAGGGAAAAGGAATAGAGAAACTTCAGTCTCTAATAAAGCAATTTCAGTTGTTGAGGGTAGAGGTAGAGTCTGCCTGCTTTGCGGTGGCTTCCACAATAAACACGAGTGATTCAAAAACCTCATCAGCTGCCTAATCAAGCCTGGCAGAGTGTTTGGGGCTCCTTAGGGAAACCTCATCGAGGTGGGTTCCTCTGCAGACTCTTATCATGGTCTCCTTTTCTGCAGTTACCTAAAGGTTCCACGAATTCAAGTATAGTGGGAGTTTGATTTCAATCAAAGCTGCAGTGGTTGGCCCATATTTTTATAGATGTTTTGAAGATATTCTAAAGCTGGCAACACTGCAGGATTGAACCCCTTACAATGGAAGCCAGTCAAGTGTTATACTTGTTTAATACAGATGGCTCGTTAAACTACATAACATTGATTTCAAATGTCCCAAAATGAGTCTTGAGTTTCTCTGAGGCTAAACTGAAAATAACAATTAAATATCCCATGATGGCACATGACAGTTGGTAGATTGTTTTTATTCATTCATTCATTCATTCATTTAGCAATTTTTTTTTTTTTTCTTGAGACAGAGTCTGGCTCTGTCTGTCATCCAGACTGGAGTGCAGTGGCGCATTCTCAGCTCACTGCAACCTCTGCCTCTTGGGCTCAAGCCATCCTCCCACCTCAGCCTCCCTAATAGCTGAGTCTACAAGTACACACCACCACGCCTGGCTAGTTTTTGTATTTTTTGTAGAGACGGGGTTTTGCCATGTTGCCCAGGCTGGTCTTGAATGGTCTTGAATTCCTGGGCTCCAGCAATCTGCCCATCTCTGCCTCCCAAAGTGCTGGGATTATAGGCATGAGCCACCGTGCCCAGCCCAGCAATTTTTGTTTGTTTTGAGATAGCATCTCACTCTGTCACCCAGACTGGAGTGCAGTGACACAATCATGGCTCACTACAGCCTCCAACTCCTGGGCTCAAACAATCCTCCCACCTCAGCCTCCCACATAGCTCAGCCACAGGCACACACTAACCAACCTGTCTAATTTTTTTATTTTTTGCAGGGACTGAGTCTCACTATGTTGCCCAGGCTGTTCTTGAACTCCTGGCTTCAAGCCATTCTCCCGCCTCCTCCTCCCAAAGTACTGAGATTACAAGTGTAAGCCACCACATCTGACTTTTTTTTTTCCTCCAAGCAATTCTCCTGCCTCAGCTTCCTGAGCAGCTGGGATTACAGGCACCTGCCACCATGCCCAGCTAATTTTTTGTATTTTAATACAGACTGGGTTTCATCATGTTGGCCAGGCTGGTCTCGAACTCCTGACCTCAAGTGATCCACCCACTTCAGCCTCCCAAAGTGCTGAGATTACAAGCATGAGCCAGCATACCTGGCCACAGCTGGCCTTTTTTTTTTTTTTTTTTTTTTTTTTTTAGCAATTATTGATTAAACACTTATTTTGTCAACTCCTTGTAGGGACTGATGGCACAGCACTAAAAGACACTTCCCCCCCACCCCAACCCCCGGAGGAAGCCTACCTCCCAATTTGATATTGAAACAAGAAAAAAGATCAGTACTTGGTAAGGTCAATGACAGGGAAACCCAGGTTACCGTGGAGGACATCTCATTAGGGAGGATTTTAATTTGTAAACATGGCATTAGAAATTAAAAGTGCCATTGTTAGAAGAATTTCTTGTCTCCTCTCCTCTAATTTATTTTACAAGTATTTTGAGAAGTGAAAGACAAAGTCCAGCTTTATGATTACATTATGATACTCAAAGATATGTTTTATGGAGGCATTCACAGAGTTCTAAGGTGGTTAAAGTTGCCCACGATGTGAATATATAGTTCCATAAAGGACAATGCTATCTTGCCACAAAGCTGATCCAGCAAACACTAGGTGGGGTTTTGAAAAATGACTCGGGATAACGAAGCAATCTGGAGTCTGAGCAACCTTGCTCCTTGAACTGTGCCATCTTTGGAAAATTGGCCCCCACCAAACTGTATAGCCAGATGAATGAGGACTCAGAAAGATAATGTATTACTCACTTTCCAGATTTAGCACGTTCCTAGAATTTTAAACTCATTTTTATGGACTGTTGCCTAACTGAGGGGAGACTTAGACAAACCCAGAGTGGTTATGAGCAACATCCCCGGGGGAGTCAGTGCCCAAATTTGGAGTCCTTGTGTCCTGAACATTCCTGACACTCCTGGCTTGGATATTCAGCCTGCCCGAGTTGGAGTACCCCAGGGATTTTAGATGCAGCTGAGAACTGCTGAATTAAGCCAAGTGTTGGAAGATCCTGCAATTTTCATTATTAAGTTAGCCCTCTGCTTTATTGAATGCACAAGCTGGCATATGCTTGGGAATGTTTCTGCTTCCAAACTCACAGCATCTACATTTTTCAGATGTTTGACCTTGATCTTGTGACCTTGCCTCTAGAACTCTGAGAGTGCTGGGAATACTCACAGCTGAGTGATGGAAGCAAAAACTAGAAAACAATCTTTTTTTCTTTTTTAACTCACTTACAATACAGGGTTACCTGGCTTGAGACTAGACTGTTTTAGACTAGACTTACCTTCCTTAAGTTATTAATTTTATCATATAATCTCAGTATGACTTCACTTTTTGAATTGATACCACTAAAGCCTGAAACTATTAAAGCTATGCAATCTGCTTGCTAAGGCAAGCTGGTATTTCCTGATACTGCTATCCAGATAGCTGAGAACCTTCTCTAGAGTCATGTTTTTCAAACTTTTCTGATTGCTGTTTGCAATAGGAGATGTATTTTTATCACTAGCACACACACACACATACACATATATACATATGGTTGAAACAAACTTTTCATGAAACCATAATTATCCTTTCTGGGCCTGTCACAGTGGCTCACGCCTGTAATCCCAGCACTTCGGAAGGCCAAGGCAGGTGGATCACTTGAGGCCAAGAGTTGGAGACCAGCCTGGCTAACATGGTGAAAACCCGTCTTTACTAAAAATACAAAAATTAGCCAGGCGTGGTGGTACATACCTGTAAACCCATCTACTTGGGAGGCTGAGGCAGGAGAATCGCTTGAACCTGGGAGGCAGAGGTTGTAGTGAGCCTAGATAGTGCCACTGCACTCCAGCCTGGGCAACAGAGTGAGACTCTGTCTCAAAAAAAATAAAATAAAATAAAATAAAAATTATCATTTCTGCCTACAATGCCCTATGCCAGGGGTTACAACCCATAGTCAATCCATTCCTTAACCTATCCCTGTCTGACTCATGAGCTAAGAATGGCTTTACATTTTTAAATGGATGAAAAACAAATCAAAAGAAGAATAACATTTATATGGAGACACATTTACAACATGGCATGCACTGCTACAAATCTTTGCATTTACTGTCACATTAAATCTTTACAATAATTTGTCTTTGTCTTAACAAAAATCATGACCACAATAGCAACAATGGCTAACGTTTTTTGAGGGAGTGCTCATGGTGCTGAGCATTTTGGTAAATGCGTTATGTGATACATGTATTTAATCCTCTGCACCCTATAAGGCAGGGAGTATTAGCATTCCCATTTTACAGGTGAGGAAACAGAGGCTTGATAAGGCTATGTAACTTGTAGAGCATCACAAACCTAGGAAATGGCAGTTGGGGTTTGATTCTAGGTTTTTCTGCTTCTGGTTCAATGATTTTGACTACTATTTACCTTGGTAGCTCCTTGCCAACTTGACCCACAACATGGACTCGATGAATATTTGAAAAATGAATGAATACATGCGTGAATGAATGAAGGACCTTGAGATGGAATGATGGTCTTCCATGGATCCTAAACAACTATGAGAACACAGACAAATTAGGTGATTGTTCTGTGCTTTTAAATGTAGGCTGAGCATGGTGGCTCATACCTGTAATCCCAGCACTTTGGGAGGCCGAGGCAGGCAGATCGCTTGAGCCCGGGAGGTTGAGGCTGCAGTGAGCCATGTTTGTGCCACTGCACTCCAGCCTGGGCAACAGAGCAAGTCTATCTCAAAAATAAAATGAAGTAAATGCAAGCAAACAAAGTAAACATCTCATTTATTGAGTGTTTACAATGTGCCTAACACTGCACATAAGTGCTTTCAATGCCATTCTCATTTGATCCTCATGACACTATAAGGTAGATGCTATCCCTGTTTTACAAATTTAGAATGAGGTTCAGAGAGGTTAAGTATCTTGCCAAAGATGACATAACCAGTATTCAGACCTGTTGTCACTGAGACTAAGGACCAAGACCATGTTCTTAACCACTGTGCTATATACTTCCATTTATTAATTTCTAACATCCCTGTAATATCTACCCTATGGTTTTAAGGCAAAATAAGCAATATTGCTAGAGCCTTCATTAGTAATTATAGTGTGAGCCAGGTACAGTGGCTCATGCCTGTAATCCCAGCTACTCAGGAAGCCAAGGTGGGAGGATCCCTTGAGGCCAGGAGTTCGAGACCAGCCTGGGCAACAAAAGGAGACCCTGTCTCTACAAAAATAAAAATTAACCGAGCATGGTGGTGTATGTCTGTAGTACTAGTTACTCAAGAGGCTGCAGTGGGAAGATCCCTAGAGCCCAGGAGCTGAAGAATGCAGTGAGCTATGATCACACCACTGCACTCCAGCCTAGGTGACAGAGTGAGACACCATCTCTAAATAAATATATAACTATAGTGTGCTCCAATGACATGTTTCTCTATCAAAAAATTTAAGGCCTAAGACAGAAGAAGTGGAGGAAGCATAGAGATACCTTCCAGTACATTTTACATGAGGATTGTGTTACTAACATACTGTTATATAATCTTTGCAGATTTTCTATAAACCTAAGACTTTTCTAAAATTAAAATTTATCTTAAAACACTCTGAAGCCCATGAAAAATATGTTCAACATCATTAGTCATTATAGATATGCAAATCAAAATCACAAGGAGATACCACTATACATCCACTAGGATGAGTATATTTTTTTTTTAAATGAGAATAACAAATGTTGGTGAGAATGCAAAGAAATTGAAACCCTCATACATTGCTGGAGAGACTGTAGAATGGTGTAGCTGCTGTGGAAAACAGTGGGCAGTTCCTCAATAAGTCAAACATAGGATTACTGTATGACCTAGCCATTCCACTCCTAGGTATATATATATGCAACAGAACTGAAAACAGGTGTGCAAACAAACCACTTGTACAAAAATGTTCATAGAAGTAACATTCACAACAGCCAAATTCAGAAACACCCAAATGTCCCTCAATGGATTAATAGATAAATAAATGCGGTATATCCATACAATGAAATATTATTCAACCATAAAAAGAAAGAAAGTACTGATACATGCTCAAACATAAAACAACCTTGAAAACATTGGTGAGTGGAAGAAGGAAAATGCAAAAGACCACATATTGTATGATCGCATTTATATGAAATGTCCAGAATAGGCAAATCCACAGAAACAGGAAATACATTAGTAGTTGTCAGGAGCTGAAGACAGGAGGAGTGAGGATGGTGCTCCTTAAGGGTTATGGGATTTATTTTGGGAGGGGATTAAAAGGTTCTGGAACTAGACGGTGGTGATGGTTGCACAACATTATGAATTTATTAAATGCTACTGAGTCATATACTTTACAATGGTTAAATGGGGAGTTTTATTTTATATCAATTTTACCTAAAATTCATTTAAAAAAAAAGAAAGGCCAGGCACAGTGGTTCACGTCTGCAATCCCAGCACTTTGAGAGGCTGAGGCGGGAGGATTGCTTGTGTCCAGAAGTTCAAGACCAGCCTGGGCAATATAGTGAGACCTGTTTTTTTAAAATATATATATATAATAATAAATTTTAAATACATATATATTTTTTGAGACAGAGTCTTCCTCTGTTGCCCAGGCTGGAGTGCAGTGGTGCAATCTCGACTCACTGCAACCTCCACATCCCAGGTTGAAGTGATTCTCCTGCCTCAGCCTCCTGAGAAGCTGGGATTAAAGTTGCCTGCCACCACGCCTGGCTAATTTTTGTAGTTTTTAGTAGAGACGGGGTTTCACCATGTTGGCCAGGCTAGTCTCAAACTCCTGACCTCAAGTGATCCACCTGCCTCAGCCTCTCAAAGTGCTAGCCACTGTGCCCGGCCTAAAATAATTTTTAAAAAACCACTCTGGCAACATTACAAAGTTGTGACATATTAAAATAATATAGAATGTGGTATATAATATAAACATATAACTTACAGAAAATAAAAATATTATAGTGCTCAGAACATCTTGATTTAGAGCATGGGTTTTTTTGTTTGTTTGTTTGTTTGTTTTGAGACGGAGTCTCGCTCTGTCGCCCAGGCTGGAGTGCAATGGCACGATCTCAGAGAATCTCTTTAACCTGGAAGGCAGAGGTTGCAGTGAGCCGAGATCATGCCATTGCACTCTAGCCCGGGCAACAGAGCAAAACAATGTCTCCAAAAAAAAAAAAAAAGACTTGCCTGAGGATGTCTAGACATTATGTGAAAGCACAGGGCTTTGATTCTGCCAGTTATAAAAGCCCATGCTCAGCCAGGCATGGTGGCTCATGCCTATAATCCCAGCACTTTGGGAGGCCAAGGCGGGTGGATCACTTGAAGTCAGGAGTTCAAGAACAGCCTGGTCAACGGTGAAACCGTGTCTCTACTAAAAATACAAAAATAGCCAGGTGTGGTGGCGGGCACCTGTAATCCCAGCTTCTTGGGAGGGAGCCTGAGGCAGGAGAATCGCTTGAACCAGGAACTCCTGACCTCAGGCGATCCACCCACTGCAGCCTCCCAGCATGCTAGGATTACAGGCCTGAGCCCAGCCCTCAGAGAAGTCTTATAACCTATATCAGCTCCACTGTCCTCAACCATAAAATGAGTATGATTGCTATTATTATGAAATACTTTTCACATGAGGTGTCATTTAGCCTAACAATAATGATGTTGATGGTTAATATATAGTTTGTTCCTTTCTTTCTTTCTTTGTGTATGAATTGAGTGTTGCTAATCTTCTTAGTGATAACTACATTAAAAGCAAACTGATCTGGGTTTAGGGAGATAACAATCATATTTTGAATGGCTTTTATCTCCTTGAGAGGCTTCCTACATCCCAGAAAAGTATTGTGTGAATAGATCTTTAAAGTAGTTTCCAAAGGAGTATAGCAATGTACTATAACTATTATATGGCATTATGTTGAAATTTAGGCTAAATTGTTGTTACTAAAATTTCTAGGCTGATTCCAACCTGTTTCCAAGAACAGCTATGGAATTCGGAGGTGATAGGAAAAACTTTATTAAGAAAAAAGATACCTACTTCTCCTTCCCTTCCCCTGAGGATAACTAAGCTGTCACCATGAATACTAAGACTGCTATTTCTTCTTGTATTTGCATATGGCATCCTCCCAGGTAATTTATGGAGCAAATCCTGACACAGCTCCAGGAGAAACCATATAGCTCCTTTAGTATCATTAGTAAGTAAAAGACCAGAACATGTAAAGAGGGAGAGGAAATTCATCTCCCAAAAGATTCAGGCACAAGGCTCTCTGTTCCATACCCTCTACAGTCCCTCCACCCACACAACTCAGACATTGTATGTAAGAGAATGACACTTCTAGAACCCTGCCCTCTAACCTCTGCTCCTTTTTTTTTTTGCTCTGATTCTCCTGGGAGTTGAGGAACGCTGGAAAATAACTGCAGGGTTTGGCTTCCAGTTGGTTAACCCTGATGCTGATTTCTCTGTGGGACATTTTCAATCTCTGTTCTTGGCAAGAAACTGCAGAACTACAAAAACTGCCAGCTGAATGAAAATATGTTGAAGAGCAAGGGGGTTGGGAGAGATGGAAATTTGGGGAGTGAAGGGTTTAACACTATTCCCATTCCTGTTTGTACATTCTAGTCTAACCACCAACTGTAAGAAAGTTTGACTGACATTTGACCTACTGGATTAACATCATCAAAAGGGCTGAAACCCTCTTTCTTTTTATTTTTTTATTTTTTTATTTTTAATTTTTGAAACAGGATCTTACTCTGTTGCCTAGGTTGGAGTGCAGTGGCATGATCTCAGCTCACTGCAAGCTCCACCTCCTGGGCTCAAGCCCAGGAGATACTCCCACTTCAGCCTCTGGAGTAGCTGGGTTTACAGGCCTACACCACCATGCCTGGCTAATATTTGTATTTTTAGTAGAGATGGGGTTTCACGATGTTGGTCAGGCTGGTCTTGCACTCTTGGTCTCAAGTGATCCACCCGCCTCAGCCTCCCAAAGTGCTGGGATTATAGGCTTGAGCCACTGTGCCCAGCCCCCTCTTTCTTATTCCATTCTACCTTACGTGACTCCTCCAACTAGGTTAAATGTCTTGTATTTGTTTTAGCAGCACGTGTACGTCCTCATGCAGGCATTCCCAAAATATTTGCAAGGCTTATCATGTGCCAATTTGCTACACCTTAGGTAATGATTCGTCCTTTAATTCAATAAATATTTATTGAGCACCTAAGATATGTCAGGCACTTTTGAACTAGTGGGGGAAAAGCCCTTAACTAATTGGGCAAAGGCGTTCTTCTCATGGAGCTTACATTCTACTGTGGCAATACACAAAGTAGAAAATAGAGTCTCTGAAGATAGGTGCTATGGAGGGGGAAAGGGGGACTTTTGATGCCCAAGGTTAGGATTGTTGTTATGTACAAGGTGATAAGGGGAAGCCTCGTGGCTAAGTTCAGAACTGAGCAGAGGTTTGAAGACAGTGAGAGTGTGGATCAAGTAGCTATCTGGGAGACAGTGTTCTGGGCAGTAGGATCAGCAAGAACCAAGGCCCTGAGATGACAGTCTGCTTGGTGTGGCATGGAAAAGCAAAGTGGAAAACAATAGGCAAATACTCTTACCCTCATGGGGCATAGAGTCTGGCTGGGGAGACAGATAGTAATCAAATATCTGCCTAATAAATGTCTAATTCTAAAGGGACTGTGTGCCAAGCGGAAAATGCAGACATGGCTGGAAGACACTATAAAGACACCTGATCGAATCTGAGGGAAGTATTCCCTTAGGAAATGTAGTTTCAACTGAAATCCAGAGAAGAAGAAGTGATTAATATGGTACTGGAAGAGGCCAGGCCTCCCATAGTTTTGGGATTACAGGCATAAGCCACTGCACCCAGGTTCCTTTTTTTTAACCAATCATCCTCAATATTAAATATTATTTTTAGTATGTATTTCCTAAGAACAAGGATATCCTTTGTGTCTTGTGACAAGAGACAAAATAATTGAGCAGGCATTGAAAGCCCTCATATTCTCAGAAAAGTAGGTTTTTCCAGCAGACATTAAACATACTCCTGCAGGCCAGGCACAGTGGCTCATGCCTATAATCCCAGCACTTTGGGAGGCTGAGGCAGGAGGAACACTTCAGGCCAGGAGTTTGGGACCAACCTCGCCAACATGGTAAAACCCATATCTACTAAAAATACAAAAATTAGCTGGCCATGGGATGTAATCCCTGTAATCCCAGCTAGCAGGGAGGCTGAGGCACGAGAATCGCCTGAATTTGGGCGGCAGAGGTTGCAGTTAGCCAAGATCCTGCCACTGCACTCCAAACTGGTTGACAGAGCTAGACTGTCTCAAAAAAACAACAAAAGAATATGGTACTGGAAGGGTGTTTCCCTTATAGAGGGAAGAGTCTTTGTTCACAGGGGTGAAAAGAAACAGCTCTAGTTTTAGGAAATAAAAGATCCAGTGTCTGACTTGCAGAGAATGAGGGGGGAGGCATCCTTGAGGAGCTGAAAGACAGGAGCAAGGGACAAATCACACAGGATTTCTTGCAGTTTGTATGTAGCTGTTTAAATAAATATGTTTGCCGTCTGCCTTCCCTGCTGGACCAAGCTGGGCAAGGGGTAGGGGGGCAGCTGGGACCCTGTCTTGTTAACTACTGCATGCTAAGTACCTACTCAGAATGTGGCACACAGAAAGGGCACAGTTTGTATTTATTGACTGGCTGACTGGCTGTCTAACAACTCAAACAATCTGACATAACCATCTGAAAGCCTCAATAGTGAAAATGCAGCTTGCATTTTGGGAGTAGTTGGTTCTGCCAGATTCCAGGTTTAGAAAAGGCCAGCAAATTCGGCAGTATTCAAAGCTGTGATTTCTATTTCAAAACCACAGATAGAAGCTGACCAGGACCATGGGGAACTCCTTCCGTGGGGGAAAGGAATCCAAATGGGACATTCATGATACTGAGTTGGGGCAGGGTTTCTATCTTGACTTGGTGATTGTGCATATCATAGATGGGTGCTCCTTTGCTCATTTAATACTTTGTATTAATAAGTGAAATGACCACATGGTAAAACAGTATTCTTTTTTCTTTTTCTTTTTTTTTTTTTTGAGATGGAGTCTCACTGTCACCCAGGCTGGAGTACAGTGGCATGATCTCGGCTCACTGCAACCTCCGCCTCCCGGGTTCAAGTGATTCTTCTGCCTCAGCCTCCCAAGTAGCTGTAACTACAGGTATCGGGGGAAATTCAGCCAGATATCAGGCAAAATTCACCCCTGATATTTCACGTACGTTGTTTTCTATTTTCCCTAAGTGTCGGCCAGTTTGAGAAATAAAGGGACAGAGTACAAAAGAGAGAAATTTTAAAGCTGGGCGTCTAGGGGAGACATCACATGTCGGTAGGTTCCGTGATGCCCCCTGAGCCATAAAACTGGCAAGTTTTTATTAGTGATTTTCAAAAGGGGAGGGAGTGTACAAATAGGGTATGGGTCACAGAGATAACGTGCTTCACAAGGTAATAGAATATCACAAGACGAATGGAGGCAGGGCGAGATCACAGGACCACAGGATGGGGCGAAATTAAAATTGCTAATGAAGTTTCGGCATGCATTGTCATTCATAACATCTTATCAGGAGACAGGGTTTGAGAGCAGACAACCAGTCTGACCAAAAATTTATTAGGCGGGAATTTCCTCGTCCTAATAAGCCTGGGAGCGCTATGGGAGTCTGGGGCTTATTTCATCCCTACAGCTTGACCATAAAAAATGGCCACACCCAAGGGGGCCATTTTTGAGGCCCACCCTCAGGGACGCATTCTCTTTCTCAGGGATATTCCTTGCTGAGAAAAATAATTCATCGATATTTCTCCCATTTGCTTTTGAAAGAAGAGAAATATGGCTCTGTTCCGCCCAGCTCACCGGCGGTCAGAGTTTAAGGTTATCTCTCTTGTTCCCTGAACATTGCTGTTATCCTTTTCTTTTTTCAAGGTGCCCAGATTTCATATTGTTCAAACACACATGCTCTACAATTGGTGCAGTTAACGCAATCATCACAGGGTCCTGAGGCGACATACATCCTCCTCAGCTTACGAGATGACAGGATTAAGAGATTAAAGTAAAGACAAGCATAGGAAATGACAAGGGTATCCATTGGGGAAGTGATAAGTGTGCATGAAATCTTCACAATCCATGTTCAGAGACTGCAGTAAAGACAGGCATAAGAAATTATAAAAGTATTAATTTGGGGAACTAATAAATGTCCATGAAAGATTTACAATCCACGTTCTTCTGCCATGGCTTCAGCCGGTCCCTCCGTTTCATGTTCCTGACTTCCCGCAACATACAGGGAAGTAGTCCCAGTACTTTGGGGGGCCAAGGCTGGTGGATCCCTTGATGCCAGGAGTTTGAGACCAGCTTGTCCAACATGACAAAACTCCATCTCTACAAAAATACGAAAATTAGCCAGGTGTGGTGGCGCATGCCTGTAGTCCCAGCTACTCAGGAGGCTGAGGCAGGAGAATCACTTCAATCCAGGAGGTGGAGGTTGCAGTCACCTGAAATTATACCACGGCACTCCAGCCTGGGCATCAGAGCAAGATTGTCTCAAAAAATAAAAATAAATAAAATATGCTGGTTGGTTGTACTTGTAATGCAGGGACAGAGGCACCCTTCATTCTGCACAGTTTGGTGATGATGGTGTAGGTACAGGGCCTGGTGGGGTGGGGGGCGACTTTTTTTTTTTTTTTTTTTTTGCCACCAAGAGGGGATCCAAGCCTGGGGACAGTGTTAATTTAGAGGAGGCCAGATTGAAAGAATTGAAGAGAAACAGGGGTCAAGCCTGGAATCAAATCACATGTGAAGCATACTCTGCTTCTAGACTTTTCTGCTAGGTAAGGCCCTAGATTCTATTTATTGTTTAAATTGGAACTTCTGTAACTGGTATCCAAATTGTCCTAGCTGGTAAGGGTGATAGAAATCCAGAAACAGTTCTGTGCACTCTAAAAATACAGCAGCATCTATAGAATATCAGAATGAGGGTGGAATTGCTCCAAGATCCATCTTCTTTTAAGTTGTTTTGTTTTTAAGTGAAATCTTCCAAGAGTTTATCCCTTAAATATAAAAATGAAATTTTGACTAAGTAAAAATATGTGTGTTTTTTTAGAAAAATGCCAACCATACAAAGAGGTATACAGTGAGAAGAGGGTATCCATCCTACTCATCTCAGTTCCTCTCTCCAAAGGCAACAGTTTAGTTGTTGCACATTTCCTTGTGTGTACTTTCTAAGATATTCTGTGCATAGATCTTCCCTTTAATTTACACAAATGGTACTATATTACCGTTGCTATTTTTGCTCAGAAATGTATCTTAGAGGTTGTTCCGCATCAGAAAATATTTAAGCTGCTTCTTAAACAGGGCAACATGACCAAAATTTTTCATTCTTCATTTTATTGCTATGAACCCTACCTGTAAATGGGTGGTGGGGGGAATTTGTTTAATCAGTGAAATGAAGCAACAGCAACAAATACCTTCTCAGGTATCTGAGGAAGTGTACTTAAAATTATTAAACAGCTGCAAACTATTTCATTTTTTGGTTCTGTAATTTATTTAACCAAGCTCCTACAGGGAGTCATTTAGGTTGTTAACTTTTTTTTTTTTTGAGATAGGGTCTTGCTCTGTAACACAGGCTGGAGTGCAGTGGTGCAATCACAGCTCACTGTAACAGGAACTCCTGGGCTCAAGAGATCCTCCTGCCTCAGCCTCCCAAGTAGCTAGGACTACAGACACGCACCACCACACCCAGCTAATTTTGAAAGATTTTTATAGAGACAGGGTCTTGCTATGTTGCCCAGGCTGGTTTTGAACTCCTGGCCTCAAACAGTCCTCACACTTTGGCCTCGCAAAGTGCTGGGATTACAGGCTGTAACCTTTAGCTACCATATACAAAGCTGCAACAAGTGTTGTACATGCTGCTTTGTTTGAAAGCTGTATCAACTCTTCTAAACAATAGCCTATGTAAACACAGGCTGTTGAACCAAAAGTTTTAAATTTGAGATGCTGAGTAGAAGAATTCAAAAACTGGGTTTGGTTGCTTAGTTTTTGGCATATAACCCTCTTTTCTCCTACAAATAGATAGATTTCTTTTTCTCATTCATTGATCCATCCATTCATTTATCAACAAATATTTTGGGGCAGTCAGTATGTGCCAGGGAGTATTTTAAGTGCTGATTGTTACCTCCAGGGCCTAATATCACATGCTTATTTAAGAAGCAGGTGATAGGTCCAATGAATGTCTAGTCCTCTGTGGTTATTTAGACCTATTAACACAAGCCACGCAACACATAACAATGTTTCAGTCAGTGACAAATTGCATATACAACATTGGTCCCATTCGATTTTAGTACTGTATTTTTACTATACATTTTCTTTCTTTCTTTCTTTCTTTCTTTCTTTCTTTCTTTCTTTCTTTCTTTCTTTCATCTTTCTTTCTTTCCTTTCTTTCTTTCTTTCTTTCGAGACAGGGTCTTACTGTTTCCTATACTGGAGTGCAGTGGTGTGATCATGGCTCACTGCAACCTCCACCTCACGGGCTTAAGCAATCCTCCTAACTCAGCCTCCCAAGTAGCTGGAACCACAGGTGTGCACCTCCACGCCCAGCTAGTTTTTTTAAA
Organism: Homo sapiens; assembly: GCF_000001405.40. Classification (NCBI taxonomy): domain Eukaryota; kingdom Metazoa; phylum Chordata; class Mammalia; order Primates; family Hominidae; genus Homo; species Homo sapiens. The sequence goes on from NC_000003.12 coordinate 66,059,449, forward strand.
AAAAATTCATCAAGACAAGAACCTCATTATGTTGCTTAGTCTGGTCTCAAACTCCTGGGCTCAAGGGATCCTCCTCTCTCAGTCTCCCAAAGTGCTGGGGTTACAGGCGTGAGCTACCAGGCCTGGCCCATTTTCTATATTTAGATATGTTTGGATACACAGATACTTACCATTCTGTTGCAATTGCCCAGAGTGCTCAGCACAGTAACATGGTGCACAGGTTTGCAGCCTGGGAACAACAGGCTATCCCATAAAACCTAGGTGTGTAGTAGGCTGTTCCATTTAGGTTTTTGTGAGTGTACTCTGCGGTGTGCAAAAAATGAGGAAATCTGCTACCTGTACATTTCTCAGAACATGACCCCCTCGTTAAGCGATGTGTAACTGTACTTAAGAGACTGCCTATGAGAGTTTTACAGTTATTTCAGTACTCAATCTTGGATGTGTACCAGAAGGGGGTCATTTCTATGCAAGATTATTCAATACTTTTAAGTGAAAAAGGCAGTATGAGCCCAACAAATGTATCATTTATTGAGCCTTTACTCTATAGAGATAGAAAGCATTTAATAACTAACTAGATGTTATCTCAGGAATGGAAGTGAGTCCTATAGTTTGTTCCTTAATTCATTGCTACAATATTGTTTATTTTGTGCTTTTAAAAAATATTTAATTTCCTCTTGATTTTTACCAACAAGTATGTAAGAACCAATTTTGGCTCAGTATTTGCCATTTTTTTCTACAGTTGCAATATTCCATTTCATCATGTAATCCTCAAAAATATTAAAACTCTGAGAAAATAAGAAGCATTGATAAGAAAATGATTCTGAACTCTTCCTGTGGCCTAGATGCATGGTTTCTGACAAATTAATGTGTTATTAAAATAACTGACCTATGAGAAAAATCTGTGATCACATTCATTACAACCAGAACTGGAAAGATCTATTAGAAATTGATTTACATCAAGCCCATCTTTATAATCCCTTGTCTCATTCTTTACTTTCTGTTTATGCCTTTGCCAAACTTTAAAATGAAGTATTTGGCTGGGTGCAGTGGCTTACGCCTGTAATCCCAGCACTTTGGGAGGCCAAGGCAGGCGGATCACTTGAGGTTAGTAGTTCAAGACCAGTCTGGCCAACATGGTGAAACCCCATCTCTACTAAAAACACAAAAAATTAGCCAGGCATGGTGACACACACCAATAATCCCAGTTACTTGGGAGGCTGAGGCAGGAGAAAAGTTTGAATTGAGGAGGCGGAGGTTGCAGTGAACTGAGATCGGGCCACTGTACTCCAGCCTGGGCAAGAGAGCAAGACTCCATCTAAAAACATTTAAAAATAAAAACAGAAAAATAAAATTAAATACTTAATCGTGTGATTGTTTCTCTTGTTTCTCCTTGACTGGACTCTGAGCTTCATGAGATCAGTGACTGAGTCTATTTGTCTATCCGTTTTCTCTCTGTGCCTAACACATGGTAGGTGCTGAATAACTATTGGTGGAATTTATTTGGCCATGTGCTTATGATTCAAACATACTAAGGTAAAATTAGTTTGTTTAATGAAATTAAACTGAAACAATAACATGACAAAAATTGAGTAAAACAAGCCAGGCATGGGGGTGCACCCCTGTAGACCCAGCTACTTGGGAGGCTGAGGCAGGAGGATCCAGAACCCAGGAGTTCAAGGCTGTAGCGTGCCATGATTGTGCCTCTGAATGGCCACTGTGCTCCAGCCTCAGAACAGACCGAGGCCTCATCTCTTATAAAAAATAAAGCCAAACAATAATTGAAAATAAAATAGCTAAGTTAGTCACCCAGTGAAAATAAAGGAGAAGCAACATGGCTAGGCCTATGAGTTTCTTTATTTTTTATTCCATTGATAGGAACATTTCCTGCAGCCAAGGGAAAGTAAATTCATTTGTTTAATGGGCAAAATGAGGCAACCACCTTCATAGACTTCTGAGGAAACAGGCTAAAATGATTGTGCTCTGTATAATATCAAAGAAATGTGAGAGAACCCATAATAAAAATGACAGTCTGATACACCCAAATGACCCCTTTCATCTTAAGACCTTGAGACGTTTTGCAAATGATAATTGTCTCTTACATCATCTCCATGAGGTAAGAATTTTCTCTCCATGTATAACTGAGCCTACACAAAGTTATTTCTTTTAAAGTCCCAAGTCATGGCTGGTATTTGAATCCTTCACCTCCTGAGATATGTGTAAGTTAGCATATAAATCACATTGTTAAATGAGGAAAAAACTTTAAATCGGGGCAAAGTTATGTTTGACCAATCAAGAGTCTAAGCTCATTAGGGACTTCAGATTACAAGCAAAAATTCCCCAATGATGAAGAGAAATAGGAATGGACTGGGGGAATTTCAGGATAAAAACCTGTTCAGTTTTACCTTATATTTTAATGACATTTTCAATATTTGGATGGCCTAAGAGATGAATTGACTTCAAAACACATTCTGGAATGGCGGGTGACCTGGTGCCAAAATAAAGAATATCTGACCAAGTATACATTCCCAGGGGAATGATAATAAAACCCTAGACTGGGAGAATGTTTCATTTTATTGCCCAAATTCATGGAAATTCACCATGGCGGATCAAACTTTTAATATTTGGTCACAATGGGACATCATTCTTAATGATACCCAGCTGCAGAGGGTGTGTGCTCGGAATTTTCATTCCTACCTTTGTGCTATTAGGAATGCTGTTTTTTATATGTATGTAATTTTTAAACTTCTTTTCATAAATCATTACAAGTGTCAAGAAAAATTATAAGAATAGTATTAAAAAACTCTCACATCCCTTTTTCATAGATTCACAAACTGTTAACGTCTGCCTATTTACTTTGTCATTTGTCATATGCAAAACTTTCTTTTTTTTTTTTTTTTTTTTGAGATGGAGTTTCATTCTTGTCACCCAGGCTGGAGTGCAATGGCATAATCTTGGCTCACCGCAACCTACGTCTCCTGGGTTTAAGCGATTCTCCTTCCTCAGCCTCCCGAGTAGCTGGGACTACAGGCACATGCCACCATGCCCAGCTAATTTTTGCATTTTTAGTAGAGACAGGGTTTCACCATGTTGGCCAGGATGGTCTCAATCTCTTGACCTTGTGATCTGCCTGCCTAGGTCTCCCAAAGTGCTGGGATTACAGGCGTGAGCTACTGCGCCCGGCTGCAGGTAATTAAATATTGATCAATATTTTTATTGAATCTACCATCTATCCTCCAATTTTGTCAATTGACCCAAAAAGAACTTTTGTTGCATTTTTTTTCTTCAGTACAGAATCCAGACCAAGGTTGCATGTTACATTTAATAATTATGCCTCCTTTGATTTTGATCAGTTCCTCAGCCTTTCTTTGTCTTTCATGATAATGACATTTCTGAAGAACACAAACCTATTTTAAAATGGCTTACATAGACTTTTTTTCAAGAAACCTAAATTTAATGGTTGTTGCCATTTTTCAGTTAACAGTTTTCAATGGTAACTTTGTAAGAAAAGGAGAGATGAGAATTACATAGCTTTTGACTCAGTACTGTCACTGAAGTCCATAATAAATCCACTTGTATATATGATTTTTTTTTGTCGGGGGGGATGGAGTTTTGATCTTGTTGCCCAGGCTGGAGCACAATGGTGCGATCTTGGCTCACTACCACCTCCACCTCCTGGGTTCAAGTGATTCTCCTGCCTCAGTCTTCCGTGTAACTTGGATTACAGGCACCCGCCACTACGCCTGGCTAATTTTTGTATTTTTAGTAGAGACAGGGTTTCACCATGTTGGTCAGGCTGGTCTTGAACTCCTGAGTTCAGGTGATCCACCCGCCTCGGCCTCCCAAAGTGCTGAGATTACAGGCATGAGCCACTGTGCCCGGCCACATATATAATGTTTTAAAGCAGTGCCTGGCACATAGGTACGTCTCAATAAATGTCCTCAAGGGTACACTTTTTCTCCCTCCCATCACCAACTCTATGCTCCCTGTGAGTGAGGGGCACACATGAATCTTGGTCATTTTATCCTCAGTATCTAATACAAGGGCTGACAGTAGATTGTTGAATGAATGACTACCCCAGGGGTGAGGAAGTGTCCTCAGATGTGTTAAATGACAGCATCTCTTGTTTTCCTTTCTTTTTTTTTTTTTTTTTTTTTTTTTTGAGACGGAGTCTCGCTCTGTCGCCCAGGCCGGACTGCGGACTGCAGTGGCGCAATCTCGGCTCACTGCAAGCTCCGCTTCCCGGGTTCACGCCATTCTCCTGCCTCAGCCTCCCGAGTAGCTGGGACTACAGGCGCCCGCCACCGCGCCCGGCTAATTTTTTGTATTTTTAGTAGAGACGGGGTTTCACCTTGTTAGCCAGGATGGTCTCGATCTCCTGACCTCATGATCCACCCACCTCGGCCTCCCAAAGTGCTGGGATTACAGGCGTGAGCCATGTTTTCCTTTCTTTTAGAGACAAGGTCTCAATCTTTTTGAAATGGTTATTTACTTTTGGTGTATTTTCTAGTGTTCATTAAGTCTTCCACATTTTCTTACAGGATTATTTGTCTTTTTATTACTGATTTATAGGAGGGTTTTTTTTGTTTTTTTGTTTTTTGTTTTGTTTTTGTTTTTTTAAGAGACTTTCTCCCCGGCTGGAGTGCAGTGGCACCATCATAGCTCGCTGTAACTCCTGGGCTCAAGTGATCCTCCTGCCTCAGCCTCCTGAGTGGCTGGTACTATAGGCACATGCACCACCACGCCTCCCTAATTTTTAAATTTTTTAACAGAGACGGGTCTTGCTATGTTGCTCAGGCTGGTCTCAAACTCCTGGGCTCAATCATTCCTCCTGGAAGCTTGGTGTCCCATAGTGTTGGGATTACAGGCATAAACTGCTGCACCCAGCTTCCTTTTTTAAAAAAATCATCCTCAGTATTAAATATTATTATTTTTAGTGTGTATTTCCTAAGAACAAGGATATCCTTTGCGTCTTGTGACAAGACACAAAATAATTGAGCAGGCATTGAAAGCCTTCATATTCTCAGAAAAGTAGGTCTTCCCAGCAGACATTAAACATTCTCCTGCAGGCAGGGCACAGTGGCTCACTCCTGTAATCCCAATACTTTGGGAGGCCGAGGCAGGCAGAGCACTTGAGGCCAGGAGTTTGAGACCAGCCTGGCCAACACAGTGAAACCCCATCTCTACCAAAAAAATTACCAAAATATTAGCTGGGCGTGGTGGCACGGCTGTAATCCTAGCTTCTTGGGAAGGTGAGGCAGGAGAATCACTTGAACCTGAGAGGCGGAGGTTGCAGTGAGCCAAGATTGTGCCACTGCATTCCAGCCTGGCAACAGAGCGAGACTCCGTCTCAAAATAAAATAAAATAAAATAAACATACTCCTGGAAATAACATTTTGTTTACTCTCCAAATGCTTAAAATCCTCTGACATCGTATGTATTCTGTTGTATTTTTTCCTTAGGTCATTTTAAATATAATTTTCTTCCCTTCTCTTTTCATTCCTTCTCTCTACATTTTAGGATACCGAAAACTCATTAACTTCGATTCTGCTAAATTAAAATTTGTGGAGTTTTTGAGCAATTCTTTGTCCTCTAAATATGCTAAGAGAATTGTGAAAAACTAAGCATTTGTAAGGGTGCCAGGCTAGTCTACTTAAGGAAATCAATAGTGCTTTGCTTAGGCTTTATTTACATATAAGTGGTTGGTTAATGGCAAATCGCTGTATACTGTTATTTAGTTACCATTTAGGGGACCCTTACTGTGTTTCTGTGTACCTGCTGTAATCGCCACACATCAGTGTTTCAACAACAAACAAGGTAGTTGATGCTCAGAGAGAGTAACTAGCCCAAGATCAGACAGCTGGTAAGTGATTCAGCTGGGATTTGAGCCCAGGCCTCTAAATTCCACCTTTGCTAGATCACTCTGTGCCAGACTAGTTTGATGTGCATATGCAGGCCCTTGTCCTTACAGTTCTTGCCTTACAGCCCTTGGTAGGCACATTGAACATGTACTTAGTTACCAGCAAAGCAATTTCACACACACACACGCGCGCGCGCGCACACACACACACACACACACACACTTTCCTGAAAGCACATCGACAAAAATAAAAAAAAGAAAGAATTAAATATATGTTGTTTCAAGAAAATCAATGATGTAGTATTGGCGGGAAAACTACAACTTTGGCCTTCTTTTCAGGCAGCTTTTATTTTACTTTAGGTTTTTTTTAATTGTTTTTGTTGTTTGTTTGTTTTTTGAGACAGAGTCTCACTCAGTCAGCCAGGTTGGAGTGCAGTGGTGTGATCTCAGCTCATTGCAACCTCCACCTACCAGGTTGAAGTGATTCTCCTGCCTCAGCCTCCCTAGTAGCTGGGACTACTGGCATGCACGACCGTGCCTGGCTAATATTTGTATTTTTAGTAGAGATGGGGGTTTCACCATGTTGGCCAGGCTCGTCTCGAACTCCTGACCTCAAATGATCCACACTTCTCGGCCTCCCAAAGTGCTAGGATTACAGGTGTGAGCCACTCATAATCCCACCGAGCCTGGCCATAAGGGGGATTTTATTTTGAAATACCAAGTAGGGTATGGGCATGGCCATCAGAACCTCGTCAGTCTTTAGAGCCTTTTGAAGTTCTAACTCCAGCCCTGGGTCCTTTAAAAGTAAGAAAACGGCATTTCATTTAAAAATATTATTTTCATTGCTTCAGGGAATGCTTCCCTCACATTGAGTTAATGAGCTTTTCCTGAAAAATTCGGTTGTGAGAGATTTTGCTTTTGAATTACCCAATGCAGAGCACATTCTGAGTGATTAGAGGGGCTCCTAAGATAAAAGGAATCACCTGACAGAAAACACACTTTGGTGCTTAGGAAGAGTTGCCAATGGAGGAGAATTTGGGGGCAGCATTACTTTCTGACTTTTCATGGTTTATATTTGGTCAGCTAAGGATTTAATTATTTCTTCATATTCTGATAAAGTGCCCCTCTGAATACTTAATAGCCCACTCTGGCTACTTGATTTTTATTTCTTTAAAAATCCTTTTTTTTTTTTTTTTTTGTTGGTTGGGTGGGGTGGCTCACGCCTGTAATCCCAGCACTTTGGGAGGCTGAGATGGCTGAATCACCTGAGGTCAGGAGTTTGAGACCAGCCTGGCCAATATGGCAAAACTCAAACTCTACTAAAAATTCAAAAATTAGCCGAGCATGGTGGCGGGCGCCTGTAATCCTAGCTACTCAGGAGGCTGAGGCAGGAAAATCAGTTGAACCCAGGAGGCAAAGGTTGCAGTGGGCCAAGATCGCGCCACTGCACTCCAGCCTCGGCGACAGGGCGAGACTCCATCTCAAAAAAAAAAAAAAATCCTTTTTTTTTTTTTTTGGGAGAAGAGACTGGGAGGAGCATGAAAGGAATTTTGTTAACTTATTTAAGGGGAGAACCATAAAACTGTCTATCTACCCATATTTTTTATATTCCTTTTATATAATGTGTATAATTTACTGTTCAGAAGTATGATTGGTTTCATTTAAATCATATGCATTTTCTAATTATTGCTTGCCTCAAAAATTATGGGAAAGAAAAGTCCTGAGCCATTTGGCACTTCACCTATATAAACAGATGAATGAGTGTTTTATAATAAACATGTGCATGTTTATAATAACAAGTGAGATTGTCCTGATAGGCTGGTAGCAGTAACCACACCGAATATTTGCTGAGTAGTTGCTATTTGCAGGCACTATGAGAAGCACTTCACTCACCTAATCCTTACCTCAAACCTCAGAAGCAGTTACTGCTATTATCCTGTTTTGTAGAGGAAGATAATGAGCCTCATTAAGATTACTTGTGAGCTAAAGCCCCCACAGCTAGCGATCCTATTCAGTCCGACTTCAGATGCTACACTTTGTTTGGGATCAGTCTCTGTTGTCAGGATGGAGAATTGGAAGGGCACTAGAAAGGATTCAGGAAACCACAGAAGGACCTGTTGCAGCTGTCTAGCTAAGAGATGATGGAAGCTGGGACTAGAATTTTGAAGGTGAAAGTATAAGGAAATGGAGGGAAATGGTTAGGTCTCGGTAATGGCTTTGATATGGACATGAGGAAGAAGATGTTATTGAGAACTGGGTTTTTGTTTGACATGGTGGAGGAAAAACATCCATCAAAACTTAGCCTGATTCCTTATTAGAGAAAAGCCAGTCAGAATTAGTGGAAGGTAAGGAATGAAGACACATTTTAAAGGAAACAGTTTCATGATTTTCAGGAAAAAGAACCGGGCTATAAAATGATTTCCAGGTCTGCCCTGAGCACTTGCGCAATAAAGAGTTAGAAACGGTGTGCAATTGGCTGGGCGCGGTGGCTCACGCCTGTAATCCCAGCACTTTGGGAGGCTGAAGCGGGCAGATCACGAGGTCAGGAGATAGTAGCCATCTTGGCTAACACGGCGAAACCCCATCTCTACTAAAAACACAAACAGAAATTAGCCGGGCGTGGTGGCGGGCGCCTGTAGTCCCAGCTACTCCGGAGGCTGAGGCAGGAGAATGGCGTGAACCCGGGAGGCGGAGCTTGCAGTGAGCCGAGATCGCGCCACTGCACTCCAGCCTGGGAGACGGAGCGAGACTCCGTCTCACAAAAAAAAAAAAAAAAAAAAAATGGTGTGCGATTCAAGTATCACTTGGATCGCAAATGGTGCTTCTCAAGTGTTTGAAGGTGATTAAAAGCACTTTGTTTTCTAAGCCGTTTAAATATTCCCTTTGGAAATCTTGTTAAACTCATTTGCTTCCCAAACTCTTTCTCTTTAAAAAGAGGAAAAGATAAACTTCAGCTGAGCCTCTGTCTCAATGAGGCTTTACTCGATTAGAAAATATTGACCAGCTGCATTAGCCCGTGTCTTCTTCTATGGTCAATAGAGTTACTTTCCACAGGCGCTGAATCTGCAATCCACAAAGTCTTAGCTGGTGTTAATGACCGTTTCAGTGACTGCTCCAGCTACTATTTTGCATTCTGCCAAATAGGCTGATGGGAAGAGGGTAGGGATTAGGGGCAGAGTCTCATCCCATGCCTTGGGATGGACAACAAATCCCAGATCCTGGAACCATATTGTGGTAAAGATATTTCCCCTAACACTTGAATACCTATTCATGCTAGACTTCTGAATGTATTACCTTTAGTCTTCACAACCATTAGACAAGAATATTTTATTTTGTCCATTTTGCAAATGACAGAATCAAAACTTCAGCCCTGCATATCCAAATGTCTGCTGGCCCTCTTTACCTGTGCATCATACTAGCAACCATCCAAACAACTAATTATATTCTTTTTTTTTTTTTTTTTGAGGTGGAGTCTTGCTCTGTCACCCAGGCTGGAGTGCAGTGGCATGATCTCAGCTCACTGCAACTTCTGCATCCCAGTTTAAGTGATTCCCCTGCCTCAGCCTCCTGAGTAGCTGGGATTACAGGCATGCGCTACTACGCTAGCTAATTGTTGTATGTTTAGTAGAGACAGGGTTTCACCATGTTGGCCAGGCTGGTCTTGAACTCCTGGCCTCAAATGATCTGCCCACCTCGGCCTCCCAAAGTGCTGGGATTACAGCTGTGAGCCACCGCACCTGGCCAAACAACTAATTATATTCTTTCCTTCCTCCTGTTATTGATATGACAGCAGCCATCTATGATTAGAAATCTAGGCTCATTCTTGATTCCTCCTCTCTCTTAACCTAAATAGACCCTATCAATTGCTAAATTTTAATGGTTTTCCTCCTACTACGTCTGTATTAGGTTTTTTGGTTTTCCCTTTGTATTTGTTTACTATGGCTGCTATAAAAAATAACCACAAACTTTGTGGTTTCACACAACACAAATGTATCCTCCCACAGTTTGGGTGGCCAGAAATCTGAAATGAGTCTTACAAGTCTAACATCAAGGTGTCAGCAAAGCTGATTCCTTCTGGGGGCTCTAAGGGAGAATCCATTTCTGTATCTTTTCTTTTCTTTTTTTCTTTTTCTTTTTCTTTTTTTTTTTTTTTGAGACTGAGTCTCGCTCTATCACCCAGGCTGGAGTGCAATGGCGTGATCTCCGCTCACTGCAACCTCCACCTCCTGGGTTCAAGCGATTCTCCTGCCTCAGCCTCCTGAGTAGCTGGGATTACAGGCACTTGCGACACCACGCCCAGCTAATTTTTGTTATTTTTAGTAGGGATGGGGTTTCATCATGTTGGTCAGGCTGGTCTCAAACTCCTGACCTCAAGATCCGCCCACCTCGGCCTCCCAAAGTGCTGGGATTACAGGCGTGAGCCACCGCACCTGGGCCTCGTGTCTTTTCTAGTTCCTAGAAGTCACCTACATTCCTTGGCTTGTGGCCCCTTCCTTCTACTACATCACTTTTTCTCTCTTTGCTTCCGCAGTCACATGACCTATTTCCTCTCCTACAGTTAAATCTCACTCTGCTTCCATCTTATAAGGGCAATTGTAATTACATCTTGGGCCCACCCAGATACTTCAGGATAATTTCCCCATCTCAAGAGCCTTAACTTAATCACATCTATAAAGTCTTTTTGCCATGTAAAGTAACATTCACAGGTTCAAGGGTTAAGACATGGCCATCCATGGGGGTTATTTTTGAGCCTACTACAACCTCCTAGCCTGGTTCACTGTGTCCCAATCTCTCACCTCCTAGCTGGCCTCCATACCTTTAGTTTAATTCATATTCCCTCCTCAACCCATGATTTACAGCAGTGGTTCCCAAAAGCAGGTCCATAAACTGAACCCTTGGGAAGGTTGTTAAAAATATAGGTGCCAGGGGAGGGTTAGAAGGGGTGAGGGATTAAAAATTACCTCTTGGGTATAGGGTACACTGCTCTGGTGAGGGGTATACTGAAAGCCCAGACTTCACCACTATACAGTTTATCCATGTAACCCAAAACCACTTGTACCACTAAAGTTATTGAAATTTTAAAAAAAGATATCACCTAGCAGAAAAAACAAAACTAATCACATGATTCTGTTCATTAATACCCCTTATAATCTTCTGTTTTGCTTCTGCATATGTGACCAATATAAACATTTTTATGTTAAAAACAAAAAATAGGTGCCTGGGCTCTACCCCTATAGATTCTGATTCAGAAAGTCTAGTGGATCTATGCTTTATAACTTACCACCTGGCCAGGCCCAGTGG